>NC_000024.10:22413772-23022264 GCF_000001405.40 Homo sapiens | reverse complement strand
AATGTGGCTAGATTGCTTTTCAAGTGGGTCCCCAATTATGTCACCCTCACTGGGTAAGATCTTTCAACTGAGATTTTTAGCTACCTCCTATATGTGCTTTTGTGCTGGAAACAGGTCTAACCTCCCTGGGACAGGGCTCCCAGAGAAAAGGGCATGTTGCCATTGTTGTTGTTTTGCAGCATTTACTGGTGATAACTTCAGATACTGGAAAATTGGAGATGACTAGAAACTGCAATGGACACTCAGGATAATCCAACAGCCCTTCAGAAAGTGGCCAGATTGTTACGTAAGGGCCTGTTCTCCTATATTCTCTTTGGGAAGGTTCTCCAGGACTGGCCCACTAGCCAATCATTCCCAGAGTTATTGAGCCAGTAGCAAGTTAGCAATTCCCTGGACAGAGACTCCAGCAGCAATTGAAAATACTTCTGCCACTGCCCCTGCAGTAGAACTGTCCTTGCTTCCCTCAGGCTAATGAACAGTCCAAAAACTTAAGTGCGTTATTCACACCTTAAACAAGCTGCAGTTTACCCAAGGAGAAGAGGCCAGTCCATCCTCCTTGGGTTTCACACACTCCTCACTGCTCCTCACCAGACAGTGAACCTCTACTTGGCCAAAAGCAGAGCTCCTCCATCCTGGGCTGACTGCACTGAGGGATTGCTGACCTACATCTCTCTGAGATGCAGCCCCCCAGAAGAGAAGCAAAGAGGTGGGCCAGCAAGCCAGCTTATGTGGTGTCCAGTGGGTTTGGCACAAAAGCATCTGTAGGAAAGTGTGGCCAGTGATGGCCATTTCTCTAGGCTAAACTTTCTCTCATAAGAGACTTTAGCCCTAGAGAACCTGTTGGACCTAATTTCTGCAGGATAGTCTTGCAAATGAGAAGAAGCGTCTCCAACTGAGCACTCCTTGGTCTGCTGGTCTCTCCCAGGGTCCCAGTCTGGCTGCAGCCACTTACAGGGCAGTCTCAGCTCCTCTGGAAGAGTAGTTTACCATACCATGGCATCTGCATTGGTGGACGATGCCTGAGCCCTAACTGCTCCAGCAAAGCAGCCCCTGTGGCTGCACCAGCACACAGGTATGTTCCCCATACTGCAGCTTCTCCAGAGACCATGGCAACTCCTGATATTACTTTGGTGGCACATGTCTGCAAAGGTGGGTTGGACTTTGCTTGATCCATCAGCAAATAAGAATGCAGTATTCCCCTGCCACCCACAGCAGCTTCTACTGTAGATGAAGCTTTGGTGGGCAGAGAGCCAGAAAGGCACAACTCTGCCTTTGTGTTAACACTGTGCAGAGAACTGTGTATTCTCCCACACTCTGAACAATCACTTCTTTATTGGTGGGGCACAAAGAAGGCATCAAACATTCACTGGCCAGCTTCCTGCACCAAGCTAACACAACCAACCATTATTAGCGCAACAGCACACACAGTGTCCAGCAGTTACGTCCTCAGTCACCTCCCAACTTCTTTGCTCCTGCCACTAAGGTAAATGCCCAGAGGCAGGCAGAAAACCCATATCCACTACCACTTTGCTGCAGCTGCGGCATGCTAGTCCTACAAAGTGATGGACTTGAAATATCAAGGAGCCAGAGAAGATGGTTGGAAACAAATACAACTGCCCCAGAGTATGCAGCCTCTGAGTTGTGAGCTGAGCATTGTCTCCCTGCCACCAAAAAAAAAAAAAAAAAAAAAAAAAAAAAATTCCCAGGAACAAAGCCCGTAGGCTCAATCTACTTTATACCACAATTGGATATTACAGGCCATTGAATAGGATTAAAAAAAAAAAAAAAAAACTCCATTCAAATGTCAGCAACCTCAAAGATATGCCCACAAAGATTTGACAAAATCCGTGCAAAAATGTTGAAAACACAAAAAACCACAGTGACTTCTTTCATCCAAATGACCAAATTATGTAATTTGGTCATTTCAGCAAGGCCTAAGATGACAGAAGTAGAATTCAGAATATGGATAGAAATAAACTTCATTGAGCTACAAATGTAAGTTGCAACCCAATGCAATAAAAGGAAAAAATTGCAGGAATTAATGGAAAAAACAGCCAATCAGGAGGAAAATGTGGTCAACCTGATAGAGCTGAAAAACACAATACAAAACTTTATAATGTAATCAAAAGTCTTAACAACAGAATAGGCCAAGCAGAGGAAAGAATCTCAGAACTTCAAGACTGGCTTTCTGAAATAAGACAGACAAGAATAGTGAAAAAAGAATACAGAGAAATGAACCAAAGTCTCTAAGAAATACAGGATTATGTAATGAAACCAAATCTATGATTAAAAAGAACATCTGAAATTGATGGGAAGAATGAAAACAACTTGAAATACCTATTTCCAGATATCATCCATGAGAATTTTTCCAGCCTAGACAGAGAGGTCAACATTCAAATGAAGGAAATGTGGAGAACCCCAGTAAGATACCCTACAAGAAGGTCACCCTCAAGACACGAAATCGTGAGATTCTCCAAGGTCAAAATGAAAGAAAAAAATGTGTTAAAGGCAGTTAGAGTGAAAGGCCAGGCCACCTGTAAAAGAAGACCATCAGACAAACAACAAACCTTTCAGCTGAAATCCTACAACTCAAAAGAGACTAGGGGCCAATATTCTACATTCTTTAAAAAAAAAGAATTCCAAACAAGAATTTTCAGAGGAACCGGCCCCGAATATTTCAACATAGGTTCTTTTCTATTTTCCCTAAGTGTTGGCTGGTCTGAGAAATAAAGGGAAAGAGTAAAAAAAAAAAAAAAAAAAAAAGGGAAATTTTACAGCTGGGCCTCTCGGAGTGACATCACATGTCAGCAGGTTCTGTGATGTCCACCTGAGCCACAAAACCAGGAAGTTTTTATTAGGGATCTCAAAAAGGGAGGGGTGTATGAATAGGGAGTGGGTCACAGGGTTCACATGCTTCATAGGGCAATAAAAGATCACAAGGCAAGGGGGCAGAGCAAGATCACAAGGCAAAGGTGAAATTAGAATTACTGATGAAGGTCCATGTCCCAATGGGCATGCACTATCATTGATAAACATCTTAACAGGAAACAGGGTTTGAGAGCAGACAACGGATCTGACTAGAATTTGCCAGGCTGGAATTTCCTAATCCTAGCAAGCCTGAGGGCACTGCAGGAGACCAGGAAGTATTTCATCCCTTATCTTCAACTGCATAAGACAGACACTCCCAGAGCAGCCATGTTAGAGAACTCCCCCTGGGAATGCCTTTTTTTCCCAGGGCTATTCCTTGCTGAGAAAAGAATTCAAGGATATTTCTCCTATTCACTTCCTGCAAGAAGAGAAGTATGATTCTGTTCTGCCTGGCCCCGTAGGCAGTCAGACCTCATGGCTGTGTCCCTTGTTCCCTGAACATCGCTGTTATCCTGTTCTTTTTCAGGGTGCCCAGATGTCATATTGTTCAAACACACATGCTTTACAAACAATTTGTGCAGATAACGCAATCATCACAGGGTCCTGAGGCGACGTACATCCTCAGCTTATGAAGATGAAAGGATTAAGAGATTAAAGTAAAGACAGGCATTGGAAATTATGAGAGTATTGATTGAGGAAGTGATAAATGTCCATGAAATCTTCCCAATTTATGTTCAGAGATTGCAGTAAAGACAGGCATAAGAAATTATAAAAGTATTCATTTGGAGAACTGACAAATGTCCATGAAATCTTCACAATTTATGTTCTTCTGCCATGGCTTCAGCAGGTGCCTTCATTCAGAGTCCCTGACTTCTCACAACAAGAATTCTATATCTTACCAAAGCAAGCTACAGAAGTAAAAAATAAATATAATCCTATTCAGATAAGCCAACGCTGAGGAACTCTGTTACCACAAGACCGGCCTTACAAGAGCTTCTGAAGAAAGCAGTAAATAAGAGACTATTACAAGTCACTACAAACAAAATAAAAACAAAACAAAAACAAAACAAAACAAAACAAACCCCCAAAAAACCCACTAAAGTACATAAACAGCTGGCACTATAAAGCAACTACATAAATGTGAAAATTAGCCAGCTAAGATCACAGGGACAGAATCAAATCCACGCATAAAAATGCTAACTTTAAATGTAAATGGGCTAAATATCCCAGTTAAAAAACAGAGTGGCAAATTGCATGCAGAGTTAATATCCAAGGGTATGCTGTAACTGAGACACCCATCTAAAATAAGATAACAATAAATTGAAAAAGAAAAATCTACCAAGCAAATAGAAAACAGGAAAAAAGCAGCCGTTGAGATTATAGTTTCTAGCAAAACAGACTTTTAAGTCAACATAGATTTTTTTAAAAAGACAAAAAAGAACATTACATAAGAGTAAAGTGCTATATATGCACCCAATACAGACACATACAGATTATAAACCAAGTTCTTAGAGACCCTCCAAGATGTTAAGTAAATGGTCTTCATCAGTCGTTACCCTTATATTGCATTCATTCAGTATTAAATCTCTGATGTGGAACACGACATGAGGATTTGTTAAAGGCTTTTCCACATTTTTATCACTTGTGGACTTTCTCTGTAGTATGAATTTTCTTATGTCTAATGAGGTGTGAGAATGAGCTCAATGTTTGGCCGCATTTTTCACATTTGTAGGGTTTCTCTCCAGTGTGAATTCTCTTATGATTAGTAAGGTCTGAGAAGCACTTAAAGGCTTTGCCACGTTCCACGCGTTTTTAGGATGTGTCTCCAGCATGATTTATCTTGTGTTTAATGAAGGTTTAGGAGCAGGTGAAGGTTTGCCACATTCTTTATATTTGTAAGATTTCTCTCCAGGATAAACTTTCTTATGTTCAGTAAGACTTGATAACTTTTTAAAGGCTTTGCCACATTCTTCACATTTGTGTCATCTCTCTGCAATAGGAATTTCCTTTTTTATAGTAAAATGTGAGAACAATGTACAGTCTTTGCCACGTTCTTCATACTTGTAGCATTTCTCCCACTAATTTTTTTTTTATGTTCACTGAAGTTTGAGCACAACTCAAAAGGTTTGCCACATTTGTTTTGCTATGAGTAGATGACAGACATTGAGGAAAGCCATTAAAACTGCTTTTCTGCCCTTGCAATAACCCACACTTTGGTAGTGTTTCTTTAAAAGTAAGTTATTAAAGTCACAGCTTTCATATTTTATCAGTCACTTTTTGGAATGAATCTTTTATTTTGTGCTCCATCCATATCTCTGTAGTAAAATGAAAACAGCCCAGCTGAAACAAACAAACAAAAAAAGACAAAATTTCTCCCTCATTCGACTCAGGTGAATACACTTGACAAATGTGTAATTATACAAAGCACATTAACAAGGTGACAATAAAATACCACAGGGCCTAATTCCTTTATAAACATATAAGTTTAACATAATATACTTACCAAAATGCCTTTGTGAGAAGTCCAAGACTCAGTTAAGCATTTGCAGCACCAAGTGAGCAAAATGCCAAGAACCACATAGGAGTGTAATAAAAGTATTTCATATTTACCCACTACACACATATTTTATCCTATGAAAAGTGTAGAGACTGACAACTCCTGTCTTACCCCTTCAAAAATAAATAAAACAGTGACATGTCCATGCTTCTGGCTTTTTGAGTTTTTACCAAAGACAAATTCCTACATTCCAAGACAGTGTTGAAAGGAAAGATGGTATACTTTGACTGAGACTAAAGACAAATAACTGTTACAAAAAAAGAAAGACTTCAGTATCATAGGCAGACTATGGGTATCCAGCTGACTGCAGGATCTCAGTGAGAAATATGGGGAACGGCTGGGAGTATTGGATCACACCTGTAATTCTAGCTATTTGGGAGGCTGAGGTGGGTGGATCAGCTGAGGTAAGAAGTTCAAGACCAGCCAGGTCAACATGGTGAAATATCCAGAAATCAGTTATAAAAAATGGAGATATAAATGGTAATATAAAAATTACCAGAGGCGATTTGGGTTAGTTTAGATCTATTTTTAAAAAGAAAAAAAAAAAGTGCTAAAAAGTGAAAATCACCGTGTCAATGATGCTTAATCAGTAAAATAGAAATAAAGAAAAAAACATAAAAATAAATAAATGAAACCAACAAAAGATAAAAGTCACAAAAAGGAATGAAAATTGTGCAGTAGAAGCACAAAAAAAGACTAATATGCAGTTCAACATCAGTAAAAAATTTTAAGAAACTCAAGAAGCTCAGACAATTTCAACTAAGGTTAACACAAAGAGATTTCTAACAAGACAAAACATAAGCAATGTTTTGAAAGTCAGAGAAAAGAAGAGAATCTGGAATTCAGAAATAAAAAATAGATGTGTTATTCATATGTATGCTTCTGCAAGATTACCAGTAAATTTATGAATGTCAATCTTTTGGGCATGAAGGGAATAAGATGACATAGTTAAAACACTGAAATAAATAGCCTAATAAAGAATACTATAGCCTGCAAAATTATCTTTCCAAATGAAAAAAAAAAATGTGGCTATGTTGTAGTCTATATCAGGATGTAACTATGTCATGCCTTTAAGAGACTCATTTCAGATCTAATAAAAATTAGACTGAAAATGGCAGTATAAAAATACATTCCATGCAAGTGTTAATCAAATGAGAGGAGAAGAGGTAACAATTTATTAAGTTGAAAACTGTTATATTTATATAATTTATTTTATGTTAAAATTCACAAGGGACAAAGTAGGACATTCAAATGCAGTAAGAGGGTTCATTCACTGAGAACCTATAAATGCAGGACAGTTATTCCAAACACATAAATCAAACATTGACAGAATTGAATCAAAAATAGGCAGGCAGCAATGAGATAGTGGAAGTATATATCAATACCCCACTTTCAGTAATAAATAAAGCAAGACAGAATATCAATGAGGGAACAAAAACTTGAATGTACTGTACAACAACTACACCTAAGAAATGTATAGAGACAACAGAATAGACTTTCTTTTCAATAGCACATAAAACATTTTCCTAGATGGACCACATGTGACACCACAAAAGAAGTCTTAATTATTTTTCAGTTGAAATTTTACAGAAAATTATTTATAGCCCAGACGGAATGGAACTAGAATTTAGTAACAAAAGAAAAGCAGAAAAACTCCAAAAATATAAAAATTAAGCAACACAGTTTTTTTTTTTTTTTCTTTTGAGATGGACTCTCACTCTGGCACTCCGGAGCTAGGTTGGAGTCCAGTGGCACAATCTCAGCTCCACTGCAATCTCCACCTCCTTGGTTCAAGCCCTACTTGGCCTCCAAAAGTTCTGGGATTAGAGGTATGAGCTACCATGCCCAGAAAACAACGCACTTTTAAGCATGCTGTTTTTCAAGGGTTGGAAGATAAAATATTATGAAGATGTCCATACTGCTTAAAGTGAAGCACACCGGCAACACACTCCTTTTCAATTTTTAATTTTACTTTTCCAAAAATAGACAAAACTCCACAAAATTACTTGAGATTCCAATAAACCGTGAAAAGCCTGACAATCTTAAAAATATATATAGGAAGCATTACACATAACAATTTCCAAACACAAAGCAAACCTACATTAATCAAAGGATTGTGCTGCCGGTATAATGGTAGAACACCAAAGTCATGAAACAAAATTCAGCACAGATATAAACTCTTGAATAGACAGGAGAGACATCACCTAGGTTTTGCATTCAGCCATATGTCGCAATTCCTTCAATAAGCAAGACCCAGGCAAGAGAGCGGAGTTACATTTCAATAAGCAAGACCCAGGCAGGAGAGCAGAGTGATATTTCAAAATGTCCTCTGGGTGCGGGACACAGGCTGGAGAGACACATCACCTAGCCGAAAAGACCAGAAATATGTAATAATATCCCCTGTTGACAGGGCCCAGGCAGAAGAGTCAAGTTATTATGATTCTGTCCCATTGACATGTAACAATAAACCCATGGAAAGGAATATGAGCCAAAAAGTCTCAACACCTGCATACTATGTCCAGTCGTATGACACAATCTCCTCATCTTTGAGAGTGACAGTTTTAACTTTTACCTGAATATGTATATTAGCGTCACAATTTCACATGTGTGCTGGGCCAATATACAACACTGTCTACAGGAGCTGAGGGTTTTATAAACCTGCATAAGAATTGCAAAGCTCTCTGAGGACTACATGCTCCTATGGACTCACAATCTTACATATGGCCCTAAACTCAGGTTTGATAGTCATCATCTCCCTATAGGCAGGGTTAGGGAGGAAGACCCATTATTATGCCAGTGGGCTGGGTCCAGAAATGAGTCACCATCCCAACTTTTGTCAGATTAACATATAAAAGTCAAACCTCCAACTTTGTGCTGTATTCCCTGTTAGACTCAGGACCTCAACCTTGGACATTGTAAACGTTGGATGATGACAACTTTTGATTTCACCTGGGTGTGTAACCAGGAGTCTCAATCTGAACTTTTTGCTGGGCCCTGTTATGAAACATTCTACCACCAAAGAGTTTGAAAAAATATAACTCAGTGTTAAGCTTCTATGACCTTGGTAGAAATATGTAACCCAGGAACTTACCTATTGCCCTAAGCCTAATGATGAGAGGTAAAATATCTCCTATTGGCTGAATCCCAAAATAAGTTTGATCATCATGCCTGTGAACTAAAAGCAAGATATATGTCATAATCCCATATGTGGCCAAATAAGTATGCAGGAGGGAAACATCACTTATATGGTGTGCCAGGCAATATGTCAAATTGCCTTCTTCAGGCAGGGTATAGGGGATATTAGGTCACAATAACCGGGTGTTGGAGCCAGCAATATGACAACATCTCACATGTAGAAAATACCCAGCCAAGTTAGGAGAGCCAAAACATCTGCATTATGGGCTGAAGATATGTCAAAATACCTTCAGTGGCTCCAACACAGGCCGGAGAGTCACATCATAAGGATGCTGGGCTTATCAATATGCAATATGCCATAGTTTCTTCTTTGTGCAAAACCCAGGCAGGTGAGTAACATCATCGGGATGCTGGGCCCTGCAATAGGTCCAAATTCTTTTTTTGTGGGCATGGCTCGGGAACAAGAGGAGAGTCACATATTCTGCGTGCTGGGATCAGCAATGTGCCAAAATCCTCTTAATGTGAAGCCCCAGGCAGAAAAATAGAGTCACATTTTTAGATCATGGGCTCAGAAATATGTCCAAATGTTTCCAGTAGGCAGGGCTCATTGAGACGAGGAAAGTCATATCACCTGGGTGCTTCCCTTCAAATATGCATAATGTAACATGTAAGCAGAAACAAGGTAGAGGAGCCACGTCCCTTGGGTGCTGGGTCCTGAGATATGTCACAAGGCTGTCTTAGGATATCATCCAGGAAAGGGAGTTACATAAATGAGGTACAAATTCTCTGCTTATTCCACAATGCTCCATGTGAGTAGATCCCAGAGAGGGAGTCACTTCAACCAGGTGATAGCTGAAGAGACGTGTCACAGTGTCCTCTATGAAGCACAGCCCTGGCTAAAGAGTACCCTCACCTGTGTGCCTGGCCTAGAAATATGTCACTCTCCAGGTTGGCAGGGCCCAAGCCGGAGAGCCACATAACTTAGGTGACAGGCCTAGAGATATGTCACAGTGCCCTACTTTCAGCATGGCTCTGGCAAAAGAATACCCTCACCTGTGTGACTGGCATTGCAATATGTCACTATCCTTCCTTCGGGCAGGGCCCATTCCAAAGAAGAGAGTTACATCACCTATGAGGTGGACACAGGAATATGTCACAGTAATTTTTGTGGACATGGCACAGGCAAGAATGTAACATCACCTGGCTGCTAGATCCAGTGATCTGTCACAACACTTACTGAGAGAAGAGCCCAGGCATGGCAGTCATATCCCCTTGAGGCTGACCCAGCTAGATATCACAATTTCATATATAAACTGGGACCATTCTGGAAAGTCCAACTACACAGGTGCTTGGCAAATATGTATATCACAATCACACTGTCAGAAAATGTCAAAGGTGAGTTTTATGATACCACACATGTCCTGTTTTTACGTGTGACAGTTGGCTGCAACCATGTGGGATGATGACAGTTATTTCTGTCAGCTGGGTTTGCATACAGGACTCACAATTTCACCTGTGTGCTGAGTGCTACATTGGTTCTGCTTGTATAACCCAAAGACTCTATAAAAGTATGTGTCAATGTTGTAATCTTTTGTGATGTTTGTACAAGAATGTGATCCATGATATCACACATGTCCCTACACCTAGTTATAAGAGCCTAAATATTCTCTATTTGCTGAGTTCACATCTAAGAGTCGTTATCATTCCTGCGAGCCTTGCGTAGGTATATGTTACAATTCCATGAGTGGTTATGAAGCAGGCAGAACAGCCTCATCACCTAAATTCTGGGCCTGAAATATTTCAATATTATCTTTGTAGACAGGGTCCTGTCAGAAATGCCACATGACTTGTGTGCTGGGTCCAGCTCTGTGGCACAATGTCCCTTGTGGGTAGTGTCCAGGAAGAAGAGGAGAGTAATATCACCTAAATGATAGGCCCCAAAATATGTCAAAATGCCTCCTGTTGACAGGGCCCAGGAAAGAGAGTCGTATCATTTAGATGCAGTGTTTAGAAATGCTACAATTACCAAAGTAAGCAGGGTACAGGCAGGAGAGGAGAATCATGTAACCTAGATGATGTGTTCAGAAATATGATACAATCCCTCCTGAGGCCATTGTTAAAATAGCACGGTAAAATCATCAAGTTACTTGGCCAGGTATTTGTCAAAATCTGATTTGTGGGCTATACCTAGGAAGAATTATTAAATCTCTCTGGAGCTGGACAAAGGTATGTGTCACAATTTCACTTGTGGAAAGATTTAGGAATTACAGTCACCATCCTGCACATGTCCTGGCTCCAAACATATGAGTTGTTATTAGGCTTTTGTTTTGGTCTCAGGTATATGACACAATATCACCTGTGGCCAGAAAGAAGGCAAGAAACTCACATCACCTACATGGGTGCAGGTCCAGTGAGATGTTGCAATCCACCTGGTGGGCAAAACGCTTGCAGAATTGTCAGATCACTTGGATGCTGGTTTCAGTGATATATTTTTAAAAAGCCCTCTGTGGGAAGGACTTTGGCATGAGAGAAGACTCACTTCATCTAGGAAATTGGCCTAGATTATGTCACAATGACCATTAACTGCAGTAAGAAGGCTAAAGAGTGCCCTCACCTTGGTGCTGTACCCAGGAATATGTCCCAAGCTCCCTGTGGTCAGGACACAATGAAAAGTGAAGAAACATCACCCAGGTGCTGAGCCAAGTGGTATGTTACTATGTTGGCAGAACCCCCCAAAAAATCACATCTCCTGGGTGCAGTAGCCTGTTATGTGTCACAGTGCTCTGTAACTGCAGGGCCAAGACAGTAGAAGAGAGTGACATCACTTATGTGATGGACCTAAATGTAAGACACAATTCTCTTTTTAGGCAGTTTTCAGGCAGGTAAATCACATCACCTGGGTGACGGTCCCAGTGATATATAAAAGTGCCCCTTATAGGCAGAGACAAGGATGATGTTATATATTGATTAGGGGCTTGTTCCGCATATGGCAAAATTTCATCTGTGGTCTGGGCCTAGAAATGTGCATCAAATTACTCATATGCTGGGAAGGGTTGCATGACCCAATCATACTTTCAAGAAGGTTCAGAAATAATTTTCAGTTCACTCAAGTCCGAGCTTTGAGTATGCGAATCAACACATTCTACGAGTTGGGTTGTAGTACAGGAGTCACAATCTCAGCAATGGGAAGATCCATGTGTAAGAGCCCCAATCCCACCCGAAGACTGTGTTCTAATAAGAGAGACACAGCACCACAGTTCTACTTAATCATGGTTCCAATGCCATCAAACACCTGTGGATCAGATTCACGTACAAGTGTAACAGTTTCAAGTCTTATGTGTGTGAGATTTAGCACTGCATTGGTAGGCTCTGTTCATGTGTGAGAATAACAATTGTGTCAGCTTGGTGTGCATTCAAGAGTCACAATACCACCTGGTTTTGGGTGCCTGTTATGACACTCTTTGTACCACTCAGGCTTTATACGATATGCCTGAGTGGGATACTTTTCTGTGTATTCTTAGAGGTGGGTAATATAGAACTCTACCCATGGCCATAGAGTTATTATTGTGCATGTGAGCTGAATCCAGGTATATGTCCCAAATTCACCTTTGGACAGAGACAAGACAGAAGAGTCTCATCATCTGGATTCTGATCCAGGGATACATTTTATTCTGCACTGTAGGCAGGACTCAGTCAGAAGAATCATATCACCTGGGTACACTCTCAAATAATATGTCATCATGCCTACTGAATACAGGGATTAAAAAAAGTGGATAGTCAAATTCTCTAAGGACTGGGCTCAGCACATCTTCTCGGACTCTCTTGGCAGAGCCCAGGACAAAGGGGAGAGTCACATCACCTAGGTTTTTCACTCAGTGGTATGTCACAATTTCTTCAGTGGGCAGGATTCAGCAGGAGAGGAGATTCACATTACCTAGATGCTTTATCTAGTGATATGTCACAGTGTCCTTTGTGGGCAGGGCACTGGCAGGAGAGACACACCACTTAGCTGATAGGCCTAAAGACATGTGATCATATCCCCTGTTGTCAGGGTCCAAGCAGAGGGTTAAACTATTATGATTCTAAGCAAGGGATGTTTTACAATGCAACCATGGAAAAGAATTTAAGCCTAAAATTCTCAACACCTAGAGGTACTAGGCCTCGTGATATGGCACAATCTCTTCATCTATTAGGGTGACAACTTTGACTGTTTGGTGAGTATATAGGAGTCACAATCTCATGTGTATTCTGGGTGATCCTATGACACAATCTACAACATACAAAGGCTTTAAGCAACATGCATGAGAGTTGCAATCCATTCTGAGGCCTACATGCTCCTATTGACTCACAATCTTACATACTGCTTTAAACTCAGTTATGATAGGCAACATTCCTCTTATAGGCTAGATTCAGACAGAAGACACATTATTATGCCCCTGATGTGGGTCCAGAAGTGAGTTACCATCTCACCTGTAGCAAGATCCATATATGAAAGTCACAATTCCATCTTTGTACTTTATTTACTTGTTAGACTCAGGACTTCAACAGTGGGCTTTGTAAATGTGGGATTTTGACAACTTTTTCTCTCACCTGCATGTGTAATCAAGAGTCAAAACCTTAACTTTTACTGGGCCCTGTTATAAAACTCTGTGTACCAACCAAGGAGTTTATAGATTATGTGTTACTGTTGTAACCTTCTGTGAACTTTGTACAAATTTGCAACTCATAACCTTACCTATTGTTCTAAGTGTAGCCATGAAAGGCAAAACATCTACTATTGGTGAAATTTCAATTTCAGCTTGATCATAATGCGTCTGAATTGAAGGAATGTAAATTTCATACCATTTGTAGAAAAAAAAAAAAACTTTTCAGAAAGGTAGCATACTTAGGTGCTGTGCCAAGCAATATATCACAAGGCCCTCTCAATGCAGGTCTAGAAATTGGGGTTATGATAACTGGGTGCTGGACTCAGCAATAAGACATAAACCCAAATGTAGAATATGTAGGAAAAAGAAATGCATACTAATGATGAGAACAAGATTACCTACAGAATAGGCCCATGGTATGTAAAAATACTTTGTTATTCTAGCACAGGCAAAAGAGTTACATCATCAGGGTGGGGGCCCCAGCAATATGCCATAATTCTCTCTTTATGCTGGACCTAGTAACAAGAGAACTGTCATCTTCATGCTGGGATCAGTGATACATCAAAGTTCCTTTTCATGGGCATAGTTCAGGAAAAAAGGAGTCAATTTACCTAAGTATTGGGCCTAGCAGTATATCACATCACCCCATTCTAAAGGCTCTTGCAGAAAAAAAGATTCACATCACTTAAGACACAGGCTCAGATATATGGCCCAATGTCCCAAGTAGGCAGGACTCATGCAGAAGAGAAGAGTCATATCACCTAGGTGCTTCCTAGGTATATGACACAATCTAACATGTGAGGTGAAGCCAGGCAGAAGAGTCACATCACCTTGATGCTGGGTCCTAAGATATGTCACAAGACTTCCTTAAGACAGGACACAGAAAAGAGAGTTACAAAAAATAAGTACAAAAAAATATCACAATGCTCCATGTGGGCAAGACAGAAGCAGGGAGTCACATCACCTAGGGGACTGGCCGAGAGATATGTCACAATGTCCTCCTTGAGTCATGGCCCTGGTGAAAGAGTACCATCACCCATGTGCGTAGCCTAGCAATATGTCCACTATCCAGGTAAGCAGGACCCAAGCAGGAGAGCAACATCATCTAGCTGATAGGCCCAGAGATTTGTCACAGTGACCTCTTTAGGACATGGCCCTAGCAAGAAAGTACCATCACCTCTGTGCATTATGTTGTTATCCAGGTAAGCAGTACCCAAGCAGGAGTGCAGTATCACCTAGGATAGGCCAAGAGATTTGTCACAATGCCCTCTTTAGGACATGGTACTAGCAAAATAGTCCTGTCACCTCTGTGCCTGGCCCAGCCACATGTCACTATCACCCACTGAGTGCTGTGCCCATTCTAATAAGGAGAGTTGTGTTGCCTAAGTTGTTGACACAGTGGTATGGCCCAGTGATTTCTCTATGCATGGCTTAGGCAAAAATGTAACATGACCTGGGTGCTGGATCTAGTGATATGTCATGATTCTTAATGACAGCAGGGCCGAGGCAGGAGCATCACATCACCTAAAGTTTGGCCCAGGTAGGTATCACAATAACATATGTGGACTGGAACAAGTCTGGAGAACAAAATCACACAGGTGCTTGGCGAAGATTTATATCACTCACACTGGCAGAAAATTCTGAGGATGAGATTTATAATACCACACATGTCCTGTTTTCATGATTGACAGTTGGCATCATATATGTGAGACGGTGACAGTACTTGCTGTCAGCTGAGTGCACATATAAGACTCACAGTTTCACCTTTCTCTTGGGTTCTGTTATAAAACTCTCTGTATGGGCCAAGGTGTTTATAAAACATCTGAGGCTCTTATAACCTTCCTTGTCTTCTTTTTTACCAGAAAGTGATTTAATCTCTCATGTTTCTGAAGCAAGTTATGAGACTCAGAATTAACCGTATTTACGGGGTCCACATATGAGGGTCATTATCATGTCTCTAAGTTGTACCTAGGTATATGTAACAATTTATATTGTGGCTTATGAAATAGGCACGACAGCCAAGTACACTAAATGCTGAGCCAGAAATGTTCTAATATTCTCCTTGTAGGCATACTCCTGGCAGTAAAGTTGCATAAACTGGGGGTTACACCCAGATATATGGCACAATGCTCCTGTGGGCAGTTTCCAGACAGAAGAAGAGACTCATATCACCTAAATGCTAGGACCAGAGATATGCCGCAATGTCTCGTGTTGAAGGGACCAGGAAATGGAGTCATATCATTTGGATGGCATGATTAGAGATGCTGGAATCCCCAGTGGAAGGAGGGTTCAGACAGCAGAGGAGAGTAAGACAACTAGACGAGGGGTCCAAAGCCATGTTACAATCCTTCCTGAGGATATTCTTAAGACAGGAGAGTCAAATTGCCAAGGTGCTCAGCTGAGTAATATGTCCAAATCTCATTTGTGGGCAACATTTAGGCAAGATGATTAAGTCACTCAAGAGATGGGAAATAGACTATGTCACAATAACACTGGTGGAAAGTTTCAGCAATGGGAGTCACCATCTTTGATGTGACCTGGCTTCAGGTCTAACAGTCATGATTAGTCCTCTTGTTTGCTCTCAAGTATATGGCATGATATCGTCTATGGACAGAGAGCAAGCAGAAATGTCACATCACTTGTGAGGGTGCTGGTCCAGTGAGATGTCACAATCTTTCTTGTGGCCAGGACCCTGGAAGAAGAGGCATATCACCTGGAAGCTGGTTTCAGTGATATGTCAAAATTTCTTCTGTTGGGCAGGGCTTAAGAAGGTGAGGAGAATCACTTTACCTACATCTAGGCAATTGGCCTAGATATATGTCACAATGGCCACTAGGTGCAAAACCAAAGTATGAAAATGACCTCACCTTGGAGGTGGGTTTATCAATATGTCACAATCTCCCCTGTGGTCAGGGTGAGGTAGGAGAGTAGAAACATCACCTAAGTGCTAAGCCAAGTGATATGTTACAAAGCTTTCTGTTTGTAGAACCCAGAATGGAGTGTCACATTTTCTGAGTGTACTATCCAGTTATGTGTCACAATGCACCATAATTACAGGGCAAAGGCAGTGGAAGTGAGTCACGTCACTTACATGATGGACCTAGATAAAAGCCACAATGCTTTATATAGGCAGGAATCAAGCAAATAATACACATCTCCTGGCTGCTCATCCCAGTGATATGTAAAAGTGACATTTGTAGGCAGGCCCAGGCACCTTTGCTTAGGTTTTTGGTCCACATATGTCACAATTTCATCTCGGGTTATGGCCTAAAAAGGAGAGTCAAATTACTCAGGACCTGGGCTAACTTTTAAGTCCTAATCATACACCAGGAAATATTCTGAAGTAAGTTTCACAGCCCCACACAAGTCCTGGCTTTATGTATGAAAGTCAACACCTTCTGTGAGTTGGGTCGAAACAGAGGAGACACAATCTAAACAATGGGCATAATCCATGTAGAAGATGGCAATCCCACTTGATAACTGCATTCCAGGGGGAGAGTCCCAGCCTCACAGATGTGCTGAACCATGCAACCCCAAACCACCTGTGAGTCAGATCCACATATGAGAGGAACAATTTCAATCTTTTACTGCTCTTTTGGTGAGATTTAGTACTTTATTTGCAGGTTCTGTTCTTGTGAGAGAATGATAGTCGCGTCAGCTGGGTGTGAATCCAATAATCACAATAGCATTGGTTTGCTGTTCCCTGTTATAACACTCATTGTACTACTCACATTTTCTATGATACGCTGGGAGTGTCATAATACTGTGTGAACTTTATACCACTATGAGAACCATTACTTTGCTTGTGGCCATAAGAATGGCAATGAGAATCAAAATATCTCTCCTCTTTGGGTCCAGGTATGATAGTTGTATTATTGCATGGTATCTGAAGCTGGGTATATGACAAAATTTTACCTGCGGGCAGAAACAGAGCAGGAGAGTCTCATCACCTGGATGGTGAGCTCAGGATACATTATAATCTTAGAGAAACAGAGAAGACTCACATCACCTGGGTGCTGGACTCCGCAATATGTGATAATCCCTTGTTTTGGCAGACTCCAGAATAAAGAGGAGAGTTGCATTACCCAGTTTTTGCAGTCAGCGTTATGTCACAATTCTTTTAGTGGGCAGGACCTAGGCAGGAGAGAAGAATCACATTTCCTAGATGTTATCACCGATGATGTCACAATGTTCTTTGGTGAAAAAGCAGAAGCAAAATAGACAAATCACCCAAGAAATAGGCTCAGATATATGTGACAATATCCCTACTTGGCAGGATCAAGTAGTAAAAAGTCACATTATTGTGATTCTGACCCAACGATATGTCACAATGCACACATGGGAAACAAAGCAGTTTTTACACCTGGGTACTAGGCCCAATGATATGACAATATCTCCTCATCTTTTAGGGTGACACCTTTAACTGTTAACTCATATGTATGTAAGTCACATTGTCACGTGTGTGCTGGGCCATTGTATGATATCCTCTAGAACATCTGAGAGTTTTATACAACATGCGTGAGATTCACAAACTACTCTGAGGTCCACATGCTCATTTTGACTCTGAATATTATATATTGCCTTAAACCCAGATATGAGAGTCAGTATCTCTCATTTATGCTTAGTTCAGGAATGAGGCTTATTTTTATGCCTGTGAGCTGGGTCTAAAAATGAGTGATGGTTGCACCTGTGGCAAAATCCACAAATGAGAGTCACAATTCCATCTTTGTACTGTTTTACTTGTTAGACTCAGTATCTCAGCAATGGGCTTTCTTAATGAGGGGTGGTGACAAGTTTTACTTTCAATTGTGTGTGTAATTCAGAATCACAATCTTAACTTTTTGCTGGGCTTTGTTAGGAAACGCTGTACCACCCAAGGAGTTTATACAATATTAATTATTGTTCTGTGAGCTTTCCTCAAATACGCAACCCAGGATTTTACCTATTGCCCTAAGCCTTGCGATGAGAGGCAAAATATCTTCTATTTGCTGAATCACAATGTAAGTTTGACCATCATACCTGTAAACTGAAGCAAGGTATATTTTATAATCCCATTTGTGGGCAAAAAATTACCAAAAAGAGTAATGTCACTTAGGTGCTGTGGCACGCAGCATGTCACAGTGCTGTCTCTAGGCAGAATACAGAAAGCAGGGTCATGTTATCTGGATGCTGGACCTAGCAATATGACACAATTTTACTTGTTAAAAAAAGAAACTCAACCAAGGGATGAAAGCCAAAACACTTACAGATTTGGCTGAAGATATGTCAAAATGCCCTCTGTGGCTCTGGCACTGGTGGGACTGAAGCATCATTAGAGTGTTGGGCCTACCATTATGCAATCACTCCCTCATTATTCAGGACTGCAGCAGAAGAGTAACATCATCTGAGTGCAATAGGTGAAATTTTCCCTTTGTGGGCATGGTTCAGAAAAAAGGAAATAGTCACATAACCTAAATCCTGGTCTCAGAAATACATCACAATTTCAGCATTTTAAAGGCTGAGGCAAGGGAAGAGAGTCATATCACTTAGGTCATGGGCTTAGAAACATGTCCCAATGTCCCCAGTAGGCAGAAGTCAGGCAGAATTCAGGCAGAAGAGGAGAGTGGTGTCTCATTGGTGCTTCTTTAGGTGTATGTCTCAATCTAACACATGGGCAGAACCAGACAGAAGAGCCATATAACCTGGGTACTGGGTCCTAAGGTATGTTGCAAATCCCGATTAGTTCAGAACCAAGGTGAAAGAGTTACATCACCTTGGTTCAGGTTTCACTTTCATGTCACAATGCTCTATGTGTGTGAGGCCAAAGCATTTAGTCCCATAAACTAGTTTATTGGCCCAAGAGATAGGTCACAAAGTCCCCTGTGAAGCATAGTCTTGGCAAAAGAGTATCATCACCTGTGTGCCTGGCCTAGAAATATGTCATTCTCCAGGTTGTCAGGGCCCAAGCAGGAGAGCCGCTTAACCTAGGTAATAGGTGCAGAGATATGTCACAATGCCCTACTTTGGGCATGGCTGTGGCAAAAAGTACCCACAGCTGTATGCCTGGCTTCACAATATGTCACCATCCTTCCTTTGTGCAAGGCCCATTCCAGAGATCAGAGTTTCATCCCTATGAGGTGCACACACAAATATGTTCACAATAATTTTGGTTGGCGTGGCACAGGCAAGAATGTGAACATCACCTGGATGCTAGATCCAGTGATATGTACAATCCTTACTGAGAGAAGGGCCCAGGCAGGAGAGTCACATCTCCTTGAGGTTGGCCTAGGTAGATATCACAATCCCACATATGGGCTGGAACAAGTCTGGAGAGTCAAATTACACTGGTGCTTAGCAAAGATTTATATCACAATCACACTGTCAGAAAATTCCAAAGATGTGATTTACAATACCACACATGTCCTGTTTTCATGTGTGACAGTTGACTTCATCCATGAGAGATGATGACAGTCCTTACTGTCAGGCGGGTGTGCATACAAGACTCACAATTTCACCTGAGTTGAACCCTGCTTTGACTCTTTCTGTATAAACCAAAGACTCTGTAAAATGTGTGTGTTGTAATCTTTTGTGATGTTTGTACAAGAAAGTGATTCAGGACATCACGCATGTCCCTAAACTGAATTATAAGAGTAAAAATATTCTCTGTTGGATGAGTCCACATATAAGAGTCATTATTATTCCTGCAAGCCCTGCCTAGGTATTTGTTATAATTTGTTCTGTTGTTATGAATCAGGCCTAACAGCCACATCACCTAAATGCTGGGCCAGAAATATTCCAGTATTCTTTTTGCAGGAGGGGTCTTGTCCAAAATATCACATAACTTGTGTGCTAAATCCAACTCTGTTGCACAATGTTCATTTTGGGCTGTGTCTAGGCAGGAGAGGAGAGTCACAGGACCTAAAAGCTGGGCTCAAGCATGTGTCAAAATGCCTCTCAACAGGAGAGTTTCTCCAAAAAAAGAGAGCCATGTCATTTGAATGCAGTGTTTAGAAAAGGTACAATTACTATAGGAAGCAGGGTACAGGTCAAAGAGGAGAGTCATATACCCTAAATAATGGGTCCAGAAACATGTGACTATTTTGCCTGAGGACACTTTTTAGATAGCACAGTCAAATCACCAAGGTGCTTGATGAAGATATTTGTCAAAATCGCTTTTGTAGGCTATATCTAGGCAGAATTATTAAATCACTCAGGAACTGAAATACAATATATGTCACAATTACACTTGCGGAAAGGTTTAGGTATAAGACTCAACTGTGGGCTTTGTAAATGTGGGATGGTGGCAACTTTTAATTCCACCTGGGTGTGTAATCGAGAGTCCCAATTTGAACTTTTTGCTGGCCCCTGCTATAAAAATTTCTACCACAAAGGAGTTTATAAAATGTAAGTTAGTTGTGTAAGTTTCTGTGAGCTTGGTACAAATATGCAGCCCAGGACCTTATCTATTGCCCCAAGCCTAACAATGAAAGGCAAATATTTTCTATTGGCTGAATCCCAGTATAAGTTTGATCATCATGGCTGTGAGCTTAAACTGGGTATATGTTATAATGACATATGTGGGCAAAACACTACGCAGAAGGGTAACATCACTCAGATGCTGTGCCCAGCAATATGTCACAATGCCTTCTGTATGCAGGGTGTAGGAAATTGGGTCACGTTAACTGGGTGCTGGACCCAGAAATACGACACAATTTCACATGTGTAAGAAACCCAGCCCAGTTATGAGAGCCAAAACACCTACATAATGGGCATAATATATGTCAAAATACTTTCGGTATCAGCAGCACAGGCAGGAGCATCACATCTTAAGGGTGCTGGGCCCAGCAATATACAATATGCCATAATTATCTCTTTATGCAGATCCCATGCAGAAGAGTAACATGATCTGCATGCTGGGCAATAATATGTGTCAAATTTCTTTTTTGTAGGCATGGTTCAGGAGAAAGAGAAGAGAAACAGATCCTGAGTCCTGGGCTCAGCAATGTAACAAAATCCTCCTTTTATGAAGGCCCAGGAAGAAAAACAGAGTCACATCACTTAGGTCATGGGCTCAGAGACATGTCCTAATATTCCAACTAGGCAGAGCTCAGGCAGGTGAGGACAGCCGAGAGTCACATATCCTGAGTCCTGGGCTCAGCAATGTGACAAAATCCTCCTTTTATGAAGGCCCAGGAAGAAAAAGAGTCACATCACTTAGGTCATGGGCTCAGAGACATGTCCTAATACTCCAACTAGGCAGAGCTCAGGCAGGTGAGGACAGCCGAGAGTCACATATCCTGAGTCCTGGGCTCAGCAATGTGACAAAATCCTCCTTTTATGAAGGCCCAGGAAGGAAAAGAGAGTCACATCACTTAGGTCATGGGCTCAGAGATATGTCCTAATACTCCAACGAGGCAGAGCTCAGGCAGATGAGGACAGCCATATCACCTATGTGCTTCCATCAAAATATGTCACAATTTAACATGGGGGCAGAAACTATGCAGAAGAGCCACATCACTTGGGTGCTGGGTCCTGTGATATGTCACAAAGTGCTCTTAACACAGCACCTAGCTAAGAGAAATACATCATACTAGGTGAAGGGTCTCTGCTTATGACACAATGCTTCATCTGGTTAGGACCCAGGGAGAGAGTCACTTCATTTAGGTGATAGGCCCAGAGATATGTCACAATGTACTGTGTGAAGCATAGCCCTGGAAAAGGGTACCATCACCTGTGTGCCTGGCCTAGAAGCGTGTCACTTTCGAGGTTGGAAGGACCCTAGCAGGAGAGCCACATAATGTAGGTGATAGACCCAGAGATATGTCACATTGCCCTCCTCCAGGCATCCACAGGATAAGGAGGAACCTTGCCTGTGCGCCGGTCCTTGCGCTATGTCACTATCATTCTGTTGTGCAGTGCCCATTCCAGAGAGGAGACTCACATCAACTATGAGGTAAACACAGAAATATGTCACAATAATTTTGGTGGGCAGGGTGCAAGTAAGGATGTAACGTTACCTGGGAGCTAGGTCCAGTGATATGTCACAATCATTACTGAGAGATAGGACAAGGCAGGAAAGTCATGTCACCTCGAGGTTGGCCTAGGTAGATTTCATAACCCCACCTATGAGCTGGAACAAGTCCGGAGCCTCAGATTACACAAGTGCTTAGCAAAAATTTATATCATACTCACACTGTCAGAAAATTCCAAAGATGAGATTTACCATCTTACCACACATGCCCTGTTTCATGTGTGACAGTTACCTTTATCCATGTGAGATAATGAGTTCTTACTTTCAGCTGGGTGTGCAAACAAGACTCATGATTTCATCTGTGTGCTGAGCCCTGCTTTGACTTTGTGTGTATGACCCAAAGACTTTGTAAAATATGTATGAGTGTTGTAATATTTTGTGACCTTTGTACAAGAAGGAGATCCAGGACATCATGCATGTCCCTAAACTGAGTTATAAGATGCAAAATATCCTCTATTGGCTGAGTCCACACATGAGAGTCATTATCATGGCTGTGAGCCATGCATAGGTATATGTTACAATTCACTCTGTGGTTAAGAAGGAGGCCTGACAGCCATATCACATAAATGCTGGGTCAGAAATATTCCAATATTCTTTTTGTAGTCAGAGCCCTCTCAGAAATATCACATAACTTATGTGCTATGTCCAGCTCTATGGCTCAATATCCCTTGTGGACAGTGTCTAGGCAGGAGAGGAGAGTAATATCACCTAAATGATGGGCCCAAAATTTTGTCACAATTCTTCCTGTTGACAGGTCCCAGGCAAGAGTGTCATATCATTTGGATGCAGGGATTATAAATACTACAATCCACCAAAGAAGCAGGGTACAGGCAGGAGAGAAGAGTCACGTAACCTAGATGAAGGGCACAGAAATATGTTACAAGAGCCCCTGAGGACATTTCAAGATACATCAGCCAGATCACCAAGGTGCTTGACCAATGTATCTGTCAAAATCTCATTTGCTATACCTAGGCAGAATTATTAAATCACTCAGGAGTTGAGCAAAGGTATATGTCACAATCAGACTTGTGGAAAGGCTTAAGTCTAAGAGTCACCATCCTGCACAAGTCGTATGCTCTAGTCATATGAGTTGTTACTAGGCTTTTGTTTTGGTCTCTGGCACATGGCAGAATATCACCTGTGGCCAGAGAGAACACAAGAAAGTCCCATCACCTATGTGGGTCTGGGCCACTAAGACATCACTATTCACCTTGTGGGTAGGAACCTGGTGGAAGAGCCACAGCACCTGGATTTCAGTGACATATCAAAAGCCTCTCTTCTGGGCAGGGCTTTGGCAAGAGAGGAGACTCACTTCACAAAGGCAGTTGGCCTAGATGTTTGCCACAATGTCTATTCCGTGCAGTAACCAAACTGTAGAGTGGCCTCACATAGGTGTTTGTCCCAGGAAATATGTCACAATCTGCCTGTGGTCTGGGCCAAGGCGAAAGTGAAGAAACATCACCTAGGTACTGAGCCAAGTGATATGTTCAATGCTTCCTGTTGGCAGAACCCAAAAAGAAGAATCACATCACTTGAATGCAGTACCCAGTTCTTTGTCACAATGCCCTGTAAGTGCATGGCCAAGGAAGTAGAAGAGAGTCACATCACTTACAGGATGGACCTAGATATATAACAAAATTCCTTTTGTAGAAAGGTTTCAGGCAGATAACTCACATCATCTGGGTGATGGTCCCAGTGACATATGTAAAATTTCCCTTTGAAGGCAGAGCCACGATGGATGTTATCTATTGCTTAGCTGCTTGTTCCACATATGGCACAATTACTTCTGTGATCTGGGCCTAGAAAATGAGTCAAATTATTCATTTGCTGGACAAAGTGACCTATCCCAATATGACACTCTCATATATGTTCGGAAATAAGTTTCACATCCCACACAAGTCCTGGTTTTGTGTATGTGAGTCAATTCTTTCTGTAAGTTGGATCAAAATGGAGGAGTCAAAATCTCAACAATGGGCAAGATTCATGTATAAGAGCCGCAATCCCCCTTGAACATTGTGGTCCAGGAGGGGAGTCACGGCACCACAGGTGTGCTGAATCCTGGTTCAAATGTTAACAAACCACCTGTGGATCAGGTCCATGTAGGTGAGTAATTATTTCAAACATCGACTGCTTTTTATGTGTGAGATTTAGTCCCTCATTCCTAGACCCTGTTAATATGCGAGAATGACAATCATTTCAGTGAAGTGTGCATACAAGAGTCATATTCTTACCTGGTTGCTGGTCTCTGTTATGACACTCTTTGCACCATTAATGCTTTATATGATATACCTGAGTATTATAATCCTTCGTGACTTTTATACAAGTGAAAAACACAGGGCTTTACCCATGGCCGTGAGACTGGCTATGAGAGTCAAAATATTCCTACAGGCTGGGCCCAGGTATGAGAGTTATTTTTGTCCATGCGTGCTTAACCCAGGTACGTGTCAAAATTTCACCTGTAAGCAGAGACAAGGAAAGGGAGTCAACTCACCTCGACACTGAGCCAGTGATACAGCATAATCTCATTTGTATGCTGGGCCTAGTCAGAAGAGTCACTTCACCCGGGTACAGTTTCACATAATATGTCAGCAAGCCCACTATGGACAGGGAAGAAAAAAGAGAGGACAGTCAGTCCACCTATGTGCTGGACTCCGCAATATGTAACAACCCTCTCTCTTGGTAGAGTCTAGAATATGAAGGAGAGTCACATCATGTAGGTTTTTCAATCAGCGGTATGTCACAATTTGTTTGCTGAGCAAGGCTCAGGCAGGAGGTGAGAGTCACATTACCTAGATGTTAAGCCAAACAATATTTCACAATGTCTTCTGGGTGCAGGACACTGTCAGAAGAGACAAATCCTCTAGCTTATAGACCCATAGATATGTGATAATATCCCCTTTTGGCAGGGTCCAGACAGAAGAGACACATTATGATTCTAACACAGTGATATGTTACAATCCACCCAAGGAAAGGAATTTAAGCCAAATAGTCTCAACACCTAAGCACTATGCCTATTAATAGGCCAAATCCCCTTGTCTTTGAGAGTGACATTATAAACTCTGAGCTGGGTGTGTATATGAGAGTAACAATTTCACTAGTATCCTGGGCCGTTGCATGACTCTCAACAATTTTCAAAAGCTTTATACATCACGCATGAGAGTTTCAAACCACTCTAAGGCCTACATATTCACATGGATTCATGACCTTACATATTCCCCTAAACCCAGGTATAATAGTCAGCATCTCCTCTATAGGCTGGGTTAGAAATGAGACTCATTTTTATGCCTGTGAGCTGGATCTAGAAATAAGTCACAATCCCACCTGTGCCAGATCCACATACGAAAGTCACAATTCCAACTTTGCACTGCATTCATTTGTAAAACTCAGGTTCTTAACAATGGCCTTTGGACATGTAGAATGATGACAGCACTTGCTTTTACCTGGGTGTGTAATCAAGAATCTCAAACTGAACTCTTCACTGGTCCCTATCACCAAACTCTCTATACCAACAAAGAAGTTCATACATTATGAGTTAGTGTTGTAAAGCTCTGTGAGCTTGGTACAAATATGCAACCCAGACTTTATGTATTGCCCAAAGCCTAGCAATGAAAGGTAAAATATCTCCTATTGGCTGAATCTCAGTATAAATTTGACCATCATGCCTGTGAACTGAAGTCATAGTCCCATTTGTGAGCAAAAAAAGTAGGCCCGAGGGTAACATCACTTAGGTGTTGTGCCAAGCAACATGCCACAGTGCCCTCTCTAGGTAACATAGAGGAATTAGAGTCATGTTAACTGAGTTCTGGACTCAGCAATATGAAACAATCCATTATGTGGAAACAAACAAAAACAAAAGTGAAAAAAAAAAAAAAAAAAACAGCAAAAAGATAAGAGCCAAAACACCTACATAATGGGCCCAGGATCTGTGAAAATACCTTCTCTGCCTCCAGCAAAGTCATGAGTTTTATATTTTCAGGATGCTGGGCCCAGCAGTATGTTATAATATTCTCTACATACAGGACCCACGTAAAGGCGTAACATTATCTGGGTGCTGGGCCCTGCAATAGGCCAAAATTTCTGTTAGTGGGCATGATTTGAGATTAAAAAAAAAAAAGGTGAATCAAATAACCTGATTGCTAGGTTGAGCAATATTTCACAATCTCTCCATTGTAAAGACCCAGCAGAAAAAGAGAGTCACTTCCCTTAGTTCATGGGCTCAGAGATATAGTCCAGTGTACCCAGTGAACAGGGCCCAGGCAGAAAGGGAGACTCATATCACCTAAATGTTTCCCTAGTTATATGCCAAAAACCTTACCCACGGGCAGAAACCAGGCAGAAGAGCCACATCACCTGGGTACAACTGCAAGTAATATGTCACCATCCCCAGCATAGATAGGTTTCTTATAAAATTAGATAATGACACCACGTGGGTGCTCTGCTCACCAATATGTAACAATTCCCTCTCTTGACAGAGTCCAGGAAAAAAAGGGGACTTCTGTCACCTAGGCTCTGCACTCAATGGTATATGACAATTTTTTCAGTGAGGAGGATCCAGGCAGTAAAGATGGGTCAAATTTCCTAGATTCTAAATCCAGCAATATGTCAGTGTCTCCTCTGGGCAAAGTACTGGCAGGAGAGACATATTACATAGCCAATAGGCCTGGAGATATGGGAAAATATCCTCTGTTTGCAGGGCCCTGGAAGAAGAGTCACATTATTTTGATTCTGACCCAGTGATATGTAACAATGCCCTAATGGAATGAAATTTAAACTAAAAGTTCTCAACACCAGCTAGTAGGGCAAGATATATGACAAAATCTCCTCATCTTTAAGGGTGACACCATTAAATGTTAGCTATCTGTGTATAAGAGAGTCACAATCTCATGTGTGTGCTTGCCATTGTATGACACTCTCTATAATACCTGAGAACGTTATGCAACATGCATGAGAGTTGCAATCCTCTCTGAGGCCTACAGGCATTTACAGAATTATGATTATGCATATTGCCCTAAACCCAGGTATGACAGTCAGCATCTCTCCTATAGACTGGTGTTAGGGATGAGATCATTATTATGACTGAGAGTTGGCTCCAAAAATGAGTCACCATCCCACCTGCGGCCATATTCATTTATGAAAGTCACAACTCCATCTTTGTGGTGTATTTGCTTAGACTCAGGATCTCAACAATGGGCTTTGTAGATGTAGGATGGTAAAAACTTACTTTCATCTGAGTGTGCAGTCAAGAATCATAATCTTAACTGTTTGCTGGGCACTGTTAAGAAACCCTTTGTATCACCCAGGAAATTTTTATTACATGAGTTAGTGTTGTAAACTACTGTGAGCTTTGTAGAAATGTGCAATGAGTAACCTGACTCTTTGACCTAAACCTGGTGGTGAGAGGAAAAATCTCTCCTATTGGCTGAATCCCAACATAAGCTTGATCATCATACCTTTGGACTGAAGCAAGGTATTTCTCACATTCCCATTTTTTAGCAACCTATGCAGAATATTAACATCACTTAGGTTCTTTGTCAAGCAATATGTCATGATGCCCTCTGTAAGCAGCACCTAGGAAAGAGGGCCACATTAACTGCAGGCTGGAGTCAGCAATATAATACAACCACACGTGGAAGAAATTCAGCAAAGTGGTAAGAGTGAAAACACCTAGAAAATGGGCCAAAGATATGTCGAAATACCTTCTGCGGTCCTGGCACAAGCAGGAGAGTCACATCATTAGGGTTCTAGGCCAAGAAATATGCCACAATTTTCTCTTTATGCACAACCTAGGCAGAAGAGCAGCTTCATCTGGGTACTGGGCCCTGAAATACGGCAAAAGATCTGTTCCTGGGCGTTGTTCAGTTACAAGATGAGAGTCACATTACCTAAATGCTGAGCTCATCAATATCTCATAATCTTACCATTGTAAAGCCCTAGACAAAAATAGAGTCACATCACTTAGGTCACAGGCTTAGAAATATGGCCCAATATCACCAGTAGGCTGGGTTCAGACAGAAGAAGAGTCATATTACCTAGATGCTTCTTTAGCTATATGTCACAATTTAATATGTGGGTGAAAACCAGGTTGAAGAGCCACATCATGTGGTCCTGGGTACTGAGGTATTCACAAGTCCCTCTTAGAAAAGGACCCAGGCAAGAGAGTTATGTCACCTAGGTGCAGATTCCACGCTTATGTCTCAATACTTCATGTGGGCAGGACCAAGCAGGAAGTCACATCACCTTGGTGATAGGACCAGGTATATATGACAAGGCATTTTTGAAAGCATGGCCCTGGCAAAAGAGTTCCATCACCATTGTGCCTGGCCTAGCAGTATGTCACTATTCAATTGGGCAAGTTTCAAGCAGAAGAGCCGTATCACCTACACGATAGGTCCTGTGATATGTCAAATGCCCTTTTTTGGGCATAGCCCTGGGAAAAGAGCATCATCACCTGTGTGCCTGGCCTAGAAACAGGTCACTATTTTGCCCAGTGTTCAAGGCCCTTTCCAGAGAGGAGAGTGACATCTTCTAACTGATGGACACTGCAATATGTCACAATGATATCTGCGAGCATGGCGCAAGCAAGAATGTAACGTCACCTGTGTGCTGGATCCAATGATGTTATAATTCTGAGTGGAGGGCCCAGGCAAAAGAGTCACGTCACTTCAAGGTTGGCTTAGGTAGATACCAAAATCCCATAGGTAGGCTGGAACCAATCTGAAGGGTGAACTCACACAGGCACTTGGCAAAGATTTATATCAGTCATGATGGAATAAAATTCTAGGGATTAGATTTACAATATCAGGCGTGTTCTATTTTTATGTGGGACAATTGCCTTCATCATCTGTAATGGTGAAAGCCGTTACTGTCAGCTGAATGTACATATGAGAATCCCAATTTTCTCCATGTGCTAGGCCCTGTTATGACTCTCTCTATACGACACAAGGATGTTATAAAATATGTGTGAATGTTGTAATCTTCTGTGACCTTTTTACCAGAAGGAGATGCTGGATATCACTTATCTCCCTAAGCCTAGTTATAAGAGTCAAAATGTTTCCTATTGGCTGGGTTCACATATGAGAGTCCTTATCATGTATTTTAGATGTGTCTACAGATACGGCGCCATCTCATCTGTGGTAATTAAACAGGCAGAAAACGACATCACCTAAATCCTAAGCCAGAAATACCCCAACTTTATTTTGTAGAGAGGGCCCTAACAGAAATATGACAAAACTTAGGTGCTAGACTCAGCTCTATGGCATAATGCCCTTTGTGGAGTGTGTCCAGGCAGTAGAGGAGAGTCATATCACCTAAATGAAGGGCCCAGAGAGATATCACAAAGCCCCCCCTTTAAAAAGCCCAGACAAGAGACTCATGTCATTTGGGTGCAGTGCTTAGAAATGCTACTCTTCACTGGAAGCAGGGTTCATGCAGAAGAGGAGAGTCATGTAACCTAGACAATGGCTCCAGAGATATGTTATGATCACTTCCGAGAACCTGTTAGGACACAAGAGTAAAATCACAAAGGTTCCTGGGAAAGGTGTAGGTCCAAATGTCATCTGCGGGCTATAACAAGGCAGGATTATTAAATCACTCAGGAGCTGGGTAAAGGTGTATGTCACAATAGTACCTGTGAAAATCTGGGGCAGGGATGAGAGTAATGATCCTGTCCTGCACGTGTCCTGGCTCTGGGGACAAGCGTCATCATTAGGCTTTTTATCTGGTCTCAGGTAAATGGAACAATATCACCTGTGGGCAGAGAGAAAAAGGAAAGTTCCATCACCTTAGTGGATGCTGGTCCAGTGAAATGTCTCAATTGTCCTTGTGGCTAGGACTCTGATAGAAGAGTCACATCATCCGGATGCTGGTTTCAGTGACATATAAGATCCCCCCTGTGAGCAGAACTTAGGCAGGAGAGAAGACAAACTTCACTTAGGCAATTGGCCTGAATATACGTCACAATGGCCCCTATGTGTAGGATCAAGGCAGGGGAGTAACCCTCGCTTTGGTGCTAGGTTCAGCAACATGTCACAATCTCTCTGGCGGTCAGGGCACAGGCAAGAGAAAAGAAATATCACCTAGTCGCTGAGCCAAGTAATACGTTACAAAGCTTCCTACTGGCAGAAACTTCATTCTCCAAAAAAGTCACATCACCTGGGTGCAGTACCTAGTTACGTGTCACAATCCACCACCAGAAGTGCAGGGCCAAGACAGTAGAAGGAAGTCATGTCACTTAAGTAATCAACTTATATAAAAACCACAGTGCTCTCTGTAGGCAGGCCTCAGGCCAAGATTTTACATCAGCCAAGTGCTGATCTCAGTGATATGTAAAAGTGCCCTATGTTTCATTACCAAAAAAGATGTTACTTATTGCTTAGGTGCTTGGTGCATGTAAGTCACAATTTCAACTGTGCTCTGGGCCTAGAAAGGAGAGTCAAAACACTCAGATTCTGTGCAAAGTTATACTTCTCAGTTACACACTCAAAAATGTTCAGAAATAAGTTTCACAGTCCCACACAAGTCCTGGATTTGGGTATGAGAGTCAACACCTCCTATAAGTTGGGTTGAAGTACAGGTGTCACAATCTCAAAAATAGGAAAGATCCACATAGAAGAGTCTCAATCCCACTTGAAGATTGTGTTCCAGTAGGAAAGTCAAAGTACCACAGTTTGACTAAATCATAGTTCAAACATCACCAAATCACCTATGGATCAGATTCGTGTATGAGAGTAACAATTTCAAGCTTCAACTGCTTATGTGTGTGAGATTTACTACCTCATTTGTAGGCTCTGTACATGTGTGAAGATGAAAATCATGTCAGTTGTCTATGCATCCAAGAGTCACAATGGAACCTGGTTGCAGGTACCTGTTATGAAACTCTTTGTAACATTCAGGCTTTATATGATATGCCTGAGTAGTATAATTTCCCGTAAATTATTACAGGTGGGAGATCTAGGACTTTACCCATGGCCTTAAGACTGCCTGTGAAAGTCAAATATCTCCCACTGGCTAGGTCTAGGTATGAGAGTTATTATTGTGCTGAATCCAGTTATTATATGAGCTGAATCCAGGTATACATCACAATTTCACCTTTGGACAGAGACAAGAGAGAAGAGTTACATTATCTGGTTGCTGAGCAAGGGATACGTTATAATTTCCTTTTTAGTCAGGACCCAGTCAGAACAGTCATATCACCTGGATACAGTCTCAGATAATATTATCATGACCACTAAACCCTGGATTGAAAAATAGAGGATTGTCACGCCCCTAGGTGATGGGCTCAGCAATATTTTATTATTTCCTCATTAGCAGAGTTCAAGACAAAGCTCACTGGCAGAGTCCAAGACAAAGAAGAGAGTCACATCACCTAGGTTTTGCACTCAGTGGTATGTCAAAATTTCTTCAGTGGCCAGAATCCAGGCAGGAGTGGAGAGTCACATTACCTAGATACTATAGTGATATGTCCCAGTGTCCACTGTGGCAGGGCACTGGCATGAGAGACACCACATCACCTAGCTGATAGGCCCAGAGATACGTGATAATATCCCCTGTTGGCTGGGTCCAAGAAGAAGTTTCACATTATTAGGATTCTGACCCAGTGATAATTCACAATGCACCTATGGGCAAAATTTAAGCCCTAATTCTCAACACTTGGTTACCAGGCCTAGTGATAAGACACACTCTCCTCATCTTTTAGGGTGACACCTTTAACTTTCAGCTAAGGTTGAATATTAGAATCACAATCTCACATGTATGCTGGGCCAATGTATGACACTCTTTACATCCGAGGGCTTTATAAAACCTGCATGAGAGTTGTAAACCTCTCAGCGACCTGCATGCTCATATGGGTTCACAATTTTACACATTGCCCTCAATTCAGATTTGATAGTCAGCATCTCTTTTATATGTAGGGTTAAAGGAGAAGACCCATTATTATCCCACCTCCAGACAGATCCACATATAAATTCACAATTGCAACTTTGTGCCGTATTCCACAGTGGGCATTGTATATGTAGGATGGTGACAACTTTTAATTTTACTGGGGTGTATAATCAGTACTCCAAATCTGAACTTTCTACTGGGCCCTGTTATGAAAGTTTTTACCACCAATGAGTTTATACAATATAAGTTAGTGTTGTAATCTTTGGACTTTGTACAAATATGCAACTCTCTGTGTACAAATATTACTCTCTGTGGTTATGAAGCAGGCAGAACAATCACATCACCTAAATTCTTGGCCAGAAATATTCCAATATTCTCTTTGTAGGCAGGATCCTGTAGAAATGCCACATAAATTGTGTGCTAGATCCAGCTTGGTGGCACAGTGTCCCTTATTGGCAGTGTCCAAGCAGGAGAGGAGAGCTGCCATATCAGGTAAATGATGGAACCCAAAATATGTCACTATGCCTCCTCTTGACAGGGCCCAGGCAAGAGAGTCATATCATTTGGATACAGTGTTTAGAAATGATACAGTTACCAAAGAAAATCATGTACAGGTGGGAGAGAACAGTCATGTAACCTATGTGATGGGCCAGAAATACGTTACAGTCACGCCTGTGGATATTATTAAGATAACACAGTCAAATCATGAAGATGCTTATACCAAGGATTTGTCAAAATCTCATTTTGATGCTATACCTATGCAGAATTATTAAATCACTAAGGAGCTGGGTAAAGGTATATGTCACAGTTACACTTGTGTATCGCTTTAAGACTAAGAGTCACCATGCTGCACATGTCCTGGCTCCAGATATATGTGTTGTTATTAGGCTTTTATTTATGGTCTCTTGTATAAGGCACAATATCGGCAGTGGCCAGAGAGAAGAGAAGAAAATCTCATCAGCTACATGGGTGTGGATTCAGTGAGAAGTCACAGTCTACCTTGTGGACAGGACCCTGGCAGAAGAGTCAAATCACCTGGATGCTGGTGTCAGTGAAATATCAAAACCTCTTCTCTGGGCAGGATTTTTGCTAGAGAGGACACTCACTTCACTTGGGCAATTGGCCTAGCTATTTGTCACAATGCTTCTTATGTGCATTACCAAGGCTGGAGAGTGACCTCACAAGGGTGCTGGACCCAGAAATATGTCACAATCTCCCTGTGGTCAGGGCGAGGACAATGCGAGGAAACATCACCTACATTCTGAGCTAAGTGATATGTTACCATGTTCCAGTTGGCAGAACGCAAAAAGGACAATGATCTCCTGGACACAGTTTCTGCTTATGTGTCAAAATGCACTGTAAGGGCAGGGCCAAGGCAGTAGAAGGGAGTCACTTCAATTCATGGTGGATGTAGATATAAAACACAATTCCTCTTGTAGGCAGGTTTTAGGCAGATAATTCACATCACCTGGGTGATGGTCCCAGTGATATATGAAAGTGCCCTTTGCAGACAAGGCCAAAGAAGGTATTACATATTTCTTAGGTGCTTGTTCAACATAGGGCACTATTTCATCCGAGTTCTGGGCCTAGAAAAGAGAGTCAGATTATTCATGTGCTGGACATGGTTACCTGTCCAAATCACACTCTCAGATATGCTTGGAAATAAGTTTCACATGCCACACAACACCTAGTTTCCTGTACCTGAGCCAACTCTTTCTATGAGGTAGATCTTAGTAGAGGAGTCACAATCTCAACAATGGTCAAGATTCATGTATAGGAGCCCCAATCCCCCTTGAAGACTGTGTTCCAGTAGGGAAGACACAACACCACAGGTGTGCTGAATCATGGTTCAAACTTTACCAAACCACCTGTGAATCAGATCTATGTGTAAGAGTAATTATTTAAACATTTGACTGTTTTTTTATGTGTGAGATTAGTATCTCATTCCTACGCCCTGTTCATGTGTGAGAATGACAATCATGTCAGCTGGGTGTGCATTTAAAAGTCCCATTCTCACTTCATTTCTGGCCTCTCTTATGACACTCATTGTACAATTAAGGCTGTATATGATATACCCGAGTGTTATAATCCTTTGTGAACTTTATACAGTTGAAAAACTCAGGACATAACCCATTGTCGTGAGACTGCCTATGAGAGTCAATTATCTCTACTGGCTGGGTCCAGGTATGAGAGTTATTATTCTGCATGTGTGCTTAACCCAGATATATGTCAAAACTTGGCCTGTGAGCAGGGACAAGAAAGGAAAGTCACATTACCTGGGTGTTGAGCCAATTATACAGTGTAGTATTATTTGAAGGCTGGGCATAGTCAGAAGTGTCAGCTTTATGCTGGTCCAGTGATACAATATAATCTTGGTGATGTGACAGCCTCAAAGATTATGTCACCAAGCACACTATTGCCAGGAAAAAAAGAAAAAGAGGAGTGTCACTCTACTCTACCTCAGTGCTGGGCTTTGCAAACTGTAATAATCTGCTGGCTTGGAAGAGTCTAGAATATGAAGGAAAGCCACATCACATAGATTTTGCAATCAGTGCTATGTCACAACTTCTTTGGTGAGCCACACCCAGGCAGGAGAGTAGAATCACGTGACCCAGATGTTAAGTTAATATTTTCCAATGCCTTCTGGGGGCAGGGAACATGCAGGAGAGAAAAATTCCCCTACTTATAGGTCCAGAGATATGTGATAATATCCCCTGTTGGCAGGGTCCAGACAGAAGAGTCACATTACAATGATATGAACCCAGTGATACGTCACAGTGCACCTGTGGGAAAGAATTTATGCCAAAATGTCTCAACAGGTGGGTACATGGCCTAGTAATATACCAAATTTTGTTGCCTTTGAGGGTGACACCATTAACTGTGAACTGACTGTCTACATGAATATAACAATTTCATGTGTTTCCTGGGCTGTTGATTGACACTCTGTGACATTTGAAGGCTTTATACAGCATGCGTGAGAGTTGCAAACCACTCTGAGGCCTACATGTTTGTATGGATTCATGATCTTACATATTACCCTAAACTCAGGTATAATAGTCAACATCTCTTCTGCAGTTTGGGTTCAGGGATGAGACAGTTTATTATGCCTGTAAGCTGGATCCAGAAATGAGTCACCATCCCACCCGTGGCCAGATCCACATATGAAGGTCACAATTCTGATGTTGTACTGTATTCACTTGTTAGACTCAAGACCTTAACAGTGAGGTTTGGACATATGGAATAGTGACAACGTTTGCTTTTACTTGGTTGTGTAATCGAGAGTCCCAATCTGAATTTTTGCTACTCCCTGTCATGAAACTCTCTGTACTCCACACATTTATACATTATGAGTTAGTGTTGTAAAGGTCTTTGAGTTTGGTACAAATATGCAACCCACAACCTCACCTATTTCCCTTGTTCTAGTGATAAAAGGCAAAATATCTCCTTTGGCTGATTCCCAGTGTAATTTAGACCATCATGCCTGTGAACTGAAGTAAGGTATATGTCATAATCCTATTTGTGGGCCAAAACTAGGCAGGGGTGTAACATCACTGTGCTGTGCCAAGCATCATGCCACAATGCCATCTCTAGGCAGCGTATAGGAATTAAGTCATATTAACTGGGTACTGGACACAGCAATATGACACAATCCCATATGTAGAAAAAGAACAGGCAAAAAATCAGAGCCAAGACATCTACAGAATAAGCTCAGTATATGTCAAAATGCCTTCTGTAGCTGCAGGAAAGCATGACAGTCACATTTTTAGTGTGCTATTATTATATATTAGTATATGCCATAATTCTCCGTGTACGCAAAATCCAGGCAAAAGAGTAACATTATATGTGTGCTGAGCCCTGCAATAGGTCAACATTTCTGTTTGTTTGCATGGTTCAAGAGAAATAGCTGTCAATAAATCTGAGTGCTGGGCTCAGCAATATGTCACAATGCCGTCACTGCAAAGACCAGACTGAAGAAGAGAGTCACTTCACTTAGGTCTTGGGCTCAGAGATAGATCCCACTCTCCCAGTAGGGCAGGGCATGGGCTGAAAAGGAGAGTCATATACCTAGGTGCTTTCCTAGTTGTATGTCACAATCTAACATGTGAGCAGAAATCAGGCTGAAGAGCCACATCACCTGGGTAGACCCTCAGGTAATATGTCACCATGCCCAATGTAGACAGATTTGATGAAAAATAAAAGTAAAAAAAGAATCACAACACCTGGGTGCTGGGCTCAGCAATATGTAGAAATTCCCTGTCTTGGCAGAGTCCAGGACAAATAGGAGAGTCATGTCACCTAGGTTTTGCACTCAGTTGTATGTCACAATTTATTTGGTGGACAGGTTCCAGGCAGGAGTATTACCTAGATGCTGTATCTAGTGATATATCACAATGTCCCCTGTGGGCAATGCACTAGCAGGAGAGACATATCACCTGGCCAATAGGCTTGGGGGTGTGTGAAAATATCCCCTGTTTTCAAGGCCATTATCATTATTCTGACCCAGTGATATGTGACAATGCCCTTTTGGAAAGGAATTTAAACAAAAATGTCTCAACACTGGGGTATGACGCCAAGTGATATGACACAATCTCTTCACCTTTAACGGTGACACAATTAATGGTTAGCTAGTTGTTTATATGACAGTCACAATCTCATGTGTGTGCTGACCCTTGTATGACATTCTCTGCAATATCTGAGAACACTATACAACATGCCTGAGAGTTGAAAACCTCTCTGAGGCCCACATGCTTATATGAACTCATGATCTTACATATTGCCCTAAACCAAGGTATGACTCTCAACATCTCTTCTCTAGGCTGGCTTCAGAGATGAGACTGTTTTTAAGCCTGTGACCTGGGACCAGATATGTATGAGTCACCATCCCACCCGTGACAAGATTAGCTTTTGAAAATCACAACTCCAACTTGGTCCTGTATTCACTTGTTAGACTCAGGACCTTAACAATGAGATTTGTAAATGTGAGAAGATAACAACTTTTACTTGCATTTGAATGTGTAGTGGAGATTCACAATCTCAATTTTTTGTTGGGATCCGTCATAAATATCTCTGTACCACCCAGGAAGGTTTTATGATATGAATCAGTGTTGTAAGTTTCTCTGAGCTCTGTATAAATATGCAATGAAGGGACTAACTTATTGATGTAAACCTAGCAATGCAAGGCAAAATATCTCCTGTTGGCTGAATCCCGATATAAGCTTGATCATCATGTTTTTGAACTGAATCAAGGTATCTGTCATAACCCCATTTGTGGGCAAAATCTAGGCAGAAGGTTAACATCACTTAGGTGCTGTTCCAAGCAATATGTCACAATACTCTACCTAGGCAGGGCCTAGGAAAGAGGGTCACATTAACTGGGGGCTGGAACCAGCAATATGCTACAACAACACGTGGAAGAATACCAGCAAAGTTATGAGAGCCAAAACACGTACAGAAAGGGAACAAGATATATCAAAATACCTTCTGTGGCTCTGGCACAAGCAGGAGAGTCATATCATTACGGGACTGGGCCAAGCAATATGCCCTAATTCCCTCTTTACGCATGACCTAGGCAGAAGAGTAACATCATCCAGGTGTTGGGCCCTGAAATACAGCAAAAGTCTTGTTTGTGGGGGTTGTTCAGCAACCAGACAAGACTTACGTTACCTAAGTGCTGGGCTCATTAACATTTCACAGTCTTCTTATTGTCAAAGCGCAGACAGAATAAGAGAGTCACATCATATAGGTTATGTGCTCAGAGATATGGCCGAATGTCACCAGTAGGCAGGGATCAGGCAGAAAAAGAGAATCATATCACCTAGGTGCTTCTTTAGGTATATGTCACACTTTAATATGTGGGAAAAAACAAGGCTGAATACCATATCACATGGTCCTGGGTCCTGAGATATTCACAAGCCCCCCTTAGAAAAGGACCCAGTCAAGAGAGTTACATCACCTAAGTGCAGGTTCCACACATATGTCACAATGCTCCATGTGGGCAGGGTCAAGCAGGAAGTCACATCACCTAGGTGATAGGCATAGAGATATGTCACAAAGCTTTTCTTTTCTTTCTTCCTTTTTTCTTTTTTTTTTGAGATGGAGCCTCGCTCTGTTGCCCAGACTGGAGTGCAGTGGCACGATCTCGGCTCACTGCAAGCTCCGACTCCTGGGTTCACGCCATTCTCCCACCTCAGCCTCCCAAGTAGCTGGGACTTCAGGCACCTGCCATGGCACCTGCCTTATTTTTTTGTATTTTTAGTAGAAATGGGGTTTCACCGTGTTAGCCAGGATGGTCTCGATCTCCTCACCTCGTGATCCACCCGCCTCGGCCTCCCAAAGTGCTGGGATTACAGGTGTGAGCCACCATGCCCAGCCATAAAACTTTTCTTAAAGCCTGTCCCTGGCTGAACAGTACCATCACCTTTGTGTCTGGCCTAGCAATGTGTCACTATGCAGGTGGGCAGATCCCAAGCAGAAGAGTCATATTACCTGCATGATAGGCCCTTTGATATGTCAAAATGCCTTCTTTTGGGCATGGCCCTGGCAAAAAAAAAAAGTATCATCACCTGTGTGCCTGGCCTATGAATATGTGACTATCCTATCCTATGTGCAGTGCCCATTCCAGAGAGGAGAGTTACATCTTTTAAGTGACGGACACAGTAATATGTCACAATGATGTCTGTGTCATGGTGCAGTCAAGAATATAACATTACCTGGTTACTGCATCCAGTGATGTCAAAATTCTTACTGAGAGCAGGGCCCAGGGAGAAGAGTCAAACCACTTCAAGGTTGGCCCTGGGAGATCTCAAAATTTTATATGTAGGCTTCAACCAGTCTTAAGAATGAAATCACAATGGTGCATGACAAAGATTTGTATCAGAGTCATGATGGAATAAAATTCTAGAAATTAGATTTACAATACCACACATGCCCTATTTTCATGTAGAAGAGTTGCCTTCATCCGTCTATGATGGTGAAAGTTCTTGCTGTCAGCTGGGTTTGCATATGAGACTGACAATTTTCTCGGTGTGCTAGGCCCTGTTATGGCATTCTTTATACAACACAAGGGTGTAACAAAACATGTGTGAGTGTTATAGTCTTCTGTGACATTTTTACCGGGAAGAGATCATTGACATCACTTATGTTCCTAAACCTAGTTATAAAAGTCAAAATTTCTCCTATTGGCTGGGTTCACATATGACAGTCACTATCATGGCCGTTAGTTGCGCCTAGGTATATGCTACCATGCTCTCTGTGGTTATTAAATGGGCAGAAAAACCACATCACCTAAACCATGAGCCAAAAATGTTCCAATATTTTATTTGCAGGAAGGGCCATAACAGAAAAGCCACAAAATTTGGTCATAGGCCCAGGTCGTTGGCATAATGTCCTTGCTGGAGAGTGTCCACACAGGAGAGGAGAGTCATATAACCTAAATGATGGGCCCAGAGAAATGTAACAATGCCTCCTATTGAAAGGGCCCAGGCAAGAGGGTCATGTCATTTAAATGCAGTGCTTAGAAATGCTACACTCTTCACTGGAAGCAGGGTTCATGCAGGAGAGAAAAGTCAAATACCCTAGATGATGGGTCCAGAGATTTGTTACGATCCCTTCTGAGGACACTGCTAAGACAGGGAAGTCAAATCACCAAGGTTTTTGGCCAATGTATATATCAAACTGTTATCTCTGGGCTATAAATAGGCAGGATTATTAAATCACTCAGGAGCTTGGCAAAGGTGTATGTCACAACAACACCTGTGGAAAGGTTCAGGGATGAGAGTCACCATCCTGCAAATGTTCTGGCTCTAGGTACAGGAGTTGTTGTTATAATTTTTTTATCTTCTCTCAAGTATATGGCACAATATCACCTGTGGGCAGGGAGAAGAAAGGAAAGTCACATCATCAGAGTCGGTGCTGGTCCAGTGAAATGTCACAATCCTTCTTGTGGGGAGGACTCTGGAAGAAGATTCACATCGCCTGGATGCTGATTTCAGTGATATATCTAAATTCCTTCTGTGGACAAGGCAGGCGTAGGAAGGAGAGGAGAAAAACTGCTCCTAGGCAATTCGCCTGGATATATGTCACAACTGTCCCTATGGGCAGGAAAATGCAGGAGAATGACCTCACCTTTGTGCTGAGTTCAGCAATATGTTACAATCTCTCTGGTGGTCAGGGCTCAGGCAAGAGAGAAAAAACATCACCTAGGTGCTGAGCTAAGTGATATGTTACAAATCTTTCTATTGGCAGAACTCCACCCAAAAATGAGTCACATCACCTGGGTGCAGTATCCTGTTATGTGTCACTAGGCACCATAAGTGCAGGACCAAGGCAGTAGAAAGAAATGACATCACTTACATGACAGAGCTAGATAAAAGCCATAATGCTCTTTGTAGCCGTGTTTCAGGCCAAGATTTTACATCGGCTGGGCGCTGGTCCCAGAGATATGTAAAAGTGCCCTCTGTCGCATTCCCAAAAAGGTGTTATACGTTGCTTAGGTGCTTGGCGAATGTATGTCACAATTTCAACTGTCCTCTGGGCCTAGATAAGAGATGCAAAACACTCATAGGCTGGGCAAAGCCATATTTCTCAATCACACTCTCAAAAATGGTCAGAAGTAAGTTTCACAGTCCCATACTAGTCCTGCCCTCAGGTATGAGAGTTAACATCTCCTATCAGTTTGGTCGAAGTACAGGAGTCACAGTCTCAACAATGGGCAAGATCCATGTATAAGAGCCCCAACTCTGGCCAGGCACTGTGGTTCATGCCTGTAATCCCAGCACTTTGGGAGGCCGAGGTGGGTGGATCACCTGAGGTCAGGAGTGGCCAACATGGTGAAACCCCGCCTCTACTAAACACAGAAAAAATTAGCCGGGCATGGTGGCAGGTGCCTGTAGTCCCAGGTACTCAGGAGGCTGAGGCAGAAGTATCACTTGAACCCAGGAAGTGGAGGATGCAGTGAGCTGAGATGGCACCACTGCACACCAGTCTGGGCAATAAGAGAAAAACTCTGTCTCAAAACAACAACAACAACAACAATAACAAAAAACCCACTCCCACTTGAAGATTTCGTTCCAGTAGGAGAGTCAAAGCACCACAGGTCTGCTGAGTCATGCTTCAAATGTCACCAAACCACCTGTGGATCAGATTCATGTATGAGAGTAAGAAAAATTTCTACTGCTTATGTGTGTGAGATTTAATATCTGATTTGTAGGCTTTGTTCATGTGTGAGAATGACAACTGTGTCAGCTGGGTGGGTGTCCAAGACTCCCAATAGCACCTGGTCACTGGTGCCTGTTATGACATCCTTTGTACCACTCAGACTTTATGTGATATGACAGAGTAGCGTACTTTTCTATGAATTCTTACATATGTGAGATTGAGGAATTTAACCATGGTAGTCAGACTGTCTAAGGGAATCAAAATAAATCCCCTGGCTGGGTCCAGGCATGAGAGTTATTATTGTGCATATGAGCTGAATCCAGGTCTATGTCACAGTTTCACCTTTGGACAGAGGCAAGAGAAGAGTCACATCACCTGGGTCCTGAATCAGGGAAACAGTATAATCTCCTTGTAGGCAGGACCCAGTCATAAGAGTCATATCAGGTGGGTACAGTCTCAAATAATATGTCAATATGCCCACCGTATACAGGATTGAATAAATAGTGGACAGTCACATCCCCTAGGTGCTGGGCTCAATAGCATGTTACATTTCCCTCTTTTGGCAGAGTCCATAACAAAGAGGAGAGTCATATCACCTAGGTTTTGCACTCAGTGTTCTGCAACAGCTTCTTCAATGGGAAGGATCCAGTCAGGAGGGTAGAGTCATATTACATAGATGCTATATCTAGCAATATGTCAAAATGTTCCCTGTGGACAAGACATTGGCAGGAGAGACATATTCCTTAGCTGAAAGACACAGAGATGTTTGATAACATCCACTGTTTGCAGGGCTCAGGAGAAGAATTACATTATGATGATTCTGTCCCAGTGATATGTAACAAGGCATTCATGAAAAGGAATTTGACGCAAAAAGTATCAAAACCTGGGCACTAGGCCTAGTGATACGACACAATATCTTCATCTTTGAGGGTAACACCTGTAAATTTTGGCTGACCATGTATATTAGTGTCACAATCTCATGTGTATGCTGGGCCAATATATTACACTCTGTAAAATACCCGTGGGGTTTATGAAACCTGCGTGAGAATTGCAAACCTCTCTGAGGCCTACATGCTCATAGGGACTCACAGTCATACATATTATCCTAAACCTAGGTTTGGTAGTCAACATCTCTCCCGCAGACAGGGTTAAGGGGGAAGACCTATGATTAAGCCTGTGAGCTGGGTCCAGAAATGAATCACCATTTTCCCTGTGGCCAGATCCACATATAAAAGTCACAGTTCACACTTTGCGCTGTATTCCCTTGTTAGACTCAAGATCTCAACAGTGGGCACTGTAAATGTGGAATGGTGACAACTTTTATTTTCAACTGGTTGTGTAAGCGAGAGTCATAATCTGAACTTTTTGCTGGGCCCTGTTATGCAACTCTCTACCAACAAAGAGTTTATACAATGCAAGTTATTGTTGAAAGATTCTATGAGCTTGGTACAAATATGCAACCCAGGATTTAACCTATTGCACTAAGCCTAATGATGAAAGGCAAAATATCTTTTATTGGGTGAATCCCAATATAAAGTTCGTCATAATGCCTGTGAAGTGGACCTAAGTATATGTCATACATGAGAGCCAAAGCACCTACCTAATGGGCACAAGAGACATCAAAATATTTGACTCCAGCACAGGCAGGGAGTCAAATTTTAAAAATACTGGGTTCAACAATGTGCAATATGCCATAATTTTCTTTTTATGCAGAACCCAGGCAGAAGAGTAATATCACCTGGGTGCTGGACCCTGCAATAGGTCAAAATTCCTTTCTGTGGGCATCATTCGGGAAAAAGAGGAGAGTCACATATCCTGAGTGCTCTGCCCAACAATGAGTCAATATCCTTATTTTGAAGGCCCAGGCAGAAAAAAAGAGTCACATCACTTCAGTCTTGGTCTCAGACATGTGTCCCAATAGCCCCTCTAGGCATGGCACAGGCAGATTAGGAGAGTCATATCACCTAGGTGCTTCCCTAGGAATACGTCACAGCATAACATAAGGACGCACACCGGGCAGAAGAACCACATAATTTGGGTGCTGTGTCCTGAGATATGTCATGAGGCTCTCTTAGGACGTCAGCTAGGCAAGAGGCTTACGTCACCTCAGAGTAGGTTCTCTGCTTATGCCACAATGCTTCATAGGGGTAGGGCCCAAGGAGCAAGTCGCTTCACCTAGGTAATAGGCCTAGAGATATGTGACAATGTCCTCTATGAAGTATGGCCCAGGCAAAAGAGTAACATCACCTGTGTGCTTGGCCTAGAAATATATCAGTCTCCAGATTGGCAGGGCCCAAGTGGGAGAGCAGCATAACCTAGATGATAGGCTCAGAGATATGTCACAATGCCCTTTTTGGGCATGGCGCTGGCAAAAGGCACCTATGCCTTTGTGCCTGGCCTTGCAATATGTCGCTATTCTTTCTCTGTGCAGAGAACATTCCAGAGAAGAGACTTACATCATCTGTCAGGTGGACACAGGCATATGTCACAATAATTGTGGTGGCCATGGTGCAGGCAACAATGTAACATCACCCGGAGGCAAGATCCAGTGATATACTACAATCCTTACTTAGAGAATGGCCCAGGCAGAAGAGTCACATCACCTTGAGATTGGGGCCTAGGTAGATATCAGAATCCCATATACATGCTGGAACAAGCCTGGAGAGGCAAACTACACAGGTGCATGGCAAAGATTGATATCACAATCACACTGTCCAACTATTCCAAATATGAGATTTACAATACCCCACACATCCTTTTTCGAGTGTGACAGTTGGCTTCATCCACGTGAGATGATAACAGTCCTACTGTCAGCTGGATGTGCACACAAGACTCACAATTTTACCTGCATTCCGAGACCTGCTTTGACTCCTTCTGTATAACCCAAGGACTTTGTAAAGTATGTGTGAATGTTGTAATCTTTTGTGACCTTTGTGCAAGAAGGTGATTCAGGACACCATGTATTTCCCTAAACCTAGTCATAAGAGTCAAAATATCCTCTATTGGCTGAATCCACATATAAGAGTCATTGTCATTCCTGATAGGCATGCCTAGGTATATCTTAAAATTCCCTCTGTGGTTATGAAGCAGGCAGAAGAGCAATGTCACCTAAAGGCTGGGCAAAAAACATTCCAATATTCTCTTTGTAGGCAAGGTCTTTTCAGAAATGTCTCAAAACTTGTGTGCTAGATTTATCTCTGTGGCACAATGTATTTGTGGGCAGTGACCAGGCAGTAGAGGAGAGAGATACTACCTAAAACCTGTGCCCAGAAATATGTCACAATGCCTCCTGTTGACAGGATCCGGAAAAGACCGTCATCTCATTTAGATGCAGTGTTTACAAATGCTACAATTACTAAAGGAAGCTGGGTACAGGCCAAACAAGAGAGTCATGTAACCTAGATGATGAGTCCAGAAATATGTGACATTCCCTCTGAGGAGACTGTTAAGATAGCACAGTCAAATCACCAAGGTGGCTGGCACAGATATTTGTCAAAATCTCATTTTGGGGCTATACCTAGGCAAAATTATTAAATCACTCAGGAGCTGGGCAAAAGTATATGTCACAGTTAAACTTGTGGAAAGGTTTAGGAATAAGACTTATCATACTGCACATATTCTGGCTCCAGATAGATGAGTTGATATTAGGCTTTTGTTATGACCTCAGTTATAGAGCACAATATCACCTGTGGCCAGAGAGAAGGAAAGAAAGTTACATCACTTATGTGGGTGGGGGTCCAGTGAGATGTCACAGTCCCCCTTGCAGGCAGGATCCTGGCAGAAGTGTTACATCACCTGGATGCTCACATCAGTGACATTAGAAAACTCCCTATGTGGGCAGGACTTTGGCAGAAGAGGATGCTCATTTCACCTGGGCAATTGTCCTGGATGTTTATCACAATGGCCCTCACGTGCAGTACCCAAGCTGGAGAGTGACCTCACATTGGTGCTGGGCCCAGCGATATGTCACAATCTCCCTTTGGTCAGGGCCCAGGCAAAAGCAAAGAAACATTACCTAGCTGGTAAAACAAGTAATATGTCACATAAATCCTGTTGACAGAACCGTAATAGAAGAATCACTTCACCTGCGTGCAGTACCCGTTATGTGTCACAATGCACTGTAAATGCAGGGACAAAGGAGTAGAAGGGAGTCACATCAATTACATAATGGACCTACATATAAGACACAATTCTCTTGGTAGGCAGTTTTCAGGCAGATAATTCGCATCATCTGGGTAATGGTCCCAGTGATATGTAATAGTGCCCTTCATAGAAAGAGCCAAGGGATGTGTTACATATTGCTCAGATGCTTGTTCGACATATGGCACAATTTCTTCTGTGATCTGGGTGTATAAAAGAGATCCAAATTATTCATGTGCTGTGCAAAGTTACCTGTCCCAATCACACTCTCAAAAAGGTTTGAAAATAAGTTTCACGTCTCACCAAAGTCCTGGTTTCCTGTATGTGAGTAAACACTATCTATGTGCCGGGTCAAAGCAGAGGAGTCACAATCTCAACAATCAGCCAGATTCATATATGACAGCCCATTCTCACTTGCAGATTGTGTTTCAGTTGGTGAGTCACATCACCGCAGTGTGCTGAATCATGGTTCATATGTTACCAAACCACCTGTGAATCAGATTCCTTTATGAGAGTAATTATTTCAGCTTTTGAGTGCTTCTTTATGTGTGAGATTCAAGGGCTACATTAGTAGGCCCTGTGCATGTGTGAGAATGACAATTGTGCATGTGTGAGAATGACACAGATATTTTGCTTTGCCAGTCCAGCTGAGGCTCCCAGGCCACTCAGACTCTGAGGAGAGTCCTGTGAAGAATGACAAACTTGGCACTAAGCAGCTTGCAATCCAGGCATTTCTTCAATATAGAATTAACAACAGAAGCTTTGAGTAAACACAATTGTGGATAATTAACATGGTTAAGAAAGTAGTTCTACAAATGATTAAGGTCAGGTACCATGGTCTAAAATAAATACTATTAGGGGGCAACTTTCCTGGTCGAGCTCCCCACTGAGAGAGCTATCTGGTTCAAAGACTGGTTAATGGAGGTAAAATAAACAGACTTAACTGGGGAAGCCTATATTGTCCCTCATTTTACCCTATGACCTAATATTCTCAAGTAAGAACTGGCCACCTTAAGCCTGTCCAATTATTACAAGCTATGTAACTTTTCAGCCTTCCAAAGCTTTGTGACTCTTCCTTATTACGTTCCCCAGTATTTCCTTTTAATATTTCTGCCACAAACCTGAGTGAATCACAACATACTGGCTCTGTCCAGGTATGAGAGTTATTATTGTGCAGGATTGCTTAACCCAGGCATTTGTCACAATTCCACCTATGAGCAGGAAGAAGCCAGAAGAGTCACATCACCTGGATGCTTAGCCAATTACACAGTATAATCACATTTGTAGGCTGGGCATAGTCTGAAGTCACATCAGCTGGATACAGACTGAAATAGTATGTCATTAATCCGGAGATTGACAGAAAAAGAGAAGAGTCACTCAACCTAGGTGCTGCACTCTGCAATATGTAATAATCCCCTCTCTTAACAAGGAATATGAAGGAGAGTCATATTCCCTAGGTTTTGTAATCAGCAGTATGTTACAATTTACTTGGTGAGCAGAACCCAGACAGGAGAGGTAGGTAGTATGACCTAGATGTTAAGCCAAATGATATTTTACAATGTCCTCTGGGGGCAGGGCACAGGCAGAAGAGACAAATCACCAAGATTATAGGTCCAGAGATATGTGATACTATCCTCTTTTGGCAGGGTCCAAGCAAAAGAGTCACATTTTTATGAATTCTAACCCAGCGATATGTCACAATGAACCCATGGGAAGAAATTTAAGCCAAAATGTCTCAACACCTTGGTACTCTGCCTAGCAATATGCCAAATCTCTTTGTCTTTGAGGGTGACACCATTAACTGTGAGCTGGTTGTGTATCTGATAGTCACAATCTCACATGTTTCCTGGGCCACTGTATGACCCTCTACAACATTTGAAGGCCTTAAACAGCATGCATGAGCATTGCAAACCACTCTGAGGCCTACATGCTTCTATGGACTCACAATATTAGATATTTTCCTAAACCAAGGTATGACAGTCCACATCTGTCTTATATGCTGGCTTCAGGAATGAGACCATTATTATGCCTGTGAGCTGGCTCCAGAAATGAGTCACCATCCCACCTGTGGCCAGATTCACTTACGAAAATTACAATTCCAATTTTGTACTGTATTCACTTGTTAGACTGAGGACCTCAACAATGAGTTTTGTAAATATAGCATGGTCACAACTTTTACTTTCACCTCAATGTGTAGTTGAGAGTCACAATCTTAATATTTTGATGAGCCCTGTTATGAAACTCCCTGTACCACACAAGAAGTATTTATGATACGAGTTAATACTGTAAACTTCTGTGAGCTTTGTACAAATATCCAATGAAAGAACTTACCTATTGACCTAAACCTAGTGATGAGAGGAAAAATATGTCCTATTGGCTGAATATAAGCTTGATCATCATGCCTTTGAACTGAAGCAAGGTATATGTCATAATCCAATTTTTGTGGGGGCAAAACCTAGGCAGAAGTTTAACATCACCTAGGTTCTGTGTGAAGTAATATATCATGACGCCCTCATTAGGCAGGGGCTAGTAAAGAGGGTCACATTAACTGGGGGATGGAGCTTTGTAATATGATAAAACCACACATGGAAGAAAGCAAGCAAAGTGATGAGAGCCAGAATACCTACAGATTTGGCCAAAGATATGTCAACATACTTTCTGTGGCTCTGGCACAGGGAGGAGAGTCACATCATTACGGTGCTGGGCCAAACAGTATGCCATAATTCCCTCTTTATGCACGACCTAGGCAGAAGAGTAACATCATCTGGGTGCTGAGCCCTAAAATATGGCAAAAGGCCTGTTCATGGGCGTTGTTCGGCAACCAGTCGAGAGTCACATTACCTAAGTGGTGGGCTCAATATGTCACAATATGTCAATTGTTTAGGTATATTTCACATACCTAGACAATTTAATAGGTGGGCAGAATCCAGGCTGAAGTGCCACATCACACGGTCCTGGGTCCTGAGACATTTGCAAGCCCTCCTTAGAAAAGGTCCCAGTCAAGAGAGTTACATCACCTGGGTGCAGGTCCCACATATATGTCACAATGTTCCATGTGGGCAGGGCCAAGCAGGAAGTCACATCACCTAGGTGATAGGCATAGAAATATGTCACAAAGCTTTCCTTAAAGCATGTCCCTGGCAAAAGAGTACCATCACCTTTGTGTGTGGCCTAGCAATATGTCACTATTCAAGTGTGCAGGTCCCAAGCAGAAGAGACATATTATCTCTATGATAGGCCCTGCAATATTTCAAAATGCCCTCTTTGGGGCGTGGCCCTGTCAAAATAGTATCATCACCTCTGTGCCACTCCTAGGAGTACGTCACTATCCTGCCCTGTGTGCAGGGCCCATTCTAGAGAGGAGAGTTACTTCTTTTAAGTGATGGACACAGTAATATGTCACAATAACGTGTGTGTCATGGTACAGGCAAGAATGTAACATCACCTGGATGCTGGATCCAGTGATGTTACAATTCTTACTGAGAGCAGGGCCCAGGCAGAAGTGTAACATCATGTCAAGGTTGGCCCAGGTAAATATCAAAATGCCATATGTAGGCTTGAACCAGTCTGAAGAGTGAAATCACACCGGTAACTGGCAAAGATTTATATCACAGTCTTGAAGAAATAAAATTCTGGGGATTAGATTTAGAATACCACACATGTCCTGTTTTCATGTAGGACAGATGCCTTCATCCACCTGTGATGGTGAAATTCCTTGCTGTCAGCTGGGTGTGCATACAATACTCACAATTTATTCTGTGTGCTAGGTGCTTTGTGACACCCTCTATTCAACACAAGGGTGTTAAAAAATATGTGTGAGTGTTGCAATCTTCTGTGACCTTTTTACCAGAAGGAGATTCTACATCACTCATGTCCCTAAACCTAGTTATAAGAGGCAACATTTCTTCTATTGGCTGGGTCCACATAAGAGAGTCATTATCATGCCTATTAGCTGTGCCTAGTTATATGTCACCATCCCGTCTTTGGTTATAAAAGAGATAGAACAAACACATCACCTACATTCTAAGCCAGAAGTATTACAACGTTCTCTTTGTCAGCAGGGCACTAACCGAAAAGTCAGAAAACTTTGGTGCCAGTCCCAGCTCTATCGCATAATGCCTCTTGTGGACAATGTCCAGGCAGGTGAGGAGAGTCATATCACCAAAATGATGGGCTCAGAGATATGTCACAAGGCCTCCTGTTGAAATGGCCCAGGCAAGAGAGTCATGTCATTTGGATGCAGTGTTTAGAAATGCCACACTCTTCACTGAAAGGAGGTTCAGACAAATGGGGAACATCACATTACCTAGATGATGGGCCCATAGATATGTTATAGTTTTTTCTGAGGACCCTCTACAACAGGAGAGTCAAATCACCAAGGTTCTAGGTCCAGGTATATGTCAAAATGTCATATGCAGGCTATAATTAGGCAGGATTATTAAATCACTGAGGAGCTGGACCAAGGTGTATGTCACAATAGCACTGGTGGAAATGTTCAGGAATGAGAGTCACCATTCTGCACATCCTGGCTCCAGGTATAAAGTTGTTATTATTCCTTTGATCTGTCTCAGGTATATGGCATAATTTCACCTGTGGGCAAGGAGAAGAAAGGAAAGTCACATCACTTCAGTGGGTGCTGGTCCAGTGAAATGTCACAATCCTCCTTGTGGGCAAGACTCCTGGAAAAGAGTCACATCACCTGGATGCTGGTTTAAGTGATATATGAAAATCCACCCTAAGGACAGAGCTTAGGCTGGAAAGGAGACAAAATTCACCTAAGCAATTGGCCTGGAGATATGTCACAATAGCCCCTATGTGCAGGACCAAGGCAGGAGCGTGTCCTCACTTTGGTGCTGGGTTCAGCAACATTTCATAATCTCTCTAGTGGTTAGAGCTCAGGCAAGAGAGAAGAAACATCACTGAGGTGCTGAACCAAGTGTTATGTTACAAAGCTTCCTATTGGCAGAGCGCCACAGGAAAATGAGTCACATTACCTGAGTGCAGTACCCAGTTATGTGTCACAATGCACCATAAGTGCAGTGCCAAGGCAGTAGAAAGAAGTCATATCACTTATGTGATGGACCTAGAAAAAAGCCACAGTGCTGTCTGCAGGCAGGGCTCAGGCCAAGATTTTACATCAGCTGAATGCTGGTTTCAGTGTCATGTAAAAGTGCCCCCTGTCACGTTGCTAAAGGTGTTATATGTTGCTTGTTGCATGTATGTCACAATTTCAACTCTGCTCTGGGCCTAGAAAGCAGAGTCAAAACACTCAGATGCTGGGCAAAGTCACACTTCTCATTCACACACTAAAAAGTGTTCAGAAATCAGTTTCACAGTCCCACACAAGTCTGAGCTTCATGCATGAGACTCAACATCTCCTATGACTGGGTCAAAGTACAGGAGTCACAATATCAACAATGGGCAAGATGCATGTATAAGAGCCCCAATCCCACTTGAAGATTGTGTGTCAGGATAAGAGTCAAATCACCAAAGGTCTGCTGAGTTGTGGTTCAAACATCGCCAAACCACCTATGGATCTGATTCATATATAAGGTAACAATTTCTAGCTTCAGCTGCTTATGGGAGGGAGATTTAGTAAATCATTCATAGGCCCTGTTTATAACAAACATGCCAGCTGGGTGTGCGTCCAAGAGTCACAATAGCACGTGGTCACTGGTGCCTGTTATGACACCCTTTGTACCACTCAGGATTTATATGATATGCCTGACTAGGCTACTTTTCTGTGATTTCTTATAGGTGGGAGATTTGGAATTTATCCGTGGCTGTAAGACAGACTATGAGAGTTAAAATATTCCCCCTGGCTGGGTTCATGTATGAGAGTTATTATTGTGCAAGTGTGCTGATTTCTGGTATGTATCACAATTTTCCCTTTGGACAGAAACAAGGCATAAGAGTCACATCATTTGCATACTGAGCCATGGATACACTATAATCTCCTCTGTGGTAAGGAGCCAGTGACATGGGTCATATCACTGGGTACAATCTCAAATAATATGTCATCTTGACAACTGCATACAGGGTTGAAAAAATAGTGGATAGTTACATCCTCTACGTGCTGGGCTCAGCAATATGATATAATCGCTGCTCTTAACAGAGTCCAGGACAAAGGGGAGAGTCACATCACCTGTGTTTTGCACTCAGGGGTATGTCACAATTTCATCAGTGGGCAGGATCCAGGCAGAAGAGGTGAGTCACATTACCTTGATGCTATATCTAGTGGTATGTCATAGTGTTCCCTGTGGGCAAGACACTGGCAGGAGAGACACATCACCTAGCAAACAGGACTAGAGATATGTGATAATATTTCCTGTTTGCTAGGTCCAAGAACAAGAGTACACATTATTATGATCCTAACCCGGCGATATTTCAAAATCCACCTATGGTCAAGAATTTAAGCCACTAATCTCAACACCTAGGGTTACCAGGCATAGTGATATGACACAATCTCCTTATCTTTTTGGGTGACACTTTTTACTGGTATGTATGTAAGTGTCACAATGTAACGTGTTCTGGGTCATTGTGTGACACATTCTACAATATTCAAAGGCTTTATGTAACATGCATGAGATTTGCAATCCATTCTGAGGCCTACATGCTCCTGTTGACTCACAATCTTATGTATTGCTTTAAATTCAGTTATGATAGACAACATCTCTCTTATAGGCTGGGTTCAGACAGGAGACCCATTATTATGTCTGTGATCTGAGTCCAGAACTGAATCACCATCTCAACTGTAGCAACACACACATATGAAAGTCCCAATTCCATCTTTGTACTTTATTTACTTGTTAGACTGAGGACTTCAACAGTGGTCTTTTTAAATGTGGGATAATGAAATCTTCATCTCTCTCCTGCATGACATGTGTAATCAAGAGTCACGATCTTAACCTTTTGCTAGGCCCTGTTATAAAACTCTGTGTACCAGCCAAAAAGTTTACAGAATTTGAATTAGTGTTGTCATATGTGAGCTTTATGCAAATATGCAACTTATAACCTTACCTATTGCCCTAAGTGTAGCAATGAGAGGCAAAGTGTCTACTATTGGTGCAATCCCAATATAAGTTTGATTATTATGCCTTTGAAATGAAGCAAGGTAAATTTCAAAATCCCATTTGTAGAAAAAAAAACTTGGCAGGAGGGTAGCACAATTTAGGTGCTGTGTCAAGCAATATGTCACAATGCCCTCTCTAGGCATGATATAGAAGTGAGGGATCCATTAAATGGGGGCTGGACCCAGCAATATGACACAATCCCAAATGTGGAAAAAAAAAAGAACCCAGACAAATGATGACACCAAAAACTCCTACTGAATGGGTCTATAATATGTAAAAATACTTTATGTTGCTCTGGCACAGGAAGGAGCGTTACATCATCAGGGTGAGGGGCCCAGCAATATGCCATAATTATCTCTTTATGCAGAACCCAGGTAGAATTGAAAGATTATCTGGGTGCTGGGCCCTGCAATACCTCAAAAATCTTTTTCTTGGGCATGGTTGGGGAAAAAAGAGTCATAGTACCTAAGTATTGGGCTTAGCAGTATGTCAAATCACCCCATTGCAAAGACTCAGGCAGAAGAAAAGATTCACATCACTTAAGACACAGGCTCAGATATATGACCCAATGTCTCAAGTAAGGAGGGCTCAGGCAGAAGGGTAGAGTCATATCACATAGGGGCTTCCCTAGGTATATAACACAATCTAACATATGAGGTGAAAGCTGGCAAAAGAGCCACATCGCCTTGATGTGGGCTCTTGAGATATATCACACAAGCCTCCCTTAAGACAGCACCCATGCAAGAGTGTTATAACAAATAGGTGCGGGTTGTACCATTATGTCACAATGCTCCACGTGGGCAGGGCTCAAAAAGATAGTCAGATCACCTAGGTAATAGGCCAGAGATATGTTACGATATCCTTCTTAAGGCATGGCTCGGGCAAAAGAGTACCATCACCTGTTTGCCTAGCCTAGTAATGTGTCACTATCAAGGTAAGCAGGGCCCAGGCAGGAGAGCAAAATCACCTAAGTGATAGTACCAGAGATTTGTCACAATGCCCTCATTAGGACACGGCTCTAATAAAAGATTACTGTCATCTACGTGCCTGACCCAGCCATATGATACTATCCCCCACTGTGTGCAGGGCCCATTGTCATGAGGAGAGTTACATCACCTAAGTGGTTGTATGACATACGAGACAGTGATATGTCACAATGATGTCTGTGGGAATGGCACAGGCAAAAATTTAACATGACTTGGGTGGTGGACCTAGTGATATGTCATGACCCTTACCGAGAGCAGGACCCAGGCAGGAGAGTCACATCACCTAGATGTTGGACCAGGTAGAAATCACAATAACAACCTCAGGCTGGAACCAGTCTGGAGAGTCAAGTCACACAGATGGTCAGCAAGGATGTTTTTTCAAAATGACACTGGGAGAAAATTCCTGAAATGAGATTTACACTACCACACATGTCTTGTTTTCATGAGTGAGAGCTGGCTTCACATATTTCAGACAGTGACAGTATTTACTGTCAGCTGGGTGTGTATATGAGACTCACAATTTCACCTTTCTGCTGAATAGTGTTTTTACACTCTCTGTACAAGCCAAGGGCATTATAAAATATCTGAGGGTGTTATAATCTTCTTTGACCTTTTTTTTTTCTTTTTTACCAGAAAGAGATTTATGAGATTTATTCACTCTTGTTTTTGTTGTTGTTTTTGTTGTTGTTGAGACAGAGTCTGGCTCTGTCACCCAGGCTGGAGTGCAGTGCTGCAATCTCTGCTCACTGCAACCTCCACCTCCTGGGTTCAAGCAATTCATCTGCCTCAGCCTCCTGACTAATTTGGACTCCAGTCGCACACCACCACACCCAGCTACTGTTTGTAGTTTTAGCAGAGATGGTGTTTCACCATGTTGGTCAGCATGGTCTCGATCTTTTGACCTTGTGATCCACCTGAATCACCCTCCCAAAGTGCTGGAATTACAGGCCTGAGCCACCACGACCAGATAATTTACTCGTGTTTCTAAAGTAAGTTAGAAATGTCAAAGTTATTTTTATTTGTGGGGTCTACATAAAAGAGTCATTATACCTGTAAGTTGTGCCTATGTATAGGTCACAATTTACTCTGTGGTAATGAAATAGGCATGACAGCTAAGTCATCTAAATGCTGAACCAGAAATTTTCCATTATTTTTCTTGTAGACAAGTTCCTTGCAGAAAAGTTTTGTAACGTGGGTGTTACACCCAGATGTATGGCATAATGCCCCTTGTGGGCAGTGTCTAGACAGAAGAGGAGTCTCATACCACCTAAATAATAGGCCCAGAGATATTTCACAATGTGTCCCATTGAAAGGACCAGGCAAGAGAGTCATATCATTTAGATGCAGTGCTTAGAAAAGCTATAATCCCCAGTGGAAGCAGGGTCCAGGCAGGAGAGGAGAGTCAGGTAACTAGATGGTGGGTCCAGAGACATGTTACAATCTTTCCTTAGGATATTGTTAAGACAGGAGAGTCAAATCACCAAGGTGATCACCCGAGGTATATTTCCAAATCTCATTTGTGGGCTACACCTAGGCAGGATTATTAAATCACTCAGGAGCTAGGCAAAAGTATATATAACAATAACACTGGTTGAAAGTTCCAGGAATGGGAATAACCATCTTGCATATGACCTGGGTCCAGATTTAAGAGTCGTGATTAGTCCTTTTGTCTGGTCTCAGGTATATGGCACAATATCACCTGTAAACAGAGAGCAAGGAGGAAGGTCACATCACCTGGGTGGGTGCTGGTCCAGTGAGATGTAGTCATCTTTCTTGTAAGCAGGGCCTTGGAAAGAGTGTCACATCACTTGGATGCTGGTTGCAGTGATATATCAAAATCCCCCATGTGGGCAGGGCTTAGGTAAGTGAGGAGACCCTCTTTACCTAGGCAATTGGCTTAGACATATGTCACACTGGCCGCTATGTGCAAAACCAAGGTATAAAAGTGATCTCACCTGGTGCTGGGTTTAGCAATGTTACAATCTCCCCTTCGGTCAGGGTGATACAAGAAAGGAGAAACATCACCTAGGTGCTGAATTAAGTGATATGTTACAAAGCTTTCTGTTGGCAGAACCCAAAATGCAGAGTCACATCACCTGGGTGCAGTATCCAGTTATGTGTCACAATGCACTATAAGTGCAGGGCCAAGGCAGTAGAAAGCAGTCACATCACTTACATGATGAACTTAGATATAAGCCACAAAGTCTTTTATAGGCAGGGATAAGGCAAATATTTCACATCACATGGGTGCTGATCCCTGTAATATGTAAAATTGCCCTTTGTATGCACACCCAGGCATCTATACTTAGGTGTTTGGTCGTCAAATTGTTCAGGGGATCAGCTAACTTTTATGTCCTGACCACATGATAGTAAATATTTAGAAATAAGTTTCACAGTCCCACACAAGTTCTGGATTTTTGTATGTGAGTCAACACTTCCTGTGAGTTGGGTCAAAGCAGAGGAGTCACAGTCTCAACAGTGGGCAAGCTTCATGTATAAGATGCCCAATTCCACTTGAAGAATGTGTTCCAGCAGAGGAGTCACAGCCTCACAGATGTGCTCAATCGTGCATCACCAAACTACCCATATAGAAGAGGAGCAATTTTAACTTTTGACTGCTCTCTTTGTGAGGTTTAATGCCTTATTTGCAGGCCCTGTTCTTGTGAGAGAATGACTACCGGGTCAGCTGGCTGTGCATTCAAGAGTCACAATGATACTTCCTTCCTGTTCCCTGTTATAACACTGTTTTTACCACTCAGGCTTTATATAATATGCCAGAGTGTCATAATCCTCTGTGAACTTTATACCATTAGGAGACCCAGTACTTTACTTGTGGCCATAAGACTGGCTATAGGAGTCAAAAAATCTCTCCTTTCTGGTTCTAGGTATGACAATTTTATTTGTGCATGTGAGCTGAACCCAGTTATATGTCACAATTTAACCTGTGAGCAGAAGCAAGGTGGGAGAGTCTCATCACCTGGATTCTGAGCTCAGGATACATTATAAACTCCTTCAAAGGCAGGGCCAAGTCAGAAGAGTCACATCACCTGGGTACCGTATCAAGTACTACGGCATCATGTCCACTGTAGACAGGTTTGAAGAAAAAAAGGAGAGTCACACCACCTAGGTGCTGAGCTCAGCAATATGTAGTAATTACCTCTTTTGGCTGACTCTGGAACAAGGAGGAGAGTTGCATTACCTAGGTTTTGTACTCCGTCGTATGTCACAATTCATTCTGCGGTCAGGACCCAGGTAGGAGACGAGCGTCACACTTCCAGATGTTACTTCAAGATATGTCATAATGTTCCTTGAGGGTAAAGCATGGGCAAAATAGACAAATTACCTAGCTGATAGGCTCAGAGATCTGTGATAATATACATTTTTGGCAGGGCCCAGGTAGAGCAGTCACATTATTATGATTCTGAACCCAGGATATATCACAATGCAAACAAGGGAAACAATTTATGCAAAGGTTTTAACACCTGGGTACTAGGACCAGCGATAAGACACAATCTCCTCATCTTTGAGAGTGACACCTTTAACTGTTAGCTTGGTGTGTATATGAGTCACAATGTCACGTGTGTGCTGGGCCATGCTATGACACCCTCTGTAATGTCTGAGGGCTTTATATAGCATGCGTGAGAGTTGCAAACTACTCTGAGGCCCACATGCTTATATGAAATCACAGTCTTATATATTGCCTTAAGCACAGGTATGATAGCCAACATCTCTTATTTAGGCTGATGTCAGGAATGTCTGTGAGCTTGGTCAAAAATGAGTCACAATCGCACATGTGGCCAGATCCATATATGAGAGCCACAATTTTATCTTTATATTCTTTTCACTTGTTAGACTCAGTACATCAACGGTGGGCTTTGTAAATGTGGGATAGTGACGACTTTTACTTTCACCTAGGTGTGTAATTGACAGTCACAATCTTAACTCTTTGCTGGGCCTTGTTATGAAACCCTGTATCACCCAAGTAGTTTATACAAGACAAATTTGTGTTGTAAACTTCTGTGAGCTTTGAAGAAATTTCCAACCCAGAATTTTATATGTTGCCCTAAGCCTAGCGATGAGAGGCAAAATATCTTCTATTGCCTGAATCCTAATATAAGAGACCATCATACCTGTAAGCTGTAGCAAGGTATATGTCATAATACCATTTGTGGGCAAAAAATTAGGAAAAAGAGTAACATCACATAGGCGATATGGCAATCGACATGTCACAATGCCCTCTCTAGGCAGAACCTAGGAAGGAGTGTTACATTAACTGGGTGCTGCGCCCAGCAATATTACAGAATTCCACATGTGAAAAATATTAGCCAAGGGATAAGAGCCAAAACTCCTACAGAAAAAGCCGAAGACATGTCAAAAATACTCTCTGTGGCTCTGGCACAGATAGGACAGTACCATCATCAGGGTGCTCAGCTGACCATCTGCAATAATTTTATCTTTATTCAGGACTCTGGCAGAAAAATAACATCATCTGAGTGCAATAGGTCAAAATTTCTTTGCGGTCACGGTTCAGAAAAAAGAGTAGAGTCACATGATGTAAATGTTGGGCTCAGAAACATGTCACAATCCCACCATTTTAAAGGCCCTGGTACAAGAGAGCCATATGACTTTGGTCATGGGCTCAGAGATATATCCCAATGACCCCAGTAGGCAGGGCTCAGGCAGTCAAGGAGATTCATATCACCTAGGTGCTTCCTGAGGAATATATCACAATGTTACATGTGGGCAGAAAACAGACAGGAGAGCCACATAGCTTGGGTTCTGCATGCTGAGATATTTCACAAGGCTCTCTTAGAACAGCTGCCAGACAATGGAGTTACGTCACCTACATGCAGGTTCTCTGCCTATGCCACAATGCTCCATGTGGGTAGTGCCTAAGGAGGAATGGACTACACCTAGGTGATAGGGCCAGAGATATGTCACAAAGTCCTCTATGAGGCATGGCCCTGGCAAAAGAGTACCATCACCTGTGTGCCTGGCCTAGAAACATGTCACGCTCCAGGTTGGCAATACCCAAGCAGGAGAGCCACATAACCAGAGATACATCAGAATCCTCTCCTTTGGGCATGGCTTTGGCAAAAGAGTAGCCTCACCTGTGTTCTCAGTCTTGAATCATGTCACTACCTTTTCTTTGAGCAGGGCCCATTCCAGAGAGGAAAGTTACATCACCTATGAGGTGGACACAGAAATATGTCACAATAATTTTTGTGGGCATGCTGCAGACAAGAATGTAACCTGTGGCCAGAGAGTAGCCAAGAAAGTCACATCAGCTATGTGTGTGCGGGTCCAGTAAAATGTCACAATACACTTTGCGGGCAGGACCCTGGCAGAAAAGCCACATCACCTGCATGCTGCTTGCAGTGACATATCAAAACTCACTATGTGGGCAGAACTTTGGCAAGAGAGGAGAACCACTTAGCCTAGGCAACTGGTGCAGATATATGTCACAATGACCCTCATGTGCAAGACCAAGGCTGTAGAGTGACCACAACTTAGTGCTGGGTGCAGCAATATGTCACAATTTCCCCATGGTCAGGGCCCAGAGAAAATATGAAGAAACATCACCTAGGTGCTGAGCCAAGTGATATGTTCCAATGCTTCCTGTTAGCAGAGCTCAAAAAGGAGAATCATGTCACATGGGTGCAGCACCCAGTTATGTGTCACATTTCAGTGTAAGTGCAGGGCCAAGACAGTAGAAGGGACTCACTACACTTATGTGATGTACCTAGATTTAAGACACAATTCTTGTAGGCAGTTTTCAGCAGATAATTTACATCACTTAGGTGATTGTCCCAGTGATATATAAAAGTGACCTTTGCAGTGGGAGTTCTGGAAACTATTATATGTTTCTTAGGTGCTTGTTTCACATATGGCAAAATCTAGTCTGGGATTAGAAAAGAGAGTCAGACGATTCATGTGCTAGGCAAAGTTACCTCTCCCTTTTATATTCTCAGAAAGATTTGGAAATAAGTTCCACATCCCACACAAGTATTTCTTTTGTGTAAGTGATTCAATTATTCTGTGAGTTGGGTTGAAGCAGAGGAGTTACAATCTCAGCAACGAGCAAGATTCATGTATAAGAGCCCCAATCTCACTTGAAGATGGTTTTCCAGTAGGGGAGTCAGCACTACAGGTGTGTTGAATCATGGTTCGTATGTTACCAAACCACCTGTGAATCAGATCCATGTATAAGAGTAATTATTTCAATCTTTGACTGCTTTTTATGTGCATGATTTATTACCTCATTCCTAGGCCCTGTTCATGTGGGAGAATGTCAATCGTGTCAGCTAGGTGTACATACAAGTGTTCTCACCTCATTGCTGCTTTCTGTTATTACACTCTTTGTATCATTAAGGCTTTATGTGATATACCTGAGTGTTATAATCCTTCGTGAAATTTATACAAGTGAAAAGCCCAGGACTTTACCAATGGCTGTGAGACTGGCTGTGAGAGTCAGTTATCTCTACTGGATGGGTCCAGGTATGAGAATTATTATTGTGCATGTGTGCTTAAACAAGGTACATGTCACAGCTGGATCTGTGAGCAGAAAAAATGCCAGGAGAGTCACATCAGTTGGGTGCTGAGCCAGTTATATAGTATAATCTTGTTTGTAGTCTGGGGCTAATCAGAAGGGTAACATCACATCACCTGAGTGCTGAGCCAGTGATACAGTATATACTCATTTTTTGGCTGGGCCTAGTCAGAAGAGTCACATCACCTGGGTACAGCCTCAAACAGTATGTCACCAAGCCCACTAAAGACAGGAAAGAAGAAAAAGAGGAGTGTTCCACCACCTAGATGCTGAGCTCGGCAATATGTAATAATCCTTCTTTTGGAAGAGTCTAGAATATGAAGGAGAGCTACATCTCCTAGATTTTGCAATCAGCGGTATGTCACAACTTCTATGGTGAGCAGGGCCCAGGCAGGAGAGGATAGTCACATTTTCTAAATATTATGTAAACCGATATTTCACAATGTCCCCTGGGGACAGGGCACAAAAAGAAGAGACAAATCACCTAGCTTATAGACCCAGAGATATGTGATAATATTCCCTCTTGGCAGCGTCAAGGCAGAAGAGTCACATTATTATGATTCTAACCCAGTGATATGTCACAGTGAATCCATGGGAAGGAATTTAAGCCAAAAAGTCTCAACATCTTGGTAACAGGCTTCGTAATATGCCAGAACTCCTTGTCTTTCAGAGTGACATGATTCACTGTGAGCTGGGTGTGAATATGAGAAACACAATCTCATGTGTTTCCTGGATCATTGTATCACACTCTACAACTTTCAAAGGCTTTATACAGCATTCGTGAGAGTTGCAAACCACTCTGAGGCCAACATGCTTGTATGGATTCATTATCTTATATACTGCCATAAACCCAGATACGATAGTCAACATATCTTCTGTAGGCTAGGTTCAGGGATGAGACCCCTTATTTTGCCTGTAAGCTGGATCCAGAAGTGAGTCACCCTCCCATTTGAGGCCAGATCAACATATGAAGATCACAACTCCAATTTTGTTCTCTATTCACTTTTAGACTTAGGAACTTAATAGTGGGCTTTGTACATGTGGGATGGTGACGACATTTGCTTTCACCTGGGTGTCTAACGGAGAGTCCTAATCTAAACTTTTGATGATCTCTTTCATAAAACTCTCTTTACAACCCAAGAAATGTATACATTATGAGTTAGTGTAAAGTTTTTGAGTTTGATGCAAATATGAAACCCAGGACCTCATCTATTTCCCTAAGCCTAGTAATGAATGGCAAAATGTATCCTACTGGCTGAATCCCAGCATGAGTTTGACCATCATGCCTGTGAACTGAAGTAAGGTGTAGGACATAGTCCCATTTGTGGTCAAAAAGTGAGTCAGGAAGGTAACATCACTTGGGTGCTGTGACAAGCATCATGTCACAATGTCCTCTCTAAGAAGGGTATAGGGATTAGAGTAACATTAACTGGGTGTTGGAACTGCAATATGACAAAATCCCATATGTGGAAAAAGACAACCTAGAAATGAAAGCCAAAATTCCAACAGAATGGGCCCAGGATATATCACAATACCTTCTGTGGCTTTGGGTCAGCCATGAGAGTCACATTATTAGGGTGCTGGGCCCAGAAATATGCCATAATCCCTCATATGTGCAGGACCCAGGCAAAAGAGTAATGTTATCTGCATGCTTGGCCCTGCAATAGGTCAAAATCTTTGTTTGTCTAATAACCCGAGTGCTGGGCTCAGCCATATGTCACCAATGTCACCATCCTCTCATTGTAAAGACCAGGCAGGAGAAGAGAGTCACTTCACTTAGGTCATGGGCTCAGAGAAACATCCCGGTGCCCCTGTATGCAGGGCTCAGGTAGAAAAGAAGAGTTATATCACTTATATTCTTCTCTAGTTATATGTCACAATCTAACATGTGGGCAGAAACCAGGAAGAAGAGCCACATCACCTGGGTATAGCCTCAAGTAATATGTCACCATGCCCAATGTAGACATCTTCAAAGAAAAAAAAAAAAAAAAAGAATTAGACCACGAGCATGCTGGGCTCAATAATATGTAATAATTCCCTCTTTTGGCAGAGTACACAACAAAGAAGAGAGCCATGTCACCTAGACTTTGTGCTCAGTGGTATGTCACAATTTCTTCAGTCAACAGGATCCATCCAGGAGAGGAGGGTCACATTACCTAGATGCTATATGTAGCAATATGTCACAGTGTCCCCTGTGGGCAGGGCACTGGCAGGAGGGAAATGTCACTTAGCCAATAGATGCAGAGATATGTGAAAATATCTGCTCTTTGCAGGGCCAAGATAGAAGAGTCACATTGTCATGGTTCTGATCCAGTGATATGTAACAATGACCTCATGGAAAAGAATTTAAACCAAAAAGTCTCAATACCGGTATACTAAGCCAAGGGATGTGGCATAATCTCCTCATCTTTAAGCATGACATCATAAACTGTTATCTAGTTGTGTATATGACAGTCACAATCTCCCAAGTGTGCTTGCCATTGTATGATACTCTCTACAACATCTGAAAACTTTACGCAACAGGCATGAGTGTTGCAAAACTTTCTGTGGGCTACATGTTTATATGGACTCATAATCTTACATATTGCCCTAAACTGAGGTATGTCAGGCAACATGTCTCCTACAGGCTGGCATCAGGGTTGAGACCATTATTAGGCCTGTGAGATGGGTGTAGAAATGATCCACCATTTCACCTGTAGTCAGATTCACTTATGAGAGTCACAATTCAAACTTTCGGTTCTATTGACTTGATCAATTCAGGACTTCAGCAATAAGCTTTGTGAATGTAGGATATGAGTTAATGTTGTAAAATTCTGTGATCTTTGAACAAATATGAAATGAAGGTCCTTAACTATTGACCTAAACCTAGGGGTAAAAGGTAAAATGTCCCCTATTGGCTTAATCCCACAATAAGCTTGATCATCATGCCTTGGAGCTGAAGCAAAGTGTATGTCATAATCCCATTTGTGGGCAAAAAACTAGGCAGAAGGTTAACACCATTTAGGTGTTGTGCCAAGCAATATATCATAGTGCCCTCCCTAGGCAGAGCCTAAGAAATGGGGTCACATTAACCGGGGGCTGGAACCCACAATGTGACACAAAAATACGTGGAAGAAACCCAGCAAACTGGTTAGTGCCAAAGTACCTACAGAATGAGCAAAAGACATGTCAAAATACCTTCTGTGGCCCTGGCATGGACAGAAGAGTCATATTCTTAGGGTCCTGGGCCAAGCAATATGCCACAATTCCCTCTTTATCCATGAGCTAGGCAGAAGAGTAATATTATCTGGGTGTTGGGTCCTGATATACAGCAAAAGCCCTGTTCATGGGCACTCTTTAGCAAGAACATGAGAGTCACACAACCTAAGTACGGGGCTTCTCAATACATCACAATTCTCCCACTGTAAAACTACAGACAGAAGAAGTGAGTCAAATTACTTAGGTCATGGGCTCAATGATATGACCCAAAGTCATTTGTAGGCAGGGCTCAGGCAAAAAAAGTGAGTCGTATCACCTAGGTGCTTCTTTAGGTATAGGTCACAATTTAGTATGTGGGAAGAAGCCAGGCTGAAGAATCACATCACCTGGTCCTGGGTCCTGAGATATTCACAAATCCCCCTTAGAAAAGGACCTAGGCAAGAGAGTTACATCACCTAGGAACAGGTTCCACCCTTATGTTACAATGCTCCATGTGGGCAGCCTATGAAGGAATTCACATCACCTAGGTGATAGGCCCAGATATATGTCACATAACCTTCCTGAAACCATGGTCTTGGCAAAAGAGTACAATCACCTTTGTCACCTGGTCTAGCAATATGTCACTATTCCAGTGGGCAGTTTTCAAGCAGGAGAGCCATATCACCTATACAATAGGCCCTGTAACATGTCATAATCTTATCTTTTGTGCATGGCCCTGGCAAAGAAAAGTATCATTACCTGTGTGCCTGGCTTATGAATATGTCACTCTCCTGCCCTGTGTGCAGGGCCCGTTTCAGAGAGGAAAGTTATATCACCTCAGTGATGGACAACATAATATGTCACAAGGATGTGTGTGGGCATGGGGCAAGCATGAATGTAACGTCACCTAAGTACTGGATCCAATGATGTCACAATTCTTCCTGAGAGCAGGCCAGGCAGAAGAATCACAAGACTTCAATGTTGGCCCAGGTAGATATCAAAATTCCATGTGTAGGCTGGAACCAGTCCAAAGAGTGAAATCAAAAAAGCGCATGGAAGAGTTTTAGATCACAGTCATGATAAAATAAATTTCTAGGGATTAGACTTATAATGCCACATGTGTCTTGTTTTCATGTAGAACAGTAGCTTTTATACATCTGTGATTGTGAAAATCCTTCCAGTCAGCTGGGTGTCCAAACGAGACTCACGATTTCCTCTTTATCCTAGGCCCTGCTATGACACTCTCTATACTACTTACAGGTGTTATAAGAAGGTGTGAGTGTTGTAATCTTCTGTGACATTGTTAACAGTAGGAGATGCTTCATGTCACTCATGTCTCTAAACCTAGTTGTAAGAGTCAAAATTTCTCCTATTGGCTGTGTCCACATATGAGAGTCATTATCATGCCTGTTAGCTGTGCCTAGGTATATGTCACCATGCCCTCTGTGGTTACTAAATAGGCAGGACACTACATCACCTAAATCCTAAGCCAGAAATATTCCAATATTCTCTTTGTATGCAAGGCCCTAACGGAGAAGTAACAGAACTTAGGTGTTATGCCAAGCTCTATGCTGTAATGTTACTTGTGAAGAGTGTCCGGGCAGGAGAGGAGAGTCATATCACCTAGATGATGGGTGCAGAGATATATCATAATGCCTTCTGTTGTAATGGCCCAGGAAAAAGGGTCATATCATTTGGATGCGTGCTTAGAAATGCCACACTCTTTGCTTTAATCAGCGTGCAGTCAGGAGAGGAAAGTCGCATAACCTAGATCATAGGTCCAGAGATATGTTATGATCCCTTCGGAGAACACTGTTAAGACAAAAGTCAAATCCCCAAGGTTTTGGCCCAATTGTATGTAAAAATGTCACATCTGGACTCTAAATAGGCAGGATTATTAAGTGACTCAAGAGCTGGGCAAAAATAAACGTCAGAATAACACCTGTGAAAAGGTTCAGTGTTGAGAGTCACAATCCTGCACGTGACCTGGTTCCTGGTACAAGAGTCATTATTAGACCTTTTATTTGTTCTCAAGTATATGGCACATTACCACTTGTGGGGAAGGAGAAGAAAGTAAGGAAAGTCACATCATTTAAGTGTGTGCACGTCCAGTGAAATTTCACAATTCTCCTTGTGGGTGGGACTCTTGGAGAAGAGTCAATCACCTGGATGCTGGCTTCAGTGACATATCTAAATCCTCTCTGTTGGCAAGGCTTAGGCAAGAGAGGAGACAAACTGCACATGGGCAATTGGCCTTGATATATGTCACAATGGCCATTGTGTGCAGGATCAAGACAGGAGAGTGAACTCACCTTGGTGCTGGGCTAAGCAATATGTCAAAGTCTCTCTGGTGGTCAGGGTCAAGGCAAGAGAGGAGAAACAGCACCTAGGGGCTGAGCCAAGTGATTTGTTACATAGCTTTCTATTGGCAGAACTCCCCTCAAAAACTCTCACATCACCTGAATGCAGTGTGTCACAATACAGCATAATTGCAGGGCCAAGGCAGTAGAAGGAACTCACATTATTTACATGATGGATCTGGATAAAATCCATAATGCTCTTTGTAGGCAGGGTTTAGGCCAACATTTCACACCAGCTGGTTGCTGGTACCAGTAACATGTAAAAGGGCCCCTAGTTGCATTGACAAAAAGTTGTTATACATTGCTTAGGTGCTGGTGCATGTATGTCACAATTTCTAGGCTTGGCCTAGAAAGGAGAGTCAAAATACTCAGATGCTGGACAAAGTCAAACTTCACAATCACACACTTGAAAATGTTCAGAAATAAATTTTACAGGCCCACACAACTTCTGGCTTCGGGTATGAGAGTCAACACCTCCTATGAGTTGGGTCGAAGTAAAGAAGTCATAATCTCAACAATGGGCAAGATACATGTGTAACAGCCCCAATCACATTGAAGGTTGTGTTCCAGTAGGACAGTCAAAGCACCACTGGTCTGGAGAATCGTGGGTAAATTTCACCACAGCATCTGTGGATCAGATTCATATATGACGGTAACAAATTCCAGCTTCAACTGCTTATGTGTGTGAGATTTTTTAACTCATTCATAGGCTCTGTTCATGTGTGAAAATGACAACTGTGACAACTCGATGTGTGTAACACCTGGTTGCTGGTGCCTGTTATGACACACTTTGTACCACACAGACCTTAAATGATACACCTGAGTAGGATACATTTGTCTGAATTTTTACAGACATCTAATTTTACAGAGATCTGAGACTTTACTCATGGCCATAAACTGGCTCTGAGATTCACAATATCTCCCTTGGATGGGTCATGCATGAGTTATTATTGTGCATATCAGCTGAATCCAGGTATATGTTAGAATTTCATCTTTGGACATAGACAAGATAGAAAAGTCACATCATCTGTGTCCTTAGCCAGAAATACATTATATCTTCTTTTTAGGCAGGATCCAGTCAGAAGGCTCATATCTCCTGGGTACAGTCTCAAATAATATATCATCTTGACCATTGTATACAGGGTTGAAAAAATAGAGGGTAGTCACATTCCCTAGGTGCTGGGCTCTGCAATATGTTATAATTCCCTCTTATAGCAGATTCCAGCACAAAGAGGAGAGTCACACCACCTAGGTTTTGCACTCAGTGGTATGTCACAATTTCCTAGGTAGGTGAGATCCAGGCAGGAGAGGAGAGCACATTACCTAGATACTATATCCAGCAAAATGTCGGTGTCCCCTGTGAGAGAACACTGTGAGAGGAGAGACATATCACCTAGCTGATAGGCCCAGAGATATGTTACAATATCCCCTGTTGGCTGGATCCGTGAAGAAGAGTCACCTTTTTATGATTCTAACCCAGCAATATTTCACAATACACCCATGGGAAAGAATCTAAGCCAAGACTCTCAACACCGGGGTGCTGGGCTTTGTCATATGACACTATCAATTTATCCTTTAGGTGACACATTTAACTGTTAGTTTGTTATGTATGTAAGAGTCACAATCTCAAGTGTGTTCTCAGTCATCTTATGAGACACTCTACAACATCTGAAGGCTTTATGCAAAATACCTTAGTGTTACAAACCACTCTGAAGCCTACATGCTCGTTTGACCCAAAACATACATATTGATGTAAACCCTGTTATGATAATCAACAGTTCTCTTATAGGCTGGGTTCAGACAGAAAACCCATTATGGTGCCTATAATCTGGGTCCAGAAATGAGTCACCATCTCATCTGTAGCAAGATCCACATATGAGAGTCACAATTCCATCGTTGTACTTTATTTACTTCTTAGAGTCAGAACTTCAACAGTGGGCTTTATAAATATGAGATGCTAAAAACTTTTTCTCTCACCTGCATTTGTAATCAAGGGTCACAATTTTAATCTTTTGCTGAGCTCTATTATAAAACTCTGTGTACCACCCAAGTTTATAGACTATGAGTTAGTGTTGTAAATTTCTGTGAGCTTTGTGCAAATATGCATCTCATAACTGTAACTATTGCCCTAAGCACAGCTATGAGAGGGAAAAGTCTACTATTGGTGGAATGCCAATTATGTTTGATCATGATGCCACTGAGTTGAAGCAATGTAAGTATCATAATCTCATTTGTAGAAAAAAAAACTTAGTGGAAAAGTAGCACAACTTACATGCTGTGGCAAGCAATATGTCACAATACCCTCTCTAGGCAGGGTCTAGAAATGAGGGTTACATTAACTGGGTGCTGGAGTGCTGGACCCAGCAATATGACACAATCTCAAATGTGGAAAAACAAGCCCAAACAAATAAGGACAGCAAAAACACCTACAGGATGGGCCCAAGATATATAAAAATACTTTCAGTTGCTCTGGTACAAGCAGGAGAGTTATATCTTCAGGGTGATGGGCCCAGCAATGTGCCATAATTATCTCTTTCTGCAGGACTCAGGCAGAAAAGGTACATCATCTGGGTGCTGTACCCTGCAATACAGCAAAATTTATTTTATTGGCATGATTTGGAAAAAGAACAGTCATTTAATCTAAGTATTGGGCTTAGCAATATGTCACAGCATCCCACGGTAAGGGCTCAGGCAGAAGAAAACAGACACATCACTTAGAACACAGGCTCAGATATATGACCCAATGTCTCAAGTAGGCAGGGCTGAGGCAGAAGAGAAGAGTCATATCACCTAGGTGCTTCCCTAGGTTTATAACACAATCTAACATATCAGGAGAAGTCAGGCAAAAGAGTCACTTCACCTTTATGCTGGTTCCTGAGATATGTCACAATGCTCCCTTAGGACAGGACATGGGTGAGAGAGTTACAACAAACAGTTACAGTTTTCACACTTATGTCACAATGCTCCATGTGGCAGGACTCAAGCAGCAAGTTATATCACCTAGAGGATAGGCCAAGAGATTTGTCACAATACCCTTTTTAGGATAAGGTCCCAGCAAAGGAGTTCCATCATCTGTGACCCTAGTGCAGCCATATGTGAGTATACCATACTCTGTGCACAGCCCAATCTAATGAGGAGAGTTGCATCACCTACAGGGCTGACACAGTGATATGTCACAATAATTTCTGTGGGCATAGCTTAGGCAAAAATATAACATGACCTGTGTGCTGGAGGTAGTGATTTTTCGTGATTTTTACTGGGAGTAGGTCCCAGATGGGAGAGTCACATCACCTCAAGGTTGGCCCAGGTAGATACCACAATAACATATGTGGGCTGAAACCCTTCCAGAGAGTCAAATCATATGGGTGATTCACAAAATATTAAATCACAAGCACACTGGCGGAAAACTCCCAGGGTAAGATTTACAATACCACACATTAGTTGTTTTTATGAGTGACAGTTGGCTTCATATATTTAAGATGGTGACATTCCTTACTGTCAGATCAGTGTGCATATGAGACTCAGAATTATGCCTTTCTGCTGCATTCCATCATAACAATTTCTGTACAAGCTGAGGACATTATAAAATACTTGAGGCTGCTATAGTCTTCTTTGAACTTTTTTATTACCAGAAAGAGATTTAATCATTCATGTTTCAAAAGCAATTTATGGAAGTTGAAAATACTTCTATGTGTGAGGCCCACATATGACAGTCATTACCATGTCTGTGAGATGCTTGTAAATTGAACATTGAAATAAAAGCCCAACAAGGTACTCTTAAGGCACTAATCTGTTCCTTACCAACATTTGTAAAGAATTATAAAATAATTTATAAAAATTATATCTTTTCCATTTCTAAGTCATCATTTTTGTTAAATAAGTAATTTAGGAAAATCTGGAATTTTATTTCAGGATTTTTAAACCTCTAAGTTGTAACATCCTTCTCAAAACCACACTGTAGTTACAAAATTATCTTTCTTTATTTCTAGCTTTTGGATGCTACAGAGGGCCCATAGAGTATCAACAAGAGAGATAAACAGGATTATATGGCATGATTAGTTACACGGAATTGCCAAATGGTGTTCAATATTTTTAGGTGATATTTTGGTGACTAATACTAATACATGTTCTAAAATTATATGGGATTTCTAAAATTCTAATGTCTGAAGTATATGCTATCATCCACAATTAAGGTTGTTAGGTTAATTTATTGCAAACCATATAGATAACGAAAATTTTTGTCATATTTCTGACTGTAACTACCTTGCACACTTTGTAATACACAGATAATTATTCCTTTTTTGATTTTTTTATGAAGTGCTTTTTAATCAGCTATAGATCTTTAATAGGTGCTCTCAATTGCAGGCTTCCGATAACTTTGGAGCTTGTGACATTGAAATACAGGAAAAACTTACAGGACTCTCAAAGAGCTAAAATATGTATGAATATCAAACAAAAGAAGAGTTGACTGAATGGACCGGACTAATAGAAAATTGAAGTAGCCCTTCTGACTTTTGTTTGAGACATTACTCATTCTTGTATTATTTACCAGAGTCAAGGAAACATCTTGAGATACTTACAGCCTTTAATATGTGAGCAAGGTGTACTCATGTGTGCACAATTTGGATCACGTTTGCCTTTCTCGGCAGGACTTCTCCTGAATTCGAAAAATAGTTGTGAGTGTTCTTAACTTGTGGCAATATAGGTGTTTGTATCAGTGCAATAACAGTCCAATTTCTCTTCCAACAGAACACAACTGGAGAAACTGGTTGTTTGAACAAGGCCTTGACTAAAAAATAAGCTTCCCTTTAAGGAGTCAAGATCAACTTGCAGAACCAAGAAAATCCCAGTGGAAAAATTGGCTTTATACCTCATCTAAACAGTCCTTTAGCAGGGTTCCTGATCTGTGGTAACTAAATAATGACACTTTCTGACAGGCCCAGGAGCTCCAAGTTTATCTTGGGACCATAAGAGCAGAGAATCACCCAACTAAAAATTATCTGATTGTACAAACCCGTGGCTGGGCTTGACTTTAGAAAGTCCCATCTGAAATTTCTTGTGGAACAGAGTTCCATCAAAGCCAATGTAAAAGACCTATCTAGAAATAATTATTCTTGCTGCATTTTATGCAAATAATCAGGCCCAGTATCAGAATAAAGTTTATTTTACAAACAACTCAGTCCTATCATGATTTATTTTTTAATAGAAGAGGACTGGATAAAGTTTATGTTTCACAACTTATTATATATTTGTCATTAAATTCTAAACTCACAAGTTTTGCATTGTTGCCTACTTTTTAGAACAATCTTGCTTATTTCTGTGACCCCACTAATGATCTTCAACTGCAGCCCACAATAAACAAAAATGAATTGGTACACATGAAAATCTGGATTAACATTATAATTCTGGACAATTATCCTGCAAATTCTGCAGAGTGATGGGAATATATAGGGTGCCCACCTAAATTTTATGAAGCACAACTATAGCCACTAGTTTCCTCAGTATGTCACAGTCATTCTTTTCTCACCCTTGTAGAAGAAGAACTCAATTCCACAGCTTCATCTTAGCATTCAGCTCATGATAAAGAGTCCATGCAATGCCCTGAGACACATTTTTGCCCCAGCCTCAATTCTAAGCTTCTGTTTGACACCATAGAAAAAAGTAAAAAATTTGAGAAATCCAGAGGCAGGTGATAATGGAGGTAAAAAAGCACAATGCTGGTGAGCATAACTAATTCCCAGGGATTAAGCCAAGCCCCCGATTTCATGGATAAAGATTATGCTACTATCCATGCCATAAATGAGGTCCAGTGAACTCCAGAGCTACTGACAGCAGGGAAGAAAGGGTACACATGTGTAAGAGCAGATATATCCACCCCCTTAGGCCTCCCTGTTAACATTGGTGAAAGCTGCCTCGACACCCATGGGAGGCACCCTGTTACAATCAGTGGGACTTGGGGATACAAGGATTGAAGTGGGAAAAAGAATATTCTTTCTCCTATAGCTCAACACACCCTGGGAAATTGCTAGGAAGAGAAAGGAGCCAGGGACTCCTGCTCCTCTATCTCTTTCAAGATAAGTAACCATTCATTTTTAGTCTAGACCCATTTTGAATGCATCCTGAACCCTTGGAACTCCTTTGAAAAAATGCTAACTTTTCATTTTTTCTCCTCCGTTTGCTGTTTAGAGATAGGTAATCACATCTCCATGTTTTGGGACATTCCTCTTCAATGCATCCTCCAAGTTTGGAAGAGTTAATTTCCCAAACATTAAACTGGACAGCTTAGGATTGGACCCAGGAGAAAAGAACCCAGAAGTCTCATATGCTGTCAAAAGGGTAAAAGTTTTTTCTTTCTTTCTTTCTTTCTTTCTTTCTTTCTTTCTTTCTTTCTTTCTTTCTTTCTTTCTTTCTTTCTTTCTTTCTTTCCTTTTCTTTTTCTTTCTTTCTTTTATTTTTTCCTGTTGGGCTTTTGGCCTCCCTCTACCTATGCAAACTGGTGAAAACCCTGGATTTTTTTTGAGCTGTCTCTTCCACATTTCCCTTGGTTCATTTTAATACGTGCTTTTTAGTAACACAGTTTGATTCTCCTCACCTTCAGGCTATCAAACTTCAAACAGTCACACTACCATAGGCTGAGACAATGGCCCCTTTCACTGGAGACACTTAGGCCTCTAAGGAATAACTGACTGCCATTTATTTCACAACAGTGCCCCCTGTCATCAGGAAGCACTTAAAAGTGGTTTTTGTCCTCATCTTTATCCTTATTCTAACAGCAGTTAGATATACTTATTGACAGTGGAAAATAACAGAGTTAGAAAACAGCCAAGTGTCTTGGACAAAACCCCATCTTCAAGCCTAAAACAGCCTGAAGGCTGAAAAATCGAGTGCTTGTGCTAGATGAAGCCTGCCTTTTTCCAACAGATTCTCTTTGAATAATTTCCATCTGAAAACTGGGGGAAGGGAGTGGAGGCTTGGAAGGCCATGGAAACTTTACCCCTTGTGCAGGGAGGAGGAGCCTGGCTTCATCAGTTCCTGTGTGATGGTCTGGTGTTCAGCAATCCGTGAAGTGGGGGCCTGGTAAACACGACTCCCACTCACTTCGTTGAGAGTTTTTCTTTTTTTCTTTTCTTTTACCCAATCAGCTCTACTCTTTATCCTTCAGGAGTGTCCCTGAGCCTAATCTTTCCTAGTCATGTGACAAGAACCCAATTTTGCTGAAGGAGAACGTTCTGCAACATGAGGAATTAGAACGTTTGTTTAAGATAAGCTGAATTTTATGCATGTGGGTTTCATTCTGGCCTCTGTTATTTGCCTTAACATTGATTTAACTGTCTTTATGCCAGCACCACACTATTTTGATTACTGTAACTTGGCAATATGTTTTGAAATAAAAAGTATTTATCTAAGTATATTCTTTTTTTCCAAAGTTGTTTTGCTACTTTTTTTGTTTTGTTTGTTTTTGAGTGTTTACATAAATTATAGTGCAATATTTGAGGGCTTACTCCTGTGATCCCAATACATTGGGAAGCCAAGGAAGGTGGATTGCAGGACCCCAGTAGTTTGACACCAGCCTGGGCAATATGGTGAAACCCTGTATCTACAAAAAATACAAGAACTTGCTGAGCATGGTGGCATGCACCTGCAGTCTCAGCTACTTCTGGAGCTGAGGTGGGAGGATCAATTGAGCTTGATGTGTCAAGGCTATGGTGAGCCATGATTATAGCATTGCACTCCAGCCTGGGTGACACAGCTAAATATTGACTCAAACATTTTAGAATATTTTACTACTTCTGCAAAACAAAAACAAAAACAACAACAACAACAAAAAACTATTGGCTCTTTGAAAGAGTTCTCATTGACCTGTAGATCATTTCTAATACCATTAACTGAGGCACCACTCTTTTCATGAGGGCATTAGCTGCAGGGAGTCTGTCCCTTGCAGACCCCTGACCGAGCGACAGATGAATAAAGTACCCTGTCACACAGATATTCTGCTTTTCAAGTCCAGCTGAGGGTCTGGGGCCACTAACAGTCTCCAAAGGGAGTCCTGTAAAGAGTGGCAGCTGTGCCCTGAGCAACTTGCACTCCAGGCATTTATTTAGTATAGAATTATTAACAGAAGCTTTGAGTAGACACACTTGTGGATAATTAACCTGGTTAAGAGAATAGTTCTGTGAATAACGAAACCTCAGGCACCACGGTCTAAAGTAAATGCCAGTGGGGGCAATTTCCCTGGTTGACATTCCCCAGAAAGGACCATCTGGCTTAAAGGTTAGTTAATGGAGGTGGGGTAAAAAAACTTAATTGGGGAAGCCTCTATTGTCCTTAGCATTTACCCTATGACCAAATGCTTTAAGGTTAAAACCGACTACCTTCAGCCCCTTGAATTATTACAAGCTATGCAACCTTTCAGCCTTCCAAAAGTCTGTGACTATTCCCTATAACTTTCCCTAATTATTTTCTTTTAATATTTCTGCCATCCTCCTGAGTGAATCTCAAAATCCTCCTCTCTGTTCTTTTCTGCATCAGGTTTTTGATTGCAGAGCACAGATATGTGCAGTCATAGGTTTGTCAGGTGAGGTGGTCACTGATCTTATTCCAGCTTTGCATCATATAAATAGCAAATAACACAAAACAATCATGAGTATAATTAACAACACTTCTTCCAGTCAGAGTGACTTGCAGAGTTACTTGCCATCTGAGTTCACTCTGTGCTATTAATGAGGAACCTCACTGGGGGAATGTTGATTTCCTTTTATTTAAGCAGTGATGTTGTTAGAAGCTGGAAAGGGGGTGTTAGTCTAAGTACTAGGGTAGAACAAAGGAGGTTACAAGATGGGCTTAATAGAGCTTGGCAGATACAGGTAGTAGACAAAGTGAGAGAATAAAAAAGAAGCAGGATTTGCATAGCCTTCTGAGTCATCTTTCTCTGATAAAGCTGCATCATCTTGCAGGGTCTCTCCTAGGCTGGCTCGAGTTTTTTCTTCTTTTAATCCTTTGATGAGGATGCAGTGTCTTGGCTGGTGCTTGTGTATTGGAAATTGTAGAGATTGTGTCTGTGCTAAGATATCTCTCATAATCTTTGTTAAAGAGCAGGTTAGTGCTTTAAGAAAAACTTGTGCTTTTAATGTCTTGTTTACAGAAAAACTGGATGACACATCTTTTTTAAATTAATTTATTTTTATTATTGTACTTTAAGTTTTGGGGTACATGTGCACAATGTGCCGGTTAGTTACATATGTATACATGTGCCATGCTGGTGTGCTGCACCCACTAACTCATCATCTAGCATTAGGCATATCTCCCAATGCTATCCCTCCCGCCTCCCCCCACCCCACAACAGGCCCCAGAGTGTGATGTTCCCCTTCCTGTGTCCATGTGCTCTCATTGTTCAATTCCCACCTATGAGTGAGAATATGCGGTGTTTGGTTTTTTGTTCTTGCGATAGTTTACTGAGAATGATGATTTCCAATTTCATCCATGTCCCTACAAAGGACATGAACTCATCATTTTTTATGGCTGCATAGTATTCCATGGTGTGTATGTGCCACATTTTCTTAATCCAGTCTATGATTGTTGGATGACACATCTTTAACTTTAGTCAATATGTTTACTCAGAGAATTTTGTTAACAATTAACATTTTAAAACTTGCTTAGACTTTCAAAACAAAATTATACAACATGTCCTGAATAGTTTTCTTTTTATAATGTTTTTATGACTTCCACAGACAATTTTCAACATGCCTTAACTTTATTTCTTTCATAACCTTCCTTAATAAAGGTGCAGTCTAATGGTTATAACTTTCTTAACATTTCTTTCTCTTTATGTCTTTTCTTTGTCTTACTTTTTGTGACTTTGACCTCTGGTTTTTCTAGTCTTTCTTTTTTTTCCCCTCTATTTCTCTCTTTAACCTTTCTGTTTCTCTCTGATCTTGGACAGCAATTAAATGAGTGTTGGTATCAATAGATACTTGTACATATCTAAGTTTTCCAAATTCAAGTATGGGTGTAACATCTGTTTGCTATAGCAGGTTAAGTTCTGTTTCCCTAGGGTTAACACCTGTTGAAGGAGGGGACTTACCTGTGAGCTGGCAATCTGGGCATTGTAGGATAATTTATTTAGCCAGTCTCTGAGTAAGTTGATAAGTTTCTTCAATTTGGATGGAAAAATTCATGCGATTGGGTGGCTTGGTCTAGCAGTGATGGCTTAACCTGTAGGTTTGCTTGATCACTGCTCATAAGCCAATGGGCTAGGAAGTAAGCTGTGGGCTCAAATATGTGTAATAAAAATGGGACTTGTATGTTGATCTAGCCAATTGCTGAAGTTGGAGAAAGAGTAAACCGTCCTGGCTCCAGAATAGAGTTAAGGCTGTAAAACTTCTTTAATAAATAAACAGAGTAACCTTAGCTTTCTGTTTGCTAGTAAACTCAGATTGCATGATTGAATTATATGGTCTCTACCAGACTGCTGCTTTTCCATGTTTGCGGACCCATCAGTAAACCGTGTTAAAGCATTAGTTACAGGGGAGTAAACTCTTTTTGTAGGCATTATTACCGGAGTATGAGATAAGAAATGAAAGACTTTATCAGCAGGGAGGATGTGCTTTATTTGCTCTGTGTAATGAGATAAAACTATTTGTGGGTGTATTGACAAAGATAATGAAGCTTTGAATTGCTCTTTACTTAAAGGAATCATGATGATATCGGTTATGTCGCAACTGATTTTTAACGTTTGTGACCTGAATAGATGACTTTAGTAATTAACTGAGTATAAGGAGACAGTGTTTTAGTCCCGGTATGGGGGCAAAAAACCCATTCTAGGAAACATAGCCTGGGAGTCATTTGTCCTAGTAACCCTGTAGGGGAGTGTTAGGTGGAAAAAATAAATAGCTGATTGGAATACGGTGGATCAATGCGATCTAGCTTCCTTTGAAAGACGGCTTGCTCAATTTCCTTGATTTCCCTTTTTGCTGCAAGGGTTAAATATCTGGGAGAATTGAGGGCTGGGTTGCCCTTTAAGATAGAGAACAGGTTTTGTAGTTTATTGGTAGGAATTCCAACAATGGGAGAAATCCAGGTAACATTGTCCAATAATTTCTGCTAATCATTTAATGTGTGTAAGTTGTTAGTACTTAGGTTAAACTTTTGAGGTCTTACTGACCAGGAGATTAACAGATATCCAAGATATTTTCAAGGAGGGAACATGGGTACTTTTTCAGGTGCAGTGACTAAACTTTTCAGTTGTGTATTCCTTATGACAGAGGTAAACAAATTTAAAGGTATTGGCTCCGTTGGGGCTGCTAGTAAAATATCATCCATAAAATGAATAATCATGTAATCAGGAATTTTTTTTCTACTAGTTAAAAAACAAAGTTTGCTTTTAACTACTTCTAAACTAACTCATGGGTTGTTTGTAATGTCTCAACCTTTAAACGTTACTGTTTTACTTGAATTTGGTGAGCTTCATCAGGGTGGAAGAGAGATGACAACAGTGGAGGTTATTAGAAAGAGGTTTTCTAATTCTTACATTTTACTTAAATTTTAGCTGAGAACTATAATCTGTGATGTTGCTTGTAAACAAGCAGCACATGAGATTTTGTCTTGGATAGCCTGTGGAGTTAGAGAAAGGAGCAGGCAGGTCCCGGCGCTGTGACTGCTTTACATTTATAAAGTCGCCATTTTTGCCTGTGCCATTTTTTGCCTGTGCTGGCTCCCTTCCCCAGCTGTGGGACACATGTGGCCTGGGTGGAATTTGTCACGTGTGCTTCTGTTCCACTCGCAGCAGGCTAGCTCTGGCTGCAGCTTGGCTCTTTGTTGCTTCTGTCACAGTGTGGGTGGAGTTTTTCTTTCTACTTACTGCTTCCTTGTCCTGGCCCTGTGGCTCTGGCTTTTAGTGATTATTCTTAACCCTTTATGTACCTGATTACTTGGCTGATTTTGCATTACCGGGCAGGCTAATAACTCTCCTTTTATTGCTGCCAGCTGAAGACAGGGACTAATAACTGGAGGGTATTCCTGGTCCTTTTTCTTACGTATTGAAGAAAAAGGCTCAGGTAAAATATCTGTTTCTTCTTTGTTATTTTGGCTCAGTAATATTAGGGCTGACGGAAGAGGAGGTGATAAGGCAGGTGACATTTCCTCCTCGTTCCCCTTTATAGTCTGTTCTGTGTATAATGGAGACAGGGCTGCTGTAATGAAAGCCCATAACAGCTGGGACCTGTTGCCTTTGTGTCTGATGTTGAAGATTTATCCCCACTTGTTCTCAGAGTACTACATCCAGTGTTCCTTTTTCTGGGAACCATGATCTTGGGATTGTGTCCAGAATTGATTCCTTCCAGTGGGTTATTGGTCTTGCTGTCTTCAAGAAGAAGATGCAGACCTTCACAGTGAGTGTTATAGCTCCTAAAGGTAGTGCGGACCCAAAGAGCGAGAAGCAGCAAGATTTATTGCAAAGAGTGAAAGAGCAGAGCTTCCACAGCATGGAAGGGAACCAAAGCAGGTTGCTGCTGCTGGCTCGGGTGGCCTGCTTTTATTCTCTTATCTGGTGTCACCCACATCCTTCTGAGTGGTCCATTTCACAGAGTGCTGATTGGTCTGTTTTACGGAGTGCTGATTGATCCATTTTTATCCAGTGCTGATTGGTGTGTTTACAAACCTTTAGCTAGACACAGAGCGTGATTGGTGCATTTACAATCCTTTAGCTAGACAGAAAAGTTCACCAAGTCTCCTACCCAATTAGCTAGACACAGAGCACTAATTGGTGCATTTACAAACCTTTAGCTAGACACAGAGTGCTGATTGGTGCATTTACAATCCTTTATCTAAACAAAGTAGTTCTCCAAGTCCCCATCTGACTGAGAAGCCCAGCCAGCTTCACCTCTCAATCCCTTCTCTAAACAGGACATCTCAACTGCTGTTGGGAATTGGCCAATGACCTCTCTAGCTACTTCCTGCTAGATAGGGGCAAAGAATTATGCTGCAGTTGTAGTGTCCTCCAGAGGGGAACTCTTTAGGCCACGGAAAGGGCCAGGAGGTTGGTCCAGGGGTCCTCAGTAGAAGCTGTTAGTTGAGCTCATTTGGGGTTCCATTTGTAAGACCATCTCTAGGTTGATAGCCTCAATTCTAGAAGAAAGAAATTTGACAAGAAGGTTAACAATACAGGGCCCGAAGGCAAGTAATGGCAAGATGGCTGCCATGGGAGCTAGAAAGGGGAGGAGCCATGTTGCCCAACTCCAGAGGTTGGTATAAGGGTTTGAAAGATGTCTGATTTCAGAAGCCTTTTCCTGTAAACACCAGGCAGCATCTCGTACTATGCCTCACTGGTTAGTGTAAAAACAACTCTCTTCCCCTAAGAAGGTGCAGAGTCCTCCTTTCTCAGCAGTGAGGTGGTCTAGTCCTCTGCAGTTTTGGAGTGTCACTGCTGGTAAAGAATCTAGCTGGGATTGTAGAGTAAGGATAGATTTTGTTATTTCTCACAAACTATCTGAGAAATCCTTTGAGAGTGTGTGATGGTAAGAAAATGAAGTAGATAAACCTGCTATTCTGGTTCTTGTAGCAGTGGCCATTTCTAACCCTATAAGTAGGGGTATTAGTTGTATGGCCCTGCAATGATGGACTTGAGCTTTGAGGGGCACTGATAGGGCCTGATTTCCTGGGGCAATGTTAATGTTGGGACTTAGAAAGACTAAGGTGCAGGTGCCTGTCCAGTTAGTGGGGAGGCAGATATAGTTTGACATTCCACAGGAGAAGAATATGCCTTGGCTGGGTAGATATTTAGAAATTTACCCTGGCTTTTAAAGGAATAGGGTATACTGTTTTTTCTTTACTATTTCCATATCTCTTTCATTCTCTTTGACTTCTCCTTCATCTCTCTCTTTCTGTCTTTCTGACTCCCTCTTTGTCTGTCTGTCTCTTCCTCTCTCTCTCTCCCTCTGACTTTCTGTCTCTTCCTCTTTTTCCTTTCTGCTGGTCTTTCCCTGCCTCTGCCAGCTGCTTATGCTACTGTTCTCCCCTCTCCTTCCCCTTTTGATGGCTTTGGCAGTGTAAGAGTGCCATGCCACCTCCGTGGGTTTTTACACTGTGTGCAATAACTCCATGATTTCCTTGTGGCATTTAATGGGGGTTTCCCCAGAGGTTAGGAACTCCCTTTCTTTCCATATTGCAGCATGGGCATGTAGGATCAGATGAGCATACTTGCTATCTGTATACACATTTATTCTTTTTCCCTTTCCCAGTTCTAAGGCTTGGGTAAGTGCCAGTATTTCTGCTTACTGGGCTCTGGTCTCTAGGGGAAAACACTTACTTTTAAGTATAGTTACATCACTAACTATGGCATAACCTGCCCTTTGTATCCCATTCTTCACAAATGAACTTCCATCAGTATATAGGCTAAGGTCAGGATTACCTAAGGGGACTTCTAAGAGATTATCTTGTGTGGCATAAGTCTGGACGATAATTTGTTGGCAGTCATGCTTGATTGGATCCCCATCCTCTGGGAGAAAAGCGGCAGGGTTGAGGGCCATGCATGTACATATTTGAAGCACCAGTGCCTCAAGGAGTAGCACCTGGTATCTAAGCAAGTGGTTGTCTGATAGCCATAAACTTCCTTTGGCACCTAGTATGCCATTTACATCATGAGTAGTCCAGACAGTGAGATCCTTTCCTTGTATTATTTTGATAGCCTCTGACACTAAGACAGCCACTGCTACAGCTACCCATAAACAGTGAGGCCAGCCTTTTGCTACTACATCCATTTCCTTACTTAGGTATGCCACTGGTTGGGGGATTATTCCACAAATCTAAGTAAGAACTCCAAGAGCTATCCCTGCTCTCTTGGTGACATATAAAGAGAAGTTTTGTCCTGTGGGAAGGCTTAAACCGGGAGCCTGTACTAGCGCCTGCTTTAAGGTTTTAAAGGGTACTTTTGCCCCTAGTTCCCATTCTACTAGATGAGTATTTACCCTTTGGGTCTCCTTGATTACCGTACAGAGTGGTCTGGCCATCTTGCTGTATCTGGGGATCCATAGTCGGCAAAAGTGGGTGGTTCTAAGGAACCCCCGCAACTGTTTTAATGTCTTGGGGTGAGGATAAGCCAGTATTGGCTGTTTTCATTCCTTGCTGAGGGCCCTGGCCCCTCTGGCTAAGATTAGGCCTAAATATTTGACCTGCTGTAGGCAAAGTTTGGCCTTTGACCTAGACACCTTGTACCCTTGATTAGCTAGAAAGTTCAAGAGATTTAGACTAGCCTGCTGGCATGAGGCTTCCAAACCAGTAGCCAAAAGTAAATCATCCACAAGCTGAAGGACCAGAGTCCCTGGACATGACAAGTGGCCTAGATCTTGGGCCAGTGCCTGACCAAACAGATGAGGGCTATCCCTAAACACTTGAGGCAAGACGTTCCATGTAAGTTGGGACGTGTGATCTGTGGAATCCTCAAAGGCAAAGAGAAAGTGGGAGTCAGAGGCAGAGGAATACAGAAGAAGGCATCCTTGAGGTCCGGAGCTGTGAACCATTCTGCTTCCTCTGGTATTTGAGAGAGCAGGGTATAGGGGTTGGGTACAACTGGATATAGAGGAATTACTGCCTCACTGATGAGTCTAAGATCTTGCACTAGTCTCCACTGACTGGGTTTTGGTCTCCTAGAATTGGAGTGCTGCAGGGACTGCTGCATTTCCTTACTGAGGCTCAAGATTTTAAATGTTTAACAGTATCCTGTAATCCTCTATGAGCTTCAGGCCTTAAGGGAAATTGCCTTTGATAAGGAAAAGTGGTGGGATCTTTTAGCCTGATTTGGACTGGGCAGGCATTTTGCCCTTCCAAATTGTCCTTCCAATGCCCAAACTTCAGGGTTAATTCCCTCCTCAAGCCACAGACAACAAATGGGTAACTTGCTCCCCATATTCATGTAGATAATAGCTCCAGCTTTGACTAATATATCCCTCCCTAATAAGGGTGTGGGACTTTCAGGCATATTAAGAAAGGCATGTGAAAAGAGCAAAGTCTCCCAATTACAACTGAGGAGTTGGGAGAAATACCTGGTTACAGGCTGTCCCAGCATTCTTCAGATGGTAACGGATCTTGAGGACAGTCGTCCAGGACAGGAGATTAACACCGAGAAGACCGCATCAGTGTCCAGGAAGAAGCCAATTTCCTGGCCATTAATGGATAAGCATACCCATGGCTCAGTGAGGGTGACGACATGAGCTAGCACTTGCTCCAGGCACCCTCAGTCCTGTTGTTGGATCCTCTGGTTGGGGTCTTCTGGCCCAGAGAACCATTGTACTCTGGGGCAGTGCACCTTCCAGTGATTGCCTTGACATAGTGGACGTGGACAAGGGGGCAGCTTGTTTCTTATTGGATGATCTTTTTTTTTTGAGACGGAGTCTCGCTCTGTCGCCCAGGCTGGAGTGCAGTGGCGGGATCTCGGCTCACTGCAAGCTCTGCCTCCCGGGTTCACGCCATTCTCCTGCCTCAGCCTCCCAAGTAGCTGGGACTACAGGCGCCCGCCACTACGCCCGGCTAATTTTTTGTATTTTTAGTAGAGACGGGGTTTCACCGTTTTAGCCGCGATGGTCTCGATCTCCTGACCTCGTGATCCGCCCGCCTCGGCCTCCCAAAGTGCTGGGATTACAGGCGTGAGCCACCGCGCCCGGCCTGGATGATCTTTTTTTTTAAGTGTCCTCGTAAACCACACTGATAACAAGCCCTACCGGGTGATTGCCCTGCTCCCTTTTCTGTCCTCTCTGAAACACCAAGGTTTGTTTGTCTGAGGGCCATGACTAAGGCAGCAGCATTTCTCTGATCTCATTTTTCCTTTTGGGCCTGTTCCTCTTGGTCCCTATTATAGAACACCAAGGTTGCCAGGTTTAGTAATGCCTCCAGATTTTGTTCAGGGCCCAGGGCTTGCTTTTGGAGTTTCTCCTGATGTCTGTGGCTGATTGGGTAATAAACTTATCTTTTAGAATCAATTGACCCTTGAGTGATTTGGGTGACAGGGCAGTATATTTTCTTAAGGCCTCCCTTAGCCACACAAGGAAGGCAGAAGGATTTTCTTCCTTTCCCTGAGTTATGGTGGATATCACTGAATAATTCATGTGCTTTTTCCTAATTTTCCTTAGTCCTTCTAGAACACAGGTGAACAGATGTTTATGACTCTTGTCCCCATGATCTGAGTCAAGGTCCCAATAGGGATCCACACTGAGAATGGCTTGCCAACCCGTAGGGAATTTTTCCCTTTCTTCAGCTGTCATTCTATCATTTACTTGACTAAGATACAAGGTATCTCCAAACTCTCAGGCTAAAACTAAAGCCACATTCTTTTCATTAAAGGTCAGGGTTTGATCTACCAATAGCATGACATCTCTCCAAGTGAGATCGAGGCTTTGCCCTAGATCCTGTGGGACATCTATGTACCTATCAGGATCATCTGAAAGCTTTCCCAGGTCTACCTTGATCTGCTTTAAATCAGAGAGGGAGAAGGGGACATGTACCAAGGTTGGGCCAAATTCCCCTCTCCCTAGAGCTTGAAGGGGATGTAATCGATAGCCCGGGGAAGGGTTGTGTTCCTTTGGAGATTTCTTTGCTTGTTTCCTTCTGGGCAGGGGAGATTAGAGGAGGCTTATCATTAATAGGAAGGGGAGCTATAGGGAGGCTAGGATATGCAGGTAAGCTGAGTGTTCCTCCTGTGGGATGTAAATTGCAAGCTTTGCATAGTTTTGTATTCTCCTTCAATGAAAAGAAAACTTGGACTTAAGGTATTGCACTCCTTTTGCCTTACCTCTTACAGAAAAGGTCAAGCTACAGTATAGTATTGTAAGTTATATTTCTCTCAGGTGGCCATTTTTCCACATCAGAGAGAGAATATTGGGTCCTGGCCATAGTGCAGAAAAAAATAAGCCACCACTTTTTCAGGGTTTGTGGGTAAAATTGGTCCCAATGGCTTAGGATGCATTGCAAGAGTGGGTCTGTTAATGCCTGAGTGTTTCCCATCCGAAAGAGAAAACGGCCCACTCTTTTTGTTTGTTTGTTTCTCCACCTGCCCAAGAACCCACAATGGATCCTGGACCCTGCTGATCAGAATAGTTGTGCTCACTGATGCAGCAGCAGAAACACTGGTTTTCCTCCTGGACCACAACAAAACCTGCAGCCTTGCCTGTCCACCCAGACCACAAAGAGGACTGAGAAAAATCGGATTTAGTGGCCCTTACTGACATATTCTCAAAAACCTGTTAGAGTCCTAAGCATTATCCTGTTAATATTGGGAATTTATCCTTGTCCTATAAAGATGTTATGCCCCAAAAATGAAGTGGAGGGCCATACCCTGAGGGAGGGAAGAGATCACCAGAGTCAGAAGAGTGATGCCTTTTGTCCTCACTTATATGAATAAGAAAGATACAATTTCTGAGGCGTCCCATATCCTAGCTTCAGGAATAGGTTTTGTTAAGCCTGTTTGTCTGAGGAGGGATCCTAAAATTCCAGATAGTCCCCCTTAAAATGGGGCTTTGGGCAAAAATTCTCTCTTTCTGATTGCTGAGCCTGAGTGCCAGGAGAAGGGAATAGAGTCCTGGAGTTTATACCAGAAATAGTTCTTACAGGAGAAACTAGAAAAGCACCAGAGACAGGGAGTGGTTTTTAGAAGCAGGACTAGCCTCAGAGAACAGAAGCAAGAGGAAGATTGTCTGACAGGCTTTAGGACCCAGGAGGCAAGGCTCAGGATAGATAGGATAGATGGGAGAGTCTCGCTTGGGCGACATGACTAAGAGTTCCGCCATGGCTGCAGGGTCAACCAATTTGTTGTTGGGACCATGGAGCTGAATGGTTTTCCTATCAACCCTCATCTCAGCCCAGAAGTACAGGGAAAGTGGAAGCTAGTTCCATGCAAACCAACACTCCCAACTCCGAAGAGTTGGGGTTGCTAGAGAGCCCTTTCCCAGAAAGCCTGGCACCCATGTCTTTAGTTCAGTGACCAAGCTAGTTGCTTTTAACTGGCTGACAGGTGCCTGCTATTTAGCCCTAGAATTCTAAGGAAAAATAGGACAGAATAGCAAGCACAAGGGGTCGATGGTACTCACTGCTTGGCAATAGGCAATAGTCCCTTTGTGGTCACCAAAGTGTGTCTGGAATTGATTCCTTCCCATGGGTTCTTGGTCTCACTGACATCAAGAATGAAGCCATGGACTCTCACGGTGACTGTTACAGTTCTTAAAGACAGTGTGTCCAGAGTTTGTTCCTTCAGGTGTTCATGGTCTCGCTGACTTCAGGAGTGAAGTTGCAGACCCTCACAGTGAGTGTTACAGCTCTTAAAGTTGGTGTTTCTGGAGTTGTTTGTTCCTCTCAGTGGGTTCATGGTCTCGCTGACTTCGGGAGTGAAGCTGCAGAGCTTCACAGTGAGTGTTACAGCTCTTAAAGGTGGTGCATCCAGTGTTGTTTGTTCCTCCCGGTGGGTTTGTGGTCTTGCTGGTTTCAGGAGTGAAGCTGCAGGCCTTCATGGTGAGTGTTACAGCTCATAAAGGTAGTGTGGACCCAAAGACTGAGTAGCAGCAAGATTTATTGCAAAGAGCAAAAGAACAGGTCTTCCACAGTGTGGAAGGGGACCTGAGTGGGTTGCCACTGCTGGCTGAGGTGGCCTGCTTTTATTCCCTTATTTGTCCCCACCCTCATCCTGCCGATTGTTCCATTTTACAGAGTGCTGATCGGTCTGTTTTTAGCAAGTGCAGATTGGTGCATTTATAAACATTTAGCTAGACACAGAGCACCAATTGGTGCATTTACAATCCTTTAGCTAGACAGAAAAGCTCTCCAAGTCCCTTACCTGATTAGCTCTACACAGAGCACTGAGTGGTGCATTTACAATCATTTAGCTAGATAGAAAAGTTCTCCAAGTCCCCACCCCACCCAAAGCCCAGCCAGTTTTACCTCTCAGGATTACAACAGTTTGCATTATGTCCCCTAATTGAGCCTGCAAAACTGATGCTCCACTAGCCTTAAGCAACTGTTTCAACACTTTTATATACTGTTTCTGTTGAGCTGATAAATGTTGTCCCATGAGAATACCTCAGCTTGACCCAACTTCTCCCAGAACTTGGTAACCTCGAGTGGGCACCAATGACTTACTGATTAGTCACTGACTTCACCACGTGAATTCTTTTTCCACCTTTGCTTTCAGGGAGTCTGTCGCATTCCTCACTCTTCCTCTACAGCTTTCCTCATGAGGGTGGTTCTCACACTTCCTTCACAGACTGCCTCACACAATGGGCTCCAACTGCAGACCTGGCGATGGGTGAATAAACTACCTGACACACAGATATCCTGCTTTGCCAGCAGCAGAGGGTCCGAGGCCACTCCCAGACTCCACGGAGAGTCCTGTAAAGAATGGAGGCCCACCCTGAGCAACTCACCCTCCAGGCATTTATTTAGTATAGAATTAATCACAGAAGCTTTGAGTAAACACACTTGTGGATAATTAACATTGTTAAGAGAATAGTTCTGTGAATGATTAAACCTCAGTTACCACAGTCTAAAGTAAATACCATTGGGGGCAATTTCTCTGGTCGAACTCCCTGGAGAGAGCCATCTTAGTTAGTGGAGGTAGAGTAAACAGACTTAACTGGAGAAGCCTCAGTTGTCCCTAGTATTTACCCTATGACCTAATGCTTTAAGGTAAGAAGAGGTTGCCTTCAGCCTGTTCAATTATTACAAGCTATATAATAATTTTAGCCTTTTAGCCTGCCAAAAAGGTTTGTTACTATTCCTTATAACTTTTCCTAATACTTCCCTGTAATATTTCTGCCAGCGGCCTGAGTGAATCCAAACAATTAACATCTAAAGAAACTTGCCTATTCTAACTCTTGAAAAATAGTATGCTCAAGAATTTGTCTAGGTTTCATGTATATGCAGATATACTAGTTTTCTTTTGGTTTTTACTTCCAGTTATATTTTATTGTAGTCAGAAATAATATTTTTTGTGATTACCGTCAGTTTAAATATGCTAAAACTTGCATTCTAGCTTAAAAGTTTGCCTATCTAAGAAAACATGCCAAATGTATATAGAAATATGTACTATGCAATTGTTGGGTGAAACATTTTGTAGATTATCCCCAGGTCTTATTTTGCTCTTTAACTTTTATTTTTCTATATATTTTTCTTTTTCTTTTTTATTTTTTATTTACTTTCATTTTTTCTATGCATTTAAATTTGTTTCTATCTTTTATTTTTTATATTATTGTCTCTTCATTTCAAATGTTCTCCAATTTGTGTCTTGTTTGAAACATTTTATTTAATTTCTTTTTTATCTTATTTACTCCCATTCTTATCCCTTTATATTATTTTATTTTATTTCTCCATATTTATCTTTATTTTTACTTTTATTTTTTCTCCTGATTCATAAAGTTTTATTTTATTCTATTGCAAATTGTTTCATTTCTGTTTATTTCTCTTAATTTTATTGTATTTATTTTCTTCATCTTCATTTTATTTACTTTCCCTGATCTTAATTACATTTCTCTTTATTTTTCTCTATTTTGTTTCAGTTTATTTGTCTTTACTATTTTTAATTACTTTAAACTTATTTTTTAATTTTTTTCTCTTGATTTTACTTTTTTCACTTTATTTTTCTATATTTTGTATTGTAAATCAGAAGAGATAAGCTATTTTAGATTGACCCAGCCATAGTGGTCAAAACTGGTGTTTGCTCAGGCTCTCTGGCAGCCACTCTACCTCAGGTATCTCCAATCCAGGGTATAGTCAGGGCCTTCTAGCAGGATTGCTAAGATCCCTGGGCAGATGTTTCATTGTTACAGAGCCATCTAGCATTAAGTCCACGGGCTATTTATCCTGCTTTCCGAAGCCACCTGTAAGCTTCAGTGTTGCTAGGCCAAGGGCCTGGCTGCCCCTTTATTTGTGTGCCAATTCATCCTTCACACATAATCCTGGGTACTGGCCCTTCTTCCTTCTTTACAAAGACAGGCTCCACACCCACTCCACTCCACCAGGGCATATCTAGAACACATGTGTGTCTTTTTGTTGTAAGAAAGAAAAAATATTTTTCTGTTTGTCTGTTTTTGAGACAGAATCTTGCGGTGTCACTCCACCTGCAGTGTGGTGACACAATCTGGGATCACTGCAGCCTCCACATCTCAGATTCAAGAACTTGTCTGGCTTCAGCCTCCCAAGTAGCATTACAGGCATGTACCACCATCCCCAGAAAAATTTTTTTTTTTTTGGATTTTTAGTGGAGACATAGTTTCACCAGGCTGGTTTGAAACCCCTGACCTCAAGTGATCCATCCACCTCAGGATCCTGAAGTACTAGGGTTACAGGTGTGAGCCACCACGACTGACTGAAAAATATTTTTTGAATTTAAACTTGACATATAACAGATTTATTATGAAAATTTCAGCTTTATGGGTAGATATACATGCAATTATGTGTGTGTGAAAATGGTAATAATATGAGAAGATAAACATTTCTACACCTTGTTTAATAAATTTATGGAGTTGTTATTTTATCTTTTCCTGTTTATCTCTACATGTTCAATGGAAAAATACTCAGTGAAGGCTCCTCAGTATGATAAAAAAAAGCTGTGCAATCAGACATTAATAGATGTACAGTGAAGTAACTTCTGGTTTTCATCTGGAGCTCTCATAGTTAGGACTGAAAACTCTTGGTTGTAAACTCATGTGATGAGGAATTATACTATGCTGTCCTCTTCTGCACATCTGTCTACCATCAAAATTGTTTGAATTTGCCAAAAGAAAAAAGTGGAAAGTTGTTTCCCTAACACCTACTCATCTCTCTTTCATAGTTTTTTTTTTTTTTTTTTTTGGTTTGGGCATTGTCCAGATTGCTTAGAAGCTCGTGATCACAGAGGACATATTTGTCAAAAGAAAGCTTTTTTGCACCAGGATTAAGTGAAGATGTTTATTACCCAGGGCCAATGGTTCCTCCAGAGCCAGGATGTAACCATTACTGAAACCAGAAAATGATGACAGAAGTTGAGAGCTGCTCATGGGGAAAGAAAAATGCTCCCTTTTGCTTTGAAAGTGGTCACTGCCTATTCTGGCATCAATCTTACATCTGACCACGATGTGTTTCATGTTCATCTTTCTTGGTATTCCACTGAAAGTTCATCTGAAAAAAGAGGCTTGAATGAGAGTAGTAAAGAGAACAATTGCATCTATAGCTGATGCTTTGGTGAGTTTTGAGGTTCAAGATGTCAAAGAATAGACTCAGAACCAGTGAATGAGATATGGAGTTTTACTTTGGACTTACATAAAGTGGAGAAAGTCCAGTGTCAGTGGGCTTAGTAGGATAACAACAGCCACTTGCAAAAAGCCTATAGTTAGTATAGTATTTTTATTTAACACATTTGTCTGAACAACCTTTCATCTGTCAGCCTTTATTTAACAAAAAATGAAAGGGCTTCAATCCTCTGTGTGGCCCGTGTTCCATGCCACAGGATAGGACAGACCAGGGTCTCAGACGTTCCTCATAGGTAAAGAATAACTTCTAGGTTGGCCACTACTAGATTTTTTTTTTCTTTGAGACAAAATCTCACTCTGTTGACCAGGCTGGGGTGCAATGGCATGATCTTCTCCTGTCTCAGCCTCCCATGTAGCTGGGATTACAGGCAAGTTCCACAATCTCTGGCTGATGTATATTTAGTAGAGAAGAGGTTTCTCCATGTTGGTCAGGCTTATCTTGAACTCTGTATTTTTAGTAGAGAAGAGGTTTCTCCATGTTGGTCAGGCTGATCTTGAACTCCTGACCTCTGATGATCCACCTGGCTTGGACTAACTAAGTTCTGGGATTACAGGCATTAGCCACTGCTCCCAGCCAGGCCACAATTTGATTTTTGTCACTTGGAAGTTTTAACACTCAGAAGCACTTTTAATGTAAGGTTAATGTCCAGCTATCCCCAAGTAAAGTTAACACTGTCAGTTGCATCCATCATATATTCTGATTCAGACAACAGAGGTTCTTCTTCCTGAGACTCTAGATAAACAAATTTTTGCTTTTACCTGAATCACTCCATTGACAGGATTTTATTTAAGGGGCTGATGTGTGTGCACGTTGCTGGTATGGATATCTAAGTTAATGAGATGGCTTCTTAGCTGGTAGGATCTGTTCCTATTATAGGTTCATTCAGGCTGCTGAGGTGCTCCTTCTCCAGAATTTCACTCAATCATATCATTCTGGGGCTCCAGTACTATTTTACAAGGTGGGACATGCTGAAATAAACCCTAAAATTGTGGTTCAGAATGACCAGGCTGAGGCTGCCCTTTAAAAGGGAGAACTGCCAGGGTTGTGTATTATTATCCTTGCCATTCTGACATATCTTTTGTTATGGAGACCAGAAAAGGATCTGAGTATGTGACAGTCCTCCTCCTAGAGTTGCTACTATTTGTACATGACTCTTAAGTGTCAAGGTAGGTTGTGAGCTCTCCCTTCCTGGCACAGCCTGAGTAGGCTAGAGCTCTGTGACCCTTGATGTTTGGCTCAGGCAGTCTTCAGAGGAATTTCAAAAATTATAGGGTGTGGAGGGTAGAGAAACAGCTGATACAGATGGCAAGTTACGGGAGGCTGGAAGAGAATGGGACCTGTTTGAAACAGTACAAACCCTGCCTGGGTGTAGCTGAGGAGGCAGGAAGAGAATGGGACCAACTTGAAACAGTACAAACCCTGCCTGGGTGTAGCTGGACAGTCAAGCCAGTTCTCTGATTTGGGATTTGTGCCACGGAATTAACAGGCCCACTTTTGCTCTGGCCTGGGTGCTTAACTCTTGTTCTAGAACAAAATGTGAATTCTGGACTCTAGAATTTCTGTTTTACAGTCCAGTAGAGTGTAGAGGCCCAGGTTGGCCCACAAAAGAAGCTGTGGGTGGGCTTACCACAACTGACTGGTTGCTTCTCTGCCTACAATCAGAAGGAAGAAGAATCTTTTTTCTAAAGGCAAGCCCAGAGAGGATTCAGGCAAGCCCAGGGAAGTCTGAAACTTAAGGGAGCCTGTAAAGAAAAAGGTTCTTGCCTCAGATGAGTGCTTTTGCCCCTCTTGGCTTGTGGCTTTGGGGGCTCAATTTGCCCATCAGAATAAGGGGCAATGAAATCCCCTCAGTGAGAGGCTGCTCACCCTCCTTTTACCAAGCCACTGCGCAGTGCCCACCCTGCAGCTCCAGAAGGTGCATTGCCACCTCTCTTTCCCAGTTTCAAGTGATTCTTCTGCCTCAGCCTCCTGTGTAGCTGGGATTACACGCACCCACCCAGATAATTTTTGTATTTTTAGTACAGATGGGCTTTCAGTATGTTGGCCTGGCTGGTGTTGAACCCCTGGTCTCTGGTGATCCACCTGTCTCAGCCTCACAAAGTGCTGAGATTTCAGATGTCAGCCACTGCACCCACACCAAAGAATGTTTTGCGGAATTTTCTGAAAAGAGAATTATACATTATGTCTACAGTTAGCAACAGGCAAAGGGACAAACATAAAAAGCAGAATTTGCCCAAGATTTTTCTAAGCCAGGAGCAATAATATTTTAAATAAATGAGTTTAACACAAAGCTGAGAAAATAGATTTGCTTTCAAAATTGTTGAAGTTTTTTATTTGGTGATAAGTTATCAACACTTGTAAAATTATCTGTTGCATTCTAACATTTTTCTTTCCTTCTCAAAGTAGATACACAGCCATAAATAACTCTCATTACTTGCTATAGATCTGTTACACACCTAAAGTTTATTTTACAGTAATATATCTCTTATATTTAAATTCATGTAAACTAAAGCTAAAGGTCTTTATGTGTTTAGCAGACCAGAGAAGTCATATGTTTAATAGAAAAAAGTAGGATAAAATTTTGTAAACACTTGTTCAGAATTCAGAAGACTGTAGCTCCATTATACTCATATAATCTCCATTAGAGCCATCATAATCACCTTTAGTTACAAGAAAAACATAAATGTAAGTTGTAAAAACCATATTTTCCAAATTATTTTAAGTTAAAGACCACTGACAAAAGAATGACTACAGACGTTATTTCACTGTGACCCTATAGCAAATTGTCACCATCTGTTACTTACAGCTTTGAGTAAGATACGATAACATCAGTGGCAAGACACACATTCAATATAAAATAGCCTTAACACAATAACAACAATTCTGGTTAATTTGAAAAAAATTAAGTCCACACATTGTCATTAAAAAGGTATTTTTAAATTCACTGTATTTTAATTACCTTAATTTGCAAATGGTAAAGCAATTTTTGTTTAAAATTCAAATTGTTCCTATTACTATGCATAATATTATCCTGAGCACTTACCACACTCCTATCATCCTGTCACTATGATACTGTTATAAACCAACCAGTACTTGCCCTTTTCACTTAGAAATTTTTCATGTATATTAGATTTCAGTTTTCTTAGTCTTCCATTGCAAAATAGATAAATCTGTCCATCTAATATGGAAGAACCTCTCATAACTCTGGTGGAGCAACAATTGTCCATGTTCTTTCCCATATATTTTAGATATGAAGACATAGCAACAAATGTAAGAGTTAAATTACATCAATATTTGCTTTTGAAAAATATTAAATTATTTTAATATTAAAAACTAGGTCCCTGTTATAGGAAAGTGATCAAGACTGCTGATGAGAAGCAGCTAGTCTGTGTAGTTCTCATAGAGAGGAATGCAAGTTGTGCATAAATACATCACCTTCAACTGAAACACCCAGGTGCTTGCATTGGGAAAAATCAAACAACTTAAGTTATGGAGAATGGAATAAAGCAAGGCAGGACAGTGAACCACCTGGGAACAACATGGAACCAAGAAAACATTCCCACTCAATAAAGCAGTGGGTATAAGTGTGACCCTGGGAACCCACGATTCTCCCACAGATCTTTGCAACCCTCAGGTGAGGAGATCTATTCATGAACCTGCTTCATCAAGGCCTTCAGTTGAACACACAGAGCTACGTGGAGTCTCAGAGATCAGCTGCTGAGGCCTGTGCAGAGATTCAAGAACTTTAGGTACTCAGTTTTTCCAGGCTTCCCAGAAAAAGTAGTTGCAACTCCAGTAAAGCAGGAATCTGTACTTCTGTAAGTATTCATAGAAAAGAGACAGAATCCATGAGGCTGACCAGTCATGGTCTTAGGTCTTAGGACCCATGCCCACAGTGCCCCACAGGGTAAGACTTATTGGCTTAGCATTCTGGTCAGCCCATTGGTAGCAGCACTGGACCTCCCTGGCATGGAGCTATCAGAAAGTCGAGTGGGACACCACCTTAGCTGCTTGGGCAACTTAGGCATTCCAGCCTTCAGGCTTTAAAAAGCCCAAGCTAACGTGGGGAATAAAGAATCTCCTAGCACAGTATAGGTGCTCTAAAAAGACATGGCCAGAATGCCTGTTAAATCAGGTACCCAATCTCATTTCTTGCAACTGGAAAGGACTTCCTAACCAGAGTGAGCAGCTACCACCACTGGTAGTAGCTGTGATCAAAGACCACGATCTTTGGTCGATGGAATTTTGAAACCTCTTTGTGATATAATTGCTAGAGGGAAGAGTGAGCAGCAATTTTTCCTATGTGTGTGACTTGGCTGTTCCAGCCTTCTGGCTTTGGAGAATCCAAATAAACTGTGGATGGAAGTGGTACCTCTGCACAGCAGAGACGTACTATGAAAATGTTGCTAGACTGCTTTCTTAAGTGGCTCCCCAATTACGTTCTCTTTACTGAGTAAGAAATTTCAACAAGGGATTCCAGCTACCTCTTATAGGTGCTATTGGGTTGGAAAGAGGTCTATACCTCCCTGGGATTGAGCACCCAGAAAAAAAAAGGCACGCTGCAATTATTTAGTTTAGCAACATTCAGTGGTGGTAACTTCAAGTACTGGAAAATCTTAGGTGACTAGGAATGGCAATGGACACCTCGCATACTGAGGCAGCCCTTCAGAAAAGTGGCCATACTGTTATGTGAGTGCCTGTTCTCATATATTCTCACTGGACAGGTTCTCCAGGCCTGGGCCACTAGCCAATCACTGCCAGAGGTATTGAGATAGTAGCAACTTAGCGACTCCCTGGACAGGGACCCCAGTAACGACTGAAAATATTTCTGCCACTGCCTCTATAGTAGAACTTTCCTTGCTACCCTTAGACTAGTGAAAAATCCAAAACCCTGAGTGTCTTATTCAAACATCAAACAAGCTGCAGTTTACCCAAGGAGAGGAGGCCAGTTCATTCACCATGGGTCCCACAAACTACCCACTGCTCCTCACCAGACAGTTGACCCCTAACTTGACCAAAATCACAGATCTTTCATCATGGGCTGACTGTACTGAGGGATTGCTGACCTACATCTCTCTTAGATGCAGCCTTCAGAAAACCAGCAAAGAGGTAGGGCAGCAAGCCAGCTTATGTGGTGACCAGAGGGTTTGGTGCAAGGGCATCTGTAGTAAGGTGTGGCCAGTGATGGCCATTTCTCTACCAGCAACTTTTTCACATAAGAGAGTTTTGCCCTAGGGAAGTGTTGGACCTAATTACTGTAATATAGCTTTGAAAATCAGAAGCTTGTCTAACTGAGCACTCCGTGGTTTACCGCCTCTCCCAGGCACCCAGATCCTTACAGGCCAGTCTCAGGCACACTGAGAGCCCATACCATACCATCTGCACTGGTAGGTCACATATAACTCCTGAAGAGCAACAGCTAGGCAGCCCCTATGACTGCAGCAGCCCACATGTTTCTTTCCCACACTGCACTTTCCCTCGAAAACATGGCAACTCCTCATATTACTTTACTGGCACATGTCTTCAAAGGCAGATTTGGCTTTGCTTGGCCCACTAGCAAACGGGAATGCAGTATGCTCCTGCCAACCCAGCAGCTGCCATTGTAGATAAAGCTTTGGTGGGCAGAGAGCCAAAAAGACTCACTGCTACCTTTATGCTAACACTGTGCAGAGAACAGTGTATCCTCCCACATTCTGAACAATCACTTCTTCTTTAGGGGGCAAAAAGAAGGCTTCAAACCTTCATTGGTCAGCATCCTACCACATGCTAACACCACATTTATTGCAACAGCACACAGTCTCCAGCAGGTGCACCTACTCCCATCCCAGCTACATTGCTCCTGCTACTGAGATGAATAAGTGAAGACAGGCAGAAACTCCATATCCACTAGCACTCTGCTGAAGCTGCAGAAACTTAGTCCAACAGGGTGGCAGACTCCAAATATCAAAGAGACAGGGAAGAGAGTTGGGGCTCAATACAATTCCCGCTGAGTATGAAGCCTCTGAGTTGTGAGCTGAGCACTTCCCCCAACCCCTCCACAAAAAATATAAAAAATAAAAATAAAAAAATAAAAACTTCTCCCAAGAACAAAGCCTGTTGGATGAAAGCACCTTATGCCACAATCAGATACTCAAGAACATCAAAATATGATTAAAAAATCTTCATTCAAAGTTCAGCAACCTCAAATATATGCCTACAAAGATGAGACAAAATCAATGCAAAACTGCTGGGGAAAAAAAAAAAAAGCTAGAGTGACTTATTTAATCCAAATAACCAACCTACATTTCCAGCAAGACCTAAGAAGACAGAAATAGAATTCAGAATGTGAATAGAAATAAGCTTCATTGAGCTACAAAAGTAAGTTGCAAACCAATGCAAGGAAGGGAAAATTGCAGAAACTGACAGATAAAACAAACAATCTGGAGGAAAATGTGGCCAGTGTGATAAAGCTGAAAAACAGAATACAAAACTTTATAATTTATTCACACATATTACTGCAGAATTGGCTAAGCAGAAGAAAGAATTTCAGAGTTTCAAGACTGGCTTTCTGAAATAATAGAGACAAGAATAGTAAAAAAAGAATAAATAGAAATGAACAAAACCTCTGAGAAATATTTAATTATGTAAAGTAACCAAATACATGATTAAAGAGAGTGCCTGAAAGTGATGGGGGGAATGAAAACAACTTGAAATACATATTTTGGAATATCATCCATGATAACTTCCCCACCTAGACAGTGAGGCAAACATTGAAATACATCAAGATAATATGGATCAATCAAACATAAAAAGGAATATACAGAAAACAATTATTTAAAGATGGAGTTTTAAAAATTAGCTGTGATAATTTGAATTGAAGTCTAGATCTATATTTAAAAGAAAAAAATTACCCTAAAAATCAATATTACCATCTGAAAGAGAAAATGAGAATAAAGATAAAAAATGAAATAACAAAAAGGAATTCACCAAAGATAAAGATCACAAAAAGAAATAAAAATTGTAGAGTAGAAGTACCAAAAAAAAACTAACATGGACTTCAACATTAGTAAAAAATATAAGAAATCAAGAAGCTCAGCAAATAACAATGAAGATTAACACAAAAATATTTCTAATAAGACACAACATAAACAATATTTTGAAATTCACAGACAAGAAGAGAATCTGGAATGCAAGAAGATAAAAGAGATGTGTTATTTGTATGCATGCTTCTGCAAGATTACAAGTAAATTTATGAACATAAATTTTTTGGGCAAGATGGGAGCAGGATGACATAGTTAAAACACTGAAAAAAAGAGTCTAAGCAAGAATACCACACCCAGCAAAAGTAACCTTCAAAACGAAAAAAAAAAAAAAAATTCTCACTATATCATGATGTATATTAAGATCAACTATGTCATGTCTTCAAGAGAATCACTTCAGATCTAATTTAAAAAAAGACAGAAAATGACAGGATGAGAAATACATTCCATGTAAGTGTTAACCCAATGAGTGGAAAAGAGGAAACAAGTTATTAAGTTGAAAACTCTGATATTTCATAAAATTTACTTTTTTTAATACCTGAAGTTCTAGGGTACATGTGCGCAACGTGCAAGTTTGGTAGGTATGTATACATGTGCCATGTTGGTGTGCTGCACCCATTAACTCATCATTTACATTAGGAATATCTCCCAATTCTATCCCTCCCCCTATCTCCAATCCCACGACAGGCCCTGGTGTGTGATGTTCCCCATCCTGTGTCCAAGTGTTCTCATTGTTCAATTCCCACCTATGAGTGAGAGCATGTGGTGTTTGTTTTTTTTGTCCTTGCAATAGTTTGCTGAGAATAATGGTTTCCAGCTTCATCCATGTCCCTACAAAGGACACGAATGCATCCTTTTTTATGGCTGCATAGTATTCCATGGTGTATATGTGCCACATTTTCTTAATCCAGTCTATCATTGTTGGACATTTGGGTTGGTTCCAAGTCTTTGCTATTGTGAATAGTTCCACAATAAACATACGTGTGCATGTGTCTTTATAGCAGCATGATTTATACTTCTTTGGGTATATACCCGGTAATGGCATGGCTGGGTCAAATGATATTTCTAGTTCTAGATCCTTGAGGAATCACCACACTGTCTTCCGCAATGGTTGAACGAGTTTACAGTCCCATCAAGAGTGTAAAAGTGTTCCTATTTCTCCACATCCTCTCCAACACATGCAGTTTCCTGACTTTTTAATGATCACCATTCTAACTGGTGTGACATGGTATCTCATTGTGGTTTTGATTTGCATTTCTTTTTTGGCCATGATGATGAGCATTTTTTCATGTGTCTGTTGGCTGCATAAATGTCTTCTTTTGAGAAGTGTCTGTTCATATACTTCACCCACTTTTTGATGAGGTCGTTTGTTTTTGCTTTTACCTTTGTTTGAGTTCTTTGTAGAGTCTGGATATTAGCCCTTTGTCAGATGAGTAGATTGCAAAAAATTTCTCCCCTTCTGTAGGTTGCCCGTTCACTGTGATGGTAGTTTCTTTTGCTGTGTAGAGGCTCTTTAGTTTGATTAGATCCCATGTGTCAATTTTGGCTTTTGTTGCCATTGCTTTTGGTGTTTTAGACATGAAGTCCTTACCCATGTCTGTGTCCTGAATGGTACTGCCTAGGTTTTCTTCTAGGGTTTTTATGGTGTTAGGTAGAACATTTAAGTCTTTAATCCATCTTGAATTGATTTTTGTATAAGCTGTAATGAAGAGATCCAGTTTCAGCTTTCTACATATGGCTAGCCAGTTTTCCCAGCACCATTTATTAAATAGAGAATGCTTTCCCCATTTCTTGTTTTTGTCAGGTTTGTCAAAGATCAATTGGCTGTAGTTGTGTGGTATCATTTCTGAAGGCTCTGTTCCATTCCATTGGTCTATATCTCTATTTAGGTACCAGTACCATGCTGTTTTGGTGACTGTAGCCTTGTAGTATAGTTTGAAGTCAGGTAGTGTGATGCCCCCAGCTCTGTTCTTTTGGCTTAGGATCGTTTGGCAATGCAGTCTCTTTTTTGGTTCCATATGATCTTTAAAGTAATTTTTTCCAATTCTGTGAAGAAAGCCATTGGTAGCTTGATGGCGATGGCATTGAATCTATAAATTACCTTGGGCAGTATGGTCATTTTCACGATATTGATTCTTCCTATCCATGAGCATGGAATGTTCTTCCATTTGTTTGTGTCCTCTTTTATTTTAATGAGCAGTGATTTGAGCTCCTTGAAGAGGTCCTTCACATCTCTTGTAAGTTGGATTCCTAGGTATTTTCTTCTTTTTCAAGCAATTGCGAATGGGAGTTCACTCTTGATTTGGCTCTCTGTTTGTCTGTTATTGGTGTATAAGAATGCTTGTGATTTTTGTACATTGATTTTGCATCCTGAGACTTTGTGGAAGTTGCTTATCAGCTTAAGGAGATTTTGGGCTGAGACAATGGGGTTTTCTGAATATAGAATCATATCATCTGCAAACAGGGACAATTTGACTTCCTCTTTTACTAATTGAATTCCATTAATTTCTTTCTCCTGCCTGATTGCCCTGGCCAGAACTTCCAACACTATGTTGAACAGGAGTGGTGAGAGAGACCATCCCTGACTTGTGCCAGTTTTCAAAGGGAATGCTTCCAGTTTTTGCACATTCAGTATGATATTGGCTGTGGGTTGGTCATAAATAGCTCTTATTATTTTGAGGTACGTCCCATCAATACCTAATTTATTGAGAGTTTTTAGCATGAAGGGCTGCTGAATTTTGTCAAAGGCCTTTTCTGCACCTATTGAGATAATCATGTGGTTTTTGTCTTTGGTTCTGTTTATATGTTGTATTACGTTTATTGGTTTGCATATGTTGAACAAGACTTGCATCCCCTGGATGAAGCCAACTTGATCGTGGTGGATAAGCTTTCTGATGTGCTGCTAAACTCGGTTCACCAGTATTTTACTGAGGATTTTTCCATTGATGTTCATCAGGGATATTGGTCTAAAATTCTCTTTTTTGTTCTGTCTCTGGCTGGCTTTGGTATCAGGATGTTGTTGGCTTCATAAAATGAATTAGGGAGGATTCCCTCTTTTTCTAATGATTGGAGTAGTTTCAGAAGGAATGGTGCCAGCTCCTCCTTGTACCTCTGGCAGAATTCGGCTGTGAATCTGTCTCGTCCTTGACTTTTTTTTGTTCATAGGGATTAATTATTGTCTCAAATTCAGAGTCTGTTATTGGTCTATTCAGGGATTCAACTTCTTCTTGGTTTAGTCTTGGGAGGGTGTATTTGTCAAGGAATTTATCCATTTCTTCTAGATTTCCTAATTTATTTGCATAGAGGTGTTTCTAGTATTCTCTGAGGGTAGTTACCATTTCTGTGGGATCGGTTGTGATATCCCCTATATAACTTTTTATTGTGTCTCTTTGATTCTTCTCTCTTTTCTTCTTTAGTAGTCTTGCTTAGCAGTCTATCAATTTTGGTGATATTTTCAAAGAACCAGCTCCCAGATTCACTGATTTTTTGAAGTGTTTTTTGTGTCTCTGTCTCCTTCAGTTCTGCTCTGATCTTAGGTATTTCTTGCCTTCTGCTAGCTTTTAAATGTGTTTGCTCTTGTTTCTCTAGTTCTGTTAATAGTGATGTTAGGGTGTCAGCTTTAGATCTTTCATGATTTCTTATGGGCATTTAGTGCTATAAATTTCCCTCTACACACTGCTTTAAATGTATCCCAGAGATTCTGATATGTTGTGTCTTTGTTCTCATTGGTTTCAAAGAACATCTTTATTTCTGCCTTCATTTTCTTATGTACACAGTAGTCATTCAGGAGCAGGTTGTTCAGTTCCCATGTAGTTGAGCAGTTTTGAGTGAGTTTCTTAATCCGGAGTTTTAGTTTGATCGCCCTATGGTCTGAGAGACAGTTTTTTATAATTTCTGCTCTTCTACATTTGCCGAGGTGTGCTTTACTTCCAACTATGTGGTCAATTATGGAATAAGTGTGATGTGGTGCTGAAAAGAACATATATCTGTTGATTTGGGGTGGAGAGTTCTGTAGATGTCTATTAGGTCCGCTTGGTGCAGAGCTGAGTTCTATTACTGGATATCCTTTTTAACTTTCTGTCTCATTAATCTGTCTAATGTTGATGGTGGGGTGTTAAAAAGTCTCCCATTATTATTGTGTAGTAGTTTAAGCCTCTGTGTAGGTCTCTAACGCCTTGCTTTATAAATCTGGGTGCTCCTGTATTGGGTGCATATATATTTAGGATAGTTAATTCTTCTCATTGAATTCATCCCTTTGCCATTATGCAACAGCCTTCTTTGTCTCTTTTGATCTTTGTTGTTTTAAGGTCTGTGTTATCAGAAATCAGGATTGCAACCCTTCCACCCCCCTTTTTTTCTATTTGCTTGGTAGATCTTCTTCCATCCATCTATGTTGAGTCTACGTGTGTCTCTGCACGTGAGATGAGTCTCCTAAATACAGCACACTGATGGGTCTTGACTCTTTATCCAATTTGCCAGTCTCTGTCTTTAATTCGAGCATTTAACCCATTTGTACTTAAGGTTGATATTGTTATGCTCGAATTTGATCCCGTCATTATGATGTTAGCTGGTTATTTTGCTCATTAGTTGATGCAGTTTCTTCCTATCATCGAAGGTCTTTAAAATTTGGCATGTTTTTGCAGTGGCTGGTACCAGTTGTTCCTTTCCATGTTTAGTGCTTCCTTCAAGAGCTCTTGTAAGGCAGGCCTGGTGGTGACAAAATCTCTCAGCATTTGCTTGTCTCTAAAGGATTTTATTTCTCTTTCACTTATGAAGCTTAATTTGACTGGATATGAAATTCTGGGTTGAAAATTCTTTTCTTTAAGAATGTTGAATATTGGCTCCCACTGTCTTCTGGCTTATAGAGTTTCTGCTGAGAGATCAGCTGTTAGCTTGATGGGCTTCCCTTTGTGGGTAACCCGACATTTGTCTCTGGCTGCCCTTAATATTTTTTCCTTCATTTCAACTTTGGCGAATCTGACAATTATGTGTCTTGGAGTTGGTCTTCTCAAGGTGTATCTTTGTGGCGTTCTCTGTATTTCCTGAATTTGAATGTTGGCCTGCCTTGCTAGGTTGGGGAAGTTCTCCTGGATAATATCCTGCAGAGTGTTTTCCAACTTGGTTCCCTTCTCCCCAATCAGACGTAGATTTGGTCTTTTCACATAGTCCCATCCTTCTTGGAGGCTTTGTTCATTTCTTCTTACTCTTTTTTCTCTAAACTTTTCTTTGCACTTCATTTCATTCATCTGATCTTCAATCACTGATACCCTGTCTTCCAGTTGATTGAACCAGTTACTGAAGCTTCTGCATTCATTGTGTAGTTCTTGTGCTATGGTTTTCAGCTCCATCAGGTCATTTGAGGACTTCTCTACACTGGTTATTCTAGTTAGCCATTTGTCTTATCTTTTTTCAAGGTTTTTTAGTTTCTTTGTGGAGGGTTCAAACATCCTCCTTTAGCTTGGAGAAGTCTGAAGCCTTCTTCTCTCAACTCACCAAAGTCATTCTCCATCCAGCTTTGTTCCATTGCTGGTGAGGAGCTGCATTCCTTTGTAGGGGGAGAGGTGCTCTGATTTTTAGAATTTTCAGCTTTTCTGCTCTGTTTTTTCCCCATCTTTGTGGTTTTATCTACCTTTGGTCTTTGATCATGGTGACGTACAGATGGGGTTTTTGTGTGGATGTTCTTTCTGTTTGTTAGTTTTCCTTCTAACAGTCAGGATCCTCAAGTCTGTTGGTATTTGCTGGAGGTCCATTCCAGACCGTGTTTTCCTGGGTATCAGCAGTGGAGGTGACAGAACAGCAAATATTGCTGAACAGCAAATATTGTTGCCTGATCGTTCCTCTGGAAGCTTCATTTCAAAGGGATACCCGGCCATGTGAGGTGTCAGTCTGTCCCTGCTGCAGTCTGTCCCTGCTGGGGGGTACCTCCCTGTTGGGCTAGTTGGGGGTCAGGGCCTCACTTGAGGAGGCAGTCTGTCCTTTCTCAGATCTCAAACTCTTTGTTGGGAGAGCCACTACTCTCTTCAAAGCTGTCAGATGGGAACTTTTAAGTCTGCAGAGGTTTCTGCTGCCTGTTGTTCAGCTATGCCCTGCACCCAGAGGTGGAGTCTACACAGGCAGGCAGGCCTCCTTGAGCTGTGGTGGGCTTCACCCAGTTCAACCTTCTGTGCCACTTTGTTTACCTACTCAAGCCTCAGCAATGGCGGATCCCCCTCCCCCAGCCTTGCTGCCACCTTGCAGTTTGATCTTAGACTGCTGTGCTAGCAACGAGTGAGGCTTCATGGGTGTGGAACCCTCCAAGCCATGCGTGGGATATAATCTCCTGGTGTGCCATTTGCTAAGACCATTGGAAAAGTGCAGTATTAGGCTGGGAGTGACCCGATTTTCCAGGTGATGTCTGTCATAGCTTCCCTTGGCTAGGAAAGGGAATTCCCTGATCCCTTGCACTTCCTGGGTGAGGTAATGCCTCGCCCTGCTTTGGCTCATGCTCAGTGACCTGTGCCCACTGTCCTGCACCCACTGTCTGACAAGCCCCAGTGAGATGAACCTGGTACCTCAGTTGGAAATGCAGAAATCAGCCATCTTTGTCATCACTCATGTGAGAGCTGTAGACTGGAGCTGTTCCTATTCGGCCACTTGGAACCGCCCCAAATTTTCTTTAAGACAATTTACAAGAGACCAAGTAGGACATTCAATTCTAGTAAGAGAGATCATTCACTGAGAATCTATAAATATATGAAAGTTTTCTCAAACACATTAAGTAAACATTGACAAAATTGAAGCCAAAATTGACAGCAATATAATAATGGAAGGGTACATCAATATCCCGCTTTTAGGAATAAATAAAACAAGACAGAATATCAATAAGGGAAGGAACAAGTTGAATGCACTATGCAATAATTACACCTAACAAATATATATAGAAAACTGAACACACATTCTTTTCAATAGCTAACAAATCATTTTGTGAGGTGGACCACGTGTGACACCACAAAAGACTTCATAATTTTTTAAATTAAAATTTTACAAGTATTTATAGTGCAAATGCAATAAAACTAGAAATTCGTAACAGAGAAAAGTTTGTGTGTGTGTGTGTGTGTGTGTGTGTGTGTGTGTGTTTGTTTTTGAGATGGAGTATCACTCTGTCCCTAGGCTGGAGGGCATTGACACAATCTCAGCTAACTGCAACCTCTAACTCCCGGGTTCAGTCAGTTCCCCAGCCTCACCCTTTTGAGTAGCTGGGATTAAAGGCATGCAAACCACCGTGTTTCCTGAGTAGCTGAGAATACAGTCACACAACCATAAAGTACAAATATTTTTTATAGTTTAGTAGAGACAGGGTTTCACCATGTTGTCCAGGATGGTCTCAATATCCTGAAGTCTCCATACACCCTCCTCAGCATCCCAAAGTGCTGAGAGTACAGGCATGAGTCACCACACCTGGCCAACAACACATTTTGAGCATGCTCTTCTTAAGAGTTGGAAGACATAATATTGTGATGTGTCCATGCTTCTTCGTGGCTTAATGTAACCCACATATAAAACATGACCCTTTTCAGTTTTAAATTTGAGTTTTCCAAAAATAGAAAAAAATTCACAAAATTATGTAAGATCTTAAGGGACCACGGAAAGCCTGACAAACTTTAAAAAGAAGAAAAATATTAGAAGCATTACACATAATAATTTCCAAACACACACATACAAAAATCTAGAGTAATCAAAGCACTTTGGCACTGGTAGAATAAAGGTAGAATACGAAGTAATGAAATAGAATGCAGCACAAACATATACTCTTGCATAGAGAGGAGAGATATGTCACCTAGCTTTTACATTCAGCCGTATGTCACAATTCTTTTGGGCTGAGGATGCAGGCAAGAGAGGAGGGTTACATTACTTGGACATTAGTTTCAGTGGTATTTCAAAATGTTCTCTGGGGGCAGGGCACAGGCAGGAGAGACAAACCACGCATCTGATAGACCCAGATAGTTGTGATTATATCCCCTGTTACCAGGGCCCAGGCAGAAGAGGCACATTATTATGATTCTGACCTAGCGATATGTAACAATGCACCCATGGAAAGTAATTTGAGGCAAAAAGTCTCAATACCACGATACTAGGCCAGTGATATGACACCATCCCTTCATCTTTGAGGATGACTTTAACCTTTAGCTGAGCATGTATATTAGAGTCACAATCTCACGTGTGTGCTGGACCAATGTATTACACTCTCAAAAACATCTAAGGGCTTTATAAAACCCGTGTGAGAGTTTCAAACCTCTCTGAGGCCTATTTGCTCATATGGACTCACGGTCTTACCTATCATCCTAAACTGAGTTATGATGCTCAACATCTCTCCTATAGGCAGTGTTAAAAGAGAAGATCCATTTTATTTTATTTATTTTAATTTATTTTTTATTATTTATTTATTTTTTTCTGAGATGGATTCTCACTCTGTCACCAAGGCTGGAGTGCAGTGGTGCCATCTCAGTTCACTGCAACCTCTGCCTTCTGGGATCAAGGGATTCTCCTGCCTCAGCCTCCCAGATGGCTGGGACTAGGGGTGTGTGCCACGATGCCCAGCTAATTTTTTGTATTTTTAGTAGAAATGGGGTTTCACCGTATTAGACAGGATGGTTTCGATCTCCTCACCTCATGATCCACCTGCCTCAGCCTCCCAAAGTGCTGGGGTTACAGTCATGAGTCACCGCACCCAGCCAGGAACACCTATTATTATGCCTGTGGGCTCGGTTCAGAAATAAGTCACCATCCCATCTGTGTCCAGATCCAAATAAAAAAAAAAAAGGTCCAATTTCAAATTTGTGATGTATTCCCTCATTAGACTCAGAACTTCTACAGTGGGCATTATAAATGTGGGATGGTGACAACTTTTAATTTCATCTGGGTGTGTAAATGAGAGTCCCATTCTGAACTTTTTGCCAGGCCCTGTTATAAAGCTCTCTACCAGCAGAGTTTATACAATATAAGTTAGTGTTGTAGACTTCTGTGAGCTTGGAAAAATATGCAACCCAGGACCTTACTTATTGCCCTAAGCCTAACACTGAGAGGCAAAAGATTTTTTAATTGGCTGAATCCAAATATAAGTTTAATCATTATGCCTGTGAACTGAAGAAAGGCATATGTCATAATCCCATATATGAGCAAAAAACTAGGCAGAAGGGTAACATCACTTAGACGCTTTGCCAGGCAATATGTAACAATGCTTTTTCCATGTCTGGTATAAGAAATTGGGTCAAATTAACTGGGTGCTGGACCCATCATTATGACACCATCCCACATGCAGAAAAAACCCAGTCAAGTTATGAGAGCCAAAACACCTAGATAATGGACTTAAGATATGTCAAAATACCTTCATTGGCTCAAGAACGGGCAGGAGAGTCACATCATAAGGGTGCTTGGCCCAGCAATATGCCATATGTCATAATTTTCTCTCTATGCAGAACCAAGGTTGTAGAGTGACATCATCTGGGCTATGGACCCTGGAATAGGTCAAAATTTCATTTATTGTGGCATAATTCAGGAAAAAAGGGAGAGTCACATATTGTGAGTGCTGGGCTTAGTAATGTGCCCAAATCCTCCTACTGTGAATGCCCAGGCAGAAAAAGAGTCACATCACTTAGGTCATGGGCTCAGAGATATGTCACAATGTCCCCAGGATGCAGGACTCAGGCAGATGACAAGAGCCGTATCACTTATGTTCTTTCCATGGAATATGTCACAGGTAATATGTGGTCAGAAAGCAGGCAGAATAGCCACATCACTTGGGTGCTGGGTCCTGAGATATAGCACAAGGCTCTCTTAAAACAGCCCCCAGCAGAGAGAGCTACATCACCTAGGTGCAGTTTCTCTGCTTATGCCACAATGTTCCATGTGGGTAGGGCCCAAAAAAGGAGTCACTTCACCTAGGAGATAGGTCCAGAGATATATCACAATGTCCTCTATGAAGCATAGCCCTGGCAAAAGAGTACTACTACTTATGTGCATGGCCAAGAAATATTTCACCTCGAGGTTGGCAGGTCCCAAGCAGGAGAGCCACATCTCCTAGGTGATAGGTCCAGAGTTATGTCAAAATGCCCTCCTTTGGGCAAGGCTCTGCCAAAAGAGTATCCTTGCCTGTGGGCCTGGCCTTGCAATATGTCACTATCCTTCCTTTGTGCACGGCCCATTCCAGAGAAAGGAGTTACATCACCTATGAGGTGGACACAGAAATATGTCACTATAATTTGGGTGGGCATGGCACAGGCAAGAATGTAACATTACTTGGGTGCTAGATCCAGTGATATATCACAATCCTTACTGAGAGAGGGGCCTATGAAGGAGAGTCATATAACTTAGAGTTTGGCCTAAGTAGATATCAGAATCCCATATATGGACTAGGACCACCCTGGAGACTCAAATTACACAGGAGCTTGGCAAAAATTTATATCAAAATCACATTTTCAGAAAATTCCAAAGGTGAGATTTACAATACCACACATCTTGCTTTTATGTGTGACAACTGGCTTAATCCTTGTGAAATAATGACAGTCCTTACACACGGCTCGGTGTGTATACAGGACTCACAATTTCACCTGTGTGCCAAGCCCTGCTTTGATGCTGTCTGTATAAACTAAAGACCTTGTAAAATATGTGGAGTGTTGTAATCTCTTGTGATCTTTGCAGAAAAAGGAGATCCAAGACATCACGCATGTCCCTAAAGTTAGTTATGAGTCAAAATATTTTCTATTGGCTGAGCCCACATATGAGAGTCATAATTCCTGTGAGCCATGCCTAGTATATGCTACAATTCCCTCTGTGGTTATGAAGCAGGCAGAACAGCCACATCACCTAAATACTGGGCTAGAAATATTTCAATATTCTCTTAATAGGCAGGGTACTGTCAGAAATTTTACATAACTTGTGTTCTAGGTTCAGCTATGTGGTACAATGTCATTTGTAGCAGTATCGAGGCAGGAGGGGAGAGTTATATGACCTAAATCATGGGCCCAAATATATGTCACAGTGCCTCATTTTGGCAGGGCCCAAGCAAGAAATTCATATCATTTGGATACAGTGTTTAGAAAAGCTACAATTACCAAAGGAAGCAGGGTCCAGGCAGGAAAGGAGAGGCATGTAAGCTATAATATGTGTCCAGAAATATGTTAACAATTCCCCCCTGCGGACACTGTTAAGATAACACAAGCAATCATTAATATGTGCGGCACAGTTATTTGTCAAAATCTCATTTATGGGCTATACAGAGGCAGAAATACTAAGTCAGTCAGCAGCTGGGCAAAAGTACTTGTCACAATTACCAGGCATATGAGTTGTTATTAGACTTTTGTAATTTTCTCTGGTATATTGCATAATATCAACTGTGGCCATAGAGAAGGCAAGAAAGTCACGTCACCTATGTGGAGGTGGCACCAGTGAGATGTCACAATCCACCTTCTGGGCAGGACCCTGGCAGAAAAGCCACATCACCTTTATGCTGACTGCAGTGACATATCCAAATCCCGTCTGTGGGCAGGACTGTAGCAAGAGAGGACACTCATTTGACCTAAGGAATTTATCTAGATATGTCTCACAATGTCTTTGATGTGCAGTACCAATGTTAGAGAGTGCCTTCACATTGTTTCTGGGTCCAGCAACAGGCCACAATCTCCGTGTGGTCAGGGCCTAAGCAAAAGTGAAGAAACATCACCTACATGCTGAGCCAAGTGATGTGTTACATCACTTCCTGTTGGCAGAACCCAAAAAGGAGAATCACATCACCTGTGTGCAGTACCCACTTCTGTGTCACAGTGCACTGTAAATGAAGGACCCAGGCAGCAGAAGGGATTCACATCACTTCCATGATGGGCTCAGATATGGCCCAATGTCACAAGTAGCCAAGGCTCAGGCAGAAAGAGAGAGTCATATTACATAGGTGCTTCTTTTTGCATATATCACAAATTAATATGTGGGCAGAAACCAGGCTAAAGAGCCACATCATCTGGTCCTGGGCCCTGACATGTTCATAAGTCCCCCTTAGAACAGGACCCAGACAAGAGAGTTATATCACCTAGGTGCAGATTCCACCCTTATATCACAAAGATCCATGTGGACAAGGCAAAGCAAGAAGTCATATAATCTAGGTGATAGGCTCAGAGATATGTCATAAAGCCTTCTTTAAAGCATGGCCCTGGCAAAAGAGTACAATCACTTTTGTGCCTGGCCTGGCAATGTGTCACTATTCAAGTGGGCAGGTCCCAAGCAGAAGAGCCATATCACCTACATGATAGGCCTATGATATGTCAAAATGCCCTCTTGTTACATGACCCTGGCATCCTCTTCTAAGTGATGGACACAGTGAAATGTCACAATGATGTTGAGGGAAATCAGGGACCCCGAACAGAGGGACTGGCTGAAGCCATGGCAGAAGAACATAAATTGTGAAGATTTCATGGACATTTATTACTTCCCCAATCAATACTTTTACAATTTCCTATGCCTGCCTTTACTTTAATCTCTTAATCCCATCATCTTCATAAGCTGAGGATGTATGTCACCTTAGGACCCTGTGATGATTGCATTACCTGCACAAAATGTTTGTAGGGCAGGTGTGTTTGAACAATATGAAATCTGGGCACCTTAAGAACAGGGTAACAGCGATTTTCAGGGAACAAGGGAGATAACCTTAAAGTCTGGCGGCCTGTGGGCTGGGCAGGACAGAGCCATATTTCTCTTATTACTGAAAACGGGTAAGATAAATACCGCTGAATTCTTTCCCCAGTAAGGAATATTAATAATTAACAGCCCTGGGAAAAGAATGCATTCCCAGGGGGGAACATCTAAAATGGACACCCTAGGAGTGTCTGCCTTATGCAGATATAGATAGGGATGAAATACACCCTAGTCTCCAGCAGCATCCCCAGGCGTGCTAGGATTAGGACATGCCAGCCTGGCAAAATCTAGTCAGACCGGTTCTCTGCCCTTGAACCCTGTTAAGATGACAATGCGTGCACAGCTGGACATGGACGTTCATTAGTGATTCTAATGTTGCCCTGATCTCATGATCTCACCCCGACCTTCTGCCTTGTGATCTTTTGTTGACCTTGAAGCATGTGATCTCTGTGACCCACACCCTATTCATACACTCCCTCCCCTTTGAAAATTGCTAATAAAACCTTGCTGGTTTTATGGCTCAGGGGGCATCAGGGAACCTGCCAACGTCTGATGTCTCCCCCGGATACCCAGCTTTAAAATTTGTCTCTTTTGTACTCTTTCCCTTTATTTCTCAGACCAGCCAACACTTAGGGAAATAGAAAAGAACCTACGTGAAATAACATTGAATTATCGGGGGTGGGCATAGTGCAGCAAGAATGTAACATCACCTGGGTGCTGGATCCAGTGATGTCACAATTCTTATTGAGAGCACAGCCCAGGCGGAAGTGTCACATCACTTGAAAATTGGCCCAGGTAGATATCAAAATTCCATATATAGGCTGGACCCAATCTGAAGAGTGAAATTACACAGGTGCTTGGGAAAGATTTATATCACATTCACAATGGAATTAAATTCTAGGAATTAGATTTACAATGCCACACATGTCCTCTTTTTATGTAGGATAGTTGCTTTCATTCATCTTTGATGTTGAAAGCCCTTACTGTTATTTGGGTGTGCATATGAGACTCATAGTTTTCTCTGTCTGCTAGGCATTATTATGACACTCTATATAACCCAAGGTTGTTATAAATTATGTGTGTTTGTTATGATTTTCTGTGAGCTTTTTACCAGATGAAGGTCCTTAACATCACTCATGTCTCAAAATCTTGTGACAAAAGTCAAAATTTACCTTATTGCCTGGGTTCCCATATTAGAGTCATTATCATGCCTGTTAGCTGTACCTAGGTAAATGTCATCATTACCTCTGTGGTTATTAAACAGACAGGACAGTCACATCACCTAAATTTTAAGTCAGAATTATTCCAATATTCTCTTTGAAGGCAAGACACTAACAGAAAATTCACAAAACTTGGGTTTTAAGCAAAGCCCTATGGCATAATACCCCTGTGGAGAATGCCCAGGAAGGAGAGTAGAGTCATGTCACCTAAATCATGGCCCCAGAGATATGTCACAATGCCTCCTGTTGAAAAGGGCCCATGCAATAGAATTGTGTCATTTGGATCCAGTGCATAGAAATGCTAAAATCTTCACTAGAATCAGGATTCAGGCAGGAGAGGAGAGACACACAACCTAGAGGATGAATCCAGCAATATGTTATGATCCCTTCTGAGGACACTGTTAAAACATGAGAGTCAAATCATCACGCTTTTGTCCAGGTATATGTCAAAATGTCATCTGTTAGCTATAACTGAGTAGGATTATTAAATCACTCAGGAGATTGGCAAAGGAAAGTGTCACAATAACACCTATAAAAAGTTTCAGGCTCCAGGTGCAATGGTCGTTATTAGGCCTTTGATCTGCTCTCACATATATGACACAATATAACCTGTGAACATGGAGAAAAAAGGAAATTCTCATCACCTGAGTGGATGCTTGTCTAGTTGAATGTCACAATCCTTGCTGTGTACAGGCCTCTAGAAGAAGAGTCACTTAACCCGGATGTTGGTTTCAGTGATATATCTAAAACCCCCTGTGGGCAGGGCTTAGGCAGGAGAGGACACAAACCTCACCTAGGCAATTGGCTTGGGTATATGTCACAATGGCCCCTATGTTTATGACCAAGGCAGGAGAGTGAACTCACCTTGTGCTGGTTTCACCTATATGTCACCATCTCTCTGGTGGTCAGGGCTCAGTCAAGAGAGAAGAAACATCACCTAGGTGCTGAGCCAAGTGATATATTATACAGTTTTTATATTGGTAGAATCTACCCCCTCCAAACAAAGGGTCCCATCACATGGGTGCAGTACCCAGTTATGTGTAACAATGCACTAGAAGTGCAAGGCCAAGGCAGTAGAAGGAAGTCACATCACTTATATGATGGACCTTGATGAAAGCCACAGTGCTCTTTGTAGGCAAGCTTCCGGCCAAGGTTTTGCATCAGCTGGGTGCTTCTTTCAGGGATATGTAAAGATGTCCTTGGTCCCTCTGCCAAAGAAGATATCATATATTGCTTAGGTGCTTAGCACACATATGTCACAATCCGAACTGTGCTGTGGGCCTAGAAAGGAGATTCAAAACAGTCAGATACTGGGCAAAGTCATACTTCTAAAGCACACACTCGAAAATGTTCAGAAATACATTTCATAGTCCCACACAAGTCCTGCCTTCGGGTGTAAGAGTCAACATCTCCTGTGAGTTGGGTCGAAGTACAGACATCAGAGTCTCAACAATGGGCAAGATGCATGTATAAGAGCCCCAATCCCACTTGAAGATTGTGCTCCACTAGTAGATTCAAAGCACCACAGGCTTGCTGAATCATCGTTCAAATGCCACCAAACCAACTGCGGATCAGATTCATGTATGAGAGTTACAATTTTAAGATTTCAACTGCTTATGTGTGTGAAATTTAGTACCTCATTTGTAGGCTCTGTTTATGTATGAGAATGAAAATCGTGTCAGCTGGGTGTGCATCCAAGACTCAAAATAGCACCTGGTTGTTGGTGCCTGTTATGAAACTCTTTGTACCACTCATGATTTATGTGATATACCTGAGTAGCACAGTTTTCTGTGAATTGTTACAGGTGGGAGGTCTCAGAATTTATCCATGGCCATAAGACTGGCAACGAGAACCAAAATATCTCCCTTGGCTGCGTCAACGTTTGAAAGTTTTTGTTACACATATGAACTGATTTCATGAGTAAGTCCCAATTTTATGTTTGGGCAGAGACAAGACAGTAGAATCACATCATCTGGGTCCTTAGCCAGGCATACCTTATAATCTCCTCTGTAGGCACAACCCAGACCGGAGGCTTATATCACTTGGGTACAATCTCAAATAATATGTCATCATGCCCACTGTATACATGGTTGAAAAAATAGTGGATAGTCACACCTCCAGGTGCCATGTTCAACAACATATTAAAATTCCCTCTCTTGACAGAGTACATAACAAAGGGTACTGTCACATCATCTAGGTTTTATACTCAGTGGTATGTCACAATTTCTTCAGTGGGCAGGATCCAGGCAGCAGAGGAGATTCGCTTTATCTAGATGTTGTATCTAGCAATATGTCACAGTGTCCCCTGTGGGCAGGGCACTGGGAGGAGAGACACATCACCTACCTGATAGACCCAGAGATATGTGATAATATCCCCTGGTGCCAGGGTCCAAGCGGAAGAGTCACCTTTTCATCATTTTAACCCAGTGATGTGTCACAATGCACCCATGGTAAAGAATTTAAGCCGAAAATTCTCAACACCTAGGAGTACTGGGCCTAGAGATATGACACAATCTCTTCATCTTTTAGGGTGACACCTTTAAGGGCTAGCTTGGTGTGTATGTGAGAGTCACAATCTCATGTGTTTTCTAGATCATCGTATGACACATTCTGCAGCATCCGAAGGCTTTATGCAACATGCATAAGAGTAGCAACCTACTCTAAGGCATACATGCTCGTATTGACTCATAATCTTATATACTGCTTTAAACCCAGTTATGATAGTCAGCATCTCTCTTATAGACTGGGTTCAGATGGGAGACTGATTATTATGCCTGTGATCTGGGTCCAGAAATGAGCCACCATCTCATCTGTAGCAAGATCCATATATGAAAGTCAAAATTCCATCTTTGTTCTTTATTTACTTGTTATACTCAGTACTTTGACAGTGGCCTCTGTAAATGTGGGATGGTGATAACTTTTGCTCTCACCTGCATGTGAAACCAAGAATCATGATCTTAACCTTTTGCTGGGCCCTGTCCTAATAAGTTTATAGAATATGAGTTAGTGTTGTAACATTCTGTGAGTTTTGTACAAATATGCAACTCATAACCTTACCTATTGCCATAAGCATAGTGATGAGAGGCAACATATCTATTATTGGTGTAATCCCAATTAAAATTTGACCATCATCCCTCTGAATAGAAGGAATGTAAATTTAATAATCCAATTTGTAGGAAAAAACTTGACAAGAAGGTAGCACAATTTAGGTATTGTGCCAAGCAATGTGTCACAATGCCCTCTCTAGGCAGGGTGTAGAAATGGGGGTTACATTAACTGGGTGCTAGACCCAGCAATATAACACAATCCCGAATATGGAAGAAAAACAGATAAATCATGAGAGCAAACACACCTACAACATGGGACCAAGATATGCTAAAATACTTTCTGTTGCTGTGGCACAGGCAGGAACTTACATCATCGGGGTTGGGGGCCCAACTGTATGCCATAATTCTCTGTGAAGGACCAAGGCAGCAGAGGAACATCATCTGGGTGCTGGGCCCAGCAATATGTCAGAATTCCTTTTCACGGGCACAGTTTGGGAAAAAAGGAAGAGTCATATCTCCTAAGTATCAAGCTTAGCAATATTTCACATTACCTCATCGTAAAGTCTCTGGCAGAAAAGCAGGGTCACATCACCTAGGACAGGAGCTCAGATATATGGCCAAATATTCCAAGTAGGCAGGGCTCAAGCAGAAGAGAAGAGTCATAACACATATCATATAGGTGCTTCCCTAGGTATATGACACAGTCTTACATGTGGGGTGAAAGCAGGCAAAAGAGCTACATCACGTTGATGCTGGATTCTGAGCTATCTCACAAGGTCCCCTTAGGACAGGACCCAGGCAAGAGAGTTAGAGCAAATAGGTGCAGTTTTTGCCCCTATGTTTCAATGCTCTATGTTGGCAGGACCCAGGCAGGGAGTCACATCACCTAAGTGATAGGGCCAGAGATATTTCACAATATCCCCCTGAGACTTGGCCCTGGTGAAAGAATAACAATACATTTGTGCCTAGCCTAGCAACATGTCACTATACAGGTAAGCATGACCCAAGCGGTAGAGCAAAATCCCCTATGTGAAGACCCAGAAATTTGTCATAATGCCCTTTTTAGGACATGGCCCTAGCAAAAGAGTATCATCAGCTTTGTGCCTGGCCCAACTGTATGTTACTGCCCCTGACAGTGCACAGGGACCATTCTAATGAGGAGATTTATGTGACCTAAGTTGTTGACACAGTGATATGTCACAGTGATTTCTGTAGGCAGGGCTCAGGCAAAAATGTAACATGACCAGGGTGCTGGATCTAGTGGTATGTCATGATTCTTACTGACAGCAAGGCTCAGGCAGGACAGTCACATCACCTGGAGGTTATTCAAGGTACATATCACAATTACATATGTGGGATGAAAAAAGTTTGGAGAGTCCAATCACAAGGTACTCGGCAAATATTTATCTCACACTTACAGAAAATTCCCAGGATGAGATTTACAATCCCACACATATCCTGTTTTCAGGAGTGACATGTGGCTTCATATATATGAGATGGTGACAGTCTTTACTGCCAGCTGAGTGTGTGTATGAGACTCACCATGCACTCTCTGTATTCTGTTATCACACTCTCTGTTGTATTCTGTTATTGCACTCTCTGTACAAGCCAAGGGCTTTATAAAATTTCTGAGGCTATTATAATCTTCTGTGGCCTTTTTTTAAAGCAGAGAGATTCAATCACTCATGTTTCTAAAGCAAGTAGTGAGAGTCAAAATTACTCCTATTTGTGGGGTATGAGAGTCATTATTATGCCTGTGAGTTGTGCCTAGTTATATATCACAATTTACTCTGTGGTAATGAAGCAGGTGTGACTGCCAAGTCACCTAACTATTGAACAAGAATTTTTCAAATATTCTACTTGTAGAAAAGTTCCTGGACGAAAAGTTGCATAACTTGGGGGTGTCAACCAGATGTATGACACAATGCCCCTTTTAAGCAGTGTCTAGGCAGAAGAGGAGAGTCATATAACTTAAATTATTGGCCGAGAGATGTGCAACAATGCCTTCTGTTGAAGGAACCAGTCAGGAGAGTCATGTCATTTGCATGCAGTGCTTAGAAATGCTACAATCCCCAAGGCAGAGGTTGCAATGAGCTAAGATCACACCACTGCACTCCAGCCTAGGTAACAAAAAAAGAAAGAAAAGAAAAGAAAAGAAAAAAATGCTACAATCCCTGTGGAAGCAGAGTCCAGGCAGAGGAGGCAAGGCAGGGAGACAGGTAACCTAGAAGATGGATTCAGAGACATGTTACAATTCTTCCTGGGGATATTGTTAAGACAGGAGAGTCAAATCACCAAGGTGAGCAGCTGAAATATATAGGTGAATCTCACTTGTGGACTACACCTTGGCAGGATTATTAAATCACTCAGGAGCTGGACAATTGTGTATGTCGCAATAACATTAGTGAAATGCTTCAGGAATGGGAGTCACCATATAGCATATGACCTGGCTCCATATTTAAGAGTCATGATTAGTCAGTCCTCTTATCTCATCTCAGGTATATGTCACAACATCGGCTGTGAGTGGAGAGCAAGTGGGAAGGTCACATCACCTGGGTGGGTGCTGGTCCTGTGAGATGTCACAATCCATCTTGTGGGCAGGACTCTGAAAGAAGAATCACATCAACTGGATACTGTTTTTGGTGATATATCAAAATCCCACCTGTGGGAAGGGCTTAAGAAAGAGAGGAGGCTCACTTAACCAAGGCAGTTGGCATAGGTATATGTCACAATGGCTGCTGTGTGCAAAACCAAGGTAAGAAAGTGACTACACCTTGGTGCTGAGTTTATCAATATGTCACAATCTCCCCTGTGATCAGGTCGAGAGAAGAGAGGAGAAACATGACCTAGGTGATGAGCAAAGTGATATGTTACAAAGCTTCTCATTGGCAGAACCCAAAAGGGAGAGTCACATCACTTGGGTGCAGAACCCAGTTGTGTGTTGCAATGCTCCATAAGTGCAGGGCCAAGGCAGGAGAAGGGAGTCACATCACTTACCTGATGGACCTAGATATCAGCCACAGTGCTCTTCTTGGGCAGCACTCAGGCAGATAATTCAAATCACCTTGGTGCTGGTCCCAGTGATATGTAAAAGTGTAATTTGTAGGCAGGCCCAGGCACCTATGCTTAGGGGCATGGTCCAGGCATGTCACAATTTTATCTGTGGTTATGGCCTAAAAATGAGAGTCAAGTTATTCAGAAGCTGGGCTAACTTTTATGTCCTAATCACACACTAGGATATATTCAGATATAAGTTTCACAGTCCCACACAAATCCCAGCTTTGTGTATGTGAGTCAACACCCCCTATGACTTGGGCCAAAGTAGAGGAGTCACAGTCTCAACAGTGAGCATGATCCATGCATAAGATGCCCAATTCCACTTTAAGATTGTGTTCCAGGAGGGGAGTCACAGCTTCACAGGTGTGCTGAATCATGCATCACCAAAAGACCCGTGGACCAGACACATGTATGAGAGGAACAGTTTCAACCAGGGACAGCTGTTTTGTGTGAGATTTAGTACCTTATTTGTAGGGGCTATTCTTGTGAGAGAATGACAGTAGGATCAGCTGATCGTATGTACATGAGTCACAATAGCACTGGGTTACTGTCCCTGTTAGGACATCCTTTGTACCATTCAGGCTGTATATCATATGCCTGAGTGTCATAGTCCTCTGTGAACTTTATACAATTAGTAGACCCATTGCTTTACTTATGGCCATAAGACTGGTTAAGAATGTCAAAATATCTCTTCTTTCTGGGTCTAGATATAACAGCTGTATTTGTGCATGTGAGCTGAACCCAGGTATATGTCACTATTTCTCCTGTGGGCAGAACCAAGGTAGGAGACTCTCATCACCAGGATTCTGAGCTGAGAATACATTATAATCTCTTCTGCAGGTAGTGCCAAGTCAGAAGAGTCATATCATCTGGGTGCAGCTTCAAGGTGTTAGACTCAACAATATTTAAAAATGTCCTCTGTTGGCAGACTCCAGAATAAAGAGCAGAGTTGCATTATTTAAATTTTGCATTCAGCACTATGTACCTATTTCTTTAGAGCACAGGACCTAGGCAGGAGAGAGAAGTCACATTTCCTAAATGATACATTAAAAGATGTCATAATGTTCTTTGGGAGCAAAGCACAGGTAAAATTGACAAATCACCTAGTGGATAGGCTCATAGATATGTGACAATATCTCCTTTAGGCAGTGCCCTGGCAGAAGAGTCTCACAATGCACACACGGGAAACAATTTAAGCAAAAGTTTTAACACCTGGTTACTAGGTCCAGTGATATGACACAATCTCATTGACATAATATGTTATCGGAGCTCTTATACATGGATCCTGTCCACTGTTGAGATTGTGAGTCCTCTAGTTTAGCCTAACATAAATAGGATTGATTCACATATGTGAAACCAGGACTTGTGTGTGATGTGAAATTATTTCCAAACCTTTCTTAGCATGTGATTGGGACAGGTAACTTTGCCCAGCACATAAATAGCGGGACTCTCTTTTCTAGGCTCAGACCACAGATGAAATTGTGCCATATGTGGAACAAACATGAAAGCAATATATGATATCTTCCTTGACTCTGCCTACAAAGGTCACTTTAATATATTACTGAGACCATCACCCAGGTCATGTGAATTATCTGCCTGAAGCCTGCTTACAAAGACAATTGTGTTCTATATCTAGGTCCATCAGGTAAGTGATGTGACTCCCTTGTACTGCCTTGGCCCTGCAGTTACAGTGCATTGTGTCACATAACTGGGAACTTCATCCAGGGGATGGGATTCTCCTTTTTGCATTCTGTCAACAGGAAACCTTGTAACGTATCACTTGGCTCAGAACCTAAGGTGATGTTTCTTCACTTTTGCCTGTGCCCCAGCCACAGGGAGATTGTGACATATTGCCAAACCCACTGACCAACGTAAGGTAACTCTCCAGCCTTGGCACTGTACATAAGGGCCATTGTGACATATGTCTAGGCCAATTGCCTAGGTTAATTGAGTCTCCTCTATTTCCAAAGTCATGTTTACAAGGAGGTTTTTGTCACTGAAACCAGCATCCAGGTGATGTGACTCTTCTGCAAAGGTCCTGTCCACAAGGTGGATTGTGATATCTCACTGGAGCCACAGCCACTTATGTGATGTGACTTTCTTGCATTCTCTCTGACCAGAGGTGATATTGTGCCATATACCTGAAACCATAACAAAAGCCTAGTAACAGCTTATATACCTGAAGCCAGGATATGTTCAGGAGAGTTATTCTTATTCTTAAACGTTTCCGCAAGTGTAATCATGACATAAACCTTTGCACTGCTCCTGAGTGATTTAATAATTCTGCCTAGGTATCACCCACAAATGAGGTTTTGTCAAATGCCTGGGCCAAGCACCTTGGTGATTTGACTCTTGCTGTCTTAACAATGTCCTCAGGGGATATTGTAACATATTTCTGGACACATCACCTAGGTTACATGACTCCCCTCTCCTGCCTGTACCCAGCTCGCTTTGGTAATTGTAGCATTTCTAAACACTATATCCAAATGATATGACTCGTTTTTCTGGGCCCTGTCAACATTAGTCATTGTGACATATTTTTGGGGCCAACATTTAGGTGATATGACTCTCCTCTTCTGTCTGGACACTACCCACAAGGGACATTGTGCCACAGAGCTGGATTTAGCACAGAAATTATGTGAGATTTCTGACAGGACCCTGCCTACAAAGAGAATATTGGAATATGTACAGTCCAGCATTTAGGTGATATGACTATTCTTCCTGCTTTATAACCACAGAGAATATTGTAACAGATACCTAGGCATGACTCACAGGAGTGATAATGACTCTCATATGTGTACTCAGCCTATAGAGAATATTTTGACACTTATAACTAGATTTAGGGACATGCATGATGTCCTGTATCGCCTTCTTCTACAAAGGTCACAAAAGATTACAACATTCACATGTATTTTCCAAAGTCTTTGGGTTATACAGACAGAGTCAAAGCAGGGCTCAGCACACAGCTGAAATTGTGAGTCTTGTATGCACACCCAGCTGACAGAAAGGACTGGATGGAAGGACTGGACACAGGTGAAATTGTGACATATACCTGAAAAAGCATCTAGGTGTTATGACTCTTTATTTCTGCCTGAGTATTGCCTACTTGTGGCATTGGGCCATATCTTTGAGCCCATGACCTAAGTGATGTGAGTCTCTTATTCTGTCTAAGCCTTTACAATGAGAAGATTGTGATGTGTTGATGAGCCCAGCAATTAGGTAATGTGACTCTCATCATGTTGCCAAAAATTGCCTACAAACAGGACTTTTGCTGTAGTTCAGGGCCCCACACCTGGATTCTGTTACACTTATTCCTAGGTCGTGCATAAAGAGGGAATTTCAGCATATTTCTGGGCCTAGCACACTAATGATGTGACTCTCCAGCCTGTGCCAGAGCCAGAGCAGGTATTTTGATATACCTTTGGCCCATTTCCATAGGTGTTTTGAGTCTCCTTATTTTGCTGGGTTTCTTCTATGTGAAGTTGTGTTATATTGCTGGCTCCAGAGCCCAATTATTGTGACCCTCTTTCCTAAGACCTGCATAGACAAGGCATTGTGTCATACTTCTTGCCACAACACCTAAGTGATATCAACCTCCTGCCGATTTTTTTTGCCCACAAATTTGATTATAACATATACCTTTCTTCAGTTCAAAAGCATGATGATCATGCTTCTATTGGGATTCAGCCAGTACGAGACGTTTTGCCTTTCATGACTAGGTTTAAGTCAGTAGGTAAAGCCTTTAATTGCATATGTGAACAAGCTCACAGAATTTTACAACAATAACTCATCTCACAAAAACTTTTTAGGTGGTAGAGAATTTTATAACAGGGTCCAGAAAAATGTTAGTATCATGATTTTACACAACACGTTCATGTGAAAGTAAAAGTTATTACCATCCTGCGTTTACAACGTTCATTGTTGAGGTCCTCAATCTAATAAGTAAACACAGCACAAAGATGAAATTGTAATTTTTATCAAAGAATCTGGCCACAGGTGGGATGGTCACTCAGTTCTGGACCCAGCTCACAAACCCAATAATGCTGTCATCCTTGAAGCCAGCATATAAGAGAGATGTTGACTGTCATATCTGAGTTTAGTGCAATATGTAAGATCGTGAGTCCATATAAGCATGTAGGCCTCAGTGAGGTTTCAACTCTCATGCATGTTATATAAAGTTCTCAGATGTTGTATAGAGTGTCATACTATGGCCAGCACCCATGTGAGTTTGTGACTGACATATACACAACTAGGTAATAGTTAATGGTGTCACCCTTATAGTTGAGGAGACTGTGTCATATCCTTCACCTGGCACCCCAGTGTTGAGACTTTTTGGTTTAAATTCTTTTCCAGGGAGGAGCTTCCAAGATGGCAGAATAGGAACAGCTCCAGTCTGCAGCTACCAGTGTGAGGAATGCAGAAGGTGGGTGACTTCTGCATTTCCAACTGAGGTACTAAGTTCATCTCACTGGGGCTTGTCAGACAGTGGGTGCAGCCCACAGAGCAGGGAGGGGCATTGCCTCACCTGGGAAATGCAAGGGATTGGGGAATTCCCTTTCCCAGCAAAGGGAAGCCGTGACTGATGGTACCCAGAAAATTGGGTCATGCCCACCCTAAAACTACATTTTTCCACTGGCCTTAGCAAATGGCACACCAGGGGATTACATCCCGTGCCTGGCTCAGAGGGTCCCCTGCCCATGGAGCCTCACTCACTGCTAGCATAGCAGTCTGAGATTGAGCTGCAAGGTGGTAACAATGCTGGGGGAGGGTGATCTGCCATTACTGAGGATTCACTAGGTAAACAAAGTGGCAAGGAAGCTTGGACTGGGTGGATCCCACCTCACCTCAAGGAGGCCTGCCTGCCTATGTAGACTCCACCCCTGGGGGCAGGGCATAGATGAACAAAAGGTAGCAGAAACTTCTGCAGACTTAAACATTGTTGTCTGACAGCTTTGAAGAGAGTAGTGGTTCTCCCAGCACAGAGTTTGAGATTTGAGAATGGACAGACTGGTACCTGAACCCCGAGTAGCCTAAGTGGAAGACACCTCCCAGTAGGGGCCACCTGACACCTCACACAACTGGGTGCCCCTCTGAGTTGAAGCTTCCAGAGGAATGATCAGGCAGCAATACTTGCTGTTCGGCAATATTTGCTGTTCTGCAGCTTCTGCTGGTGATACCAAGGCAAACAGGGTGTGGAGTGGGCCTCCAGAAAACTCCAACAGTCCTGCAACTGAGGGTCCTAATTGTTAGAAGGAAAATTAACAAACAGAAAGGACATCCACACAAAAACCCCATCTATACATCAGCATCGAAGAACAAAAGTAGATAAAACCACAAAGATGGGGAGACACCAGAGCAGAATAGCTGAAAATTCTAGAAATCAGAGTGCCTGTTCTCCTCCAAAGGAATGCAGTTCCTCACCAGCAATGGAACAAAGCAGGATGGAGAATGACTTTGACGAGTCAAGAGAAGAAGGCTTCAGATGATTGGTAATAACAAATTTCTCTGAGCTAAAGGAGGATGTTCGAACCCATCGCAAAGAAGCTAAAAACTTTGAAAAAAAGATTAGATGTATGTCTACTAAAATAAACAGTGTAGAGACGTCCCTAAATGACCTGATGGAGCTGAAAACCATGACATGAAAACTATGTGATGCATGTACAAGCTTCAGTAGCCAATTCTGTCAAGTGGAAGAAAGGATATCAGTGATTGAAGATCAAATGAATGAAATAAAGCAAGAAGAGATGTTTAGAGAAAAAAGAGTAAAAAGAAATGAACAAAGCCTCCAAGAAATATGGCACTACATGAAAAGACCAAATATACATCTGATTGGTGTACCTGAAAGAGATGGGGAGAATGGAGCCAAGTTGGAAAACACTCTGCAGGATATTATCCAGGAGAATTTCCCCAATGTAGTGAGGCAGACCAACATTAAAATTCAAAAACATACAGAGAATGCCTAAAAGATACTCCTCGAGGAGAGCAACAACAAGACAAATAATTGTCAGATTCACCAGAGTTGAAATGAAGGAAAAAATGTTAAGGGAGCCAAAGGAAAGGTCAGGTTACCCAGAAAGGCAAGCCCATCCGACTAACAGTGGATCTATTGGCAGAAACTCTACAAGCCAGAAGATAGTGGGGGCTAATATTCAACATCCTTAAGGAAAATAATATTCAACCCAGAATTTCATATCCAGCCAAATAAAGCTTCATAAGTGAAGGAGAAATGAAATCCTTTACAGACAAACAAATGCTGAGAAATTTTGTCACCACCAGGTCTGCCTTACAAGAGTTCCTGAAGGAAGCACTAAACATGGAAAGGAACAACTGGTACAAGCCACTGCAAAAACATGTCAAATTGTAAAGACCATCAATGCTACAAAGAAACTGCATCAACTAATGAGCAAAATAACAAGCTAACATCATAATGACAGGATCAAATTCACACATAACAATATTAACCTTAAGTGTAAATGGGGTAAATGTTCCAATTAAAAGACACAGACTGGCAAATTGGATAAAGAGTCAAGACCCATCAGTGTGCTGTATTCAGGAGACCCATCTGACGTGCAGTGACACACATAGGCTCAAAATAAAGGGATGGAGAAAGATTTACCAAGCAAATGAAAAAAAAAGAAAAAGAAAACAAAAACAAAAACAGGGGTTGCAATCCTAGTTTCTGATAAAACAGACTTTAAACCAACAAAGATCAAAAGAGACAAAGACGACCAATACATAACGGTAAAGGGATCAATTCAATAAGAAGAGCTAACTTTACTAAATATATATGCATCAAATACAGGAGCAGTCGGATTCATAAAGCAAGTCCTTAGAAACCTACAAACATACTTAGACTCCCACACAGTAATAATGGGAGACCTTAACACCCCACTATCAACATTAAACAGATCGAGACAGAAAGTTAAAAGGATATCTAGGAATAGAACTTAGCTCTGCACCAAGTGGACCTAATAGACATCTACAGAACTCTCCACTCCAAATCAACAGATATATATTCTTCTCAGCACCACATCAAACTTAATCCAAAATTGACCACACAGTTTTAAGTAAAGCACTCCTCAGCAAATGTAAAAGAACACAAATTATAACCAACTGTCTCTCAGACCACAGTGCAATCAAGCAAGAAGTCAAGATTAAGAAACTCACTCAAAACCGCTCAACTACATGGAAACTGAACAACCTGCTTATGAATGACTACTGGGTACATAACGAAATGAAGGCAGAAATGAAATGTTCTTTGAAACCAGTGAGAACAAAGACACAACATACCAGAATCTTGGGGATACATTTAAGGCAGTGTGTAGAGGGAAATTTATAGCACTAAATGCCCACAAGAGAAAGCAGAAAAGATCAAAAATCGACAGCCTAACATCACAGTTAAAAGAACTAGAGAAGCAAAAGCAAACACATTCAAAAGTTAGCAGTAGGTAAGAAATAACTAAGATCAGAGCAGAACTGAAGGAGTTAGAGACACAAAAAAACCCTTCAAAAAATCAGTGAATCCAGGAGCTGGTTCTTTGGAAAGATCAACAAAATTGATAGACTGCTAGCAAGACTAATAACGAAGAAAAGAGAGAAGAATCAAAGAGACACAATAAAAATGACAAAGGGGAGATCATGACTGATCCCACAGAAATAGAAACTACCATCAGAGACTACTAGAAACACCTCTAGGCAAATAAACTAGAAAATCTAGAAAAAATGGATAAATTCCTTGACACACACTCCCTCCCAAGACTAAACCAGGAAGGAGTTGAATCTCTGAATAGAACAATAACAGACTCTGAAATTGAGGCAGCAATCAATAGCCTATCAACCAAAAAAAGTCCAGGACCAGATGGATTCACAGCCAAATTCTACCATAGGTACAAAGAAAAGCTGATACAATTCCTTCTGAAACTATTCCAATCAACAGAAAAAGAGGGAATCCTCCCTAATTCATTTTATGAGGCCAACAACATACTGATATCAAAGCCTGGCAAAGACAGAAAAACAAAAAATAATTTTAGACCAATATCCCTGATAAACATCGATGCAAAAATCCTCAATAAAATACTGCAGCACATCAAAAAGTTTATCCATCATGATCAAATCGGCTTCATCCTTTGGAAGTAAGGCTGGTTCAATATACACCAATAAATAAACATTATCCATCATATAAACAGAACAGCACTTCATGCTAAAAACTCTCAATAAATTAGGTATTGATGGGACATATCTCAAAATAATAAGAGCTATTTATGACAAACCCACAGCTAATATCATACTGAATGGGCAAAAAATGGATGCATTCCCTTTGAAAACTGGCACAAGACAGGGATGGCCTCTCTCACCACTCCCATTCAACATAATGTTGGAAGTTCTGGCCAGGGCAATCAGGCAAGAGAAATAAATAAAGGTATTCAATTAGTAAAAGAGGAACTCAAATTGTCCCTGTTTGCAAATGACATGATTGTATATTTAGAAAACCCCATCGTCTCAGCCCAAAATCTCCTTAAGCTGATAAGCAACTTCAGCAAAGTCTCAGGATACAAAAGCAATGTGCAAAAATCACAAGCAGACCTATACACCAATAACAAACAGAGAGCCAAATCATGAGTGAACTCCCATTCACAATTGCTTCAAAGAGAATAAAATGCCTAGGAATCCAACTTACAAGGGATGTGAAGGACCTCTTCAAGGAGAACTACAAACCACTGCTAAACAAAATGAAAGAGGACATGAACAAATGGAAGAATATTCCATGCTCATGGATAGGAAGAATCAATATTGTGGAAAATGGCCATACTGCCCAAGGTGACTCATAGATTCAATGCCATCTCCATCAAGCTACCAATGACTTTCTTCACAGAACTGGAAAAACCTACTTTAAAGTTCATATGGAACCAAAAAAGATCCTGCATTGCCAAGACAATTCTAAGCCAAAAGAACAAAGCTGGAAGCATCATGCTACCTGACTTCAAATTACACTACAAGGCTACAGCAACCAAAACAGCTTGGTATTGGTACAAAAACAGAGATATAGACCAATGGAACAGAATAGGGCCCTCAAAAATAATGCCACACATCAACAACCATCTGATCTGTGACAAACCTAACAAAAACAAGAAATGGGGAAAGGATTACCTATTTAATAAATGGTGCTGGGAAAACTGGCTAACCATATGTAGAAAGCTGAAACTGGATCTCTTCTTTACACCTTATACAAAAATTAATTCAAGATGGATTAAAGACTTAAATGTTAGACCTAAAACCATAAAAACCCTAGAAGAAAACTTAGGCAATACCATTCAAGCCATAGGCATGGGCAAGGATTCATGACTAAAACACCAACAGTAATGGCAACAAAAGCCAAAATTGACAAATAGGAGCTAATTAAATGAAAGAGCTTCTGCACAGCAAAAGAAGCTGTCATCAGAGTTTCTTACACTGTTGGTGGGACATAAACTAGTTCAGCCATTGTGGAAGACAGTTTGGCAGTACCTCAAGGATGTAGAACAAGAAATGCCATGTGACTCAGCCATTCCGTTACTGGGCATATACCCAAAGGACTATAAATCATGCTGCTATAAAGACACATGCACAGATATGTTTAGTGTGGCACTACCGATAATAGCAAAGACTTGGAACCAACCAAATGTCCATCAATGACAGGCTGGATTAAGAAAATGTAGCACATATATGCCATGGAATACTATGCTGACATTAAAAAGGATGAGTTCATGTCCTTTGTAGGGACATGGATGAAGCTGGAAACCATCATTCTCAGCAAACTATCACAAGGACAGAAAAGCAGACACAGCATATTTTCACTCATAGGTGGGAATTGAACAATGAGAACACTTGGACACAGGGTGGGGAACATCACACACTGGGGCCTGTCATAGAGTAGGGGGAGAGGGGAGGGATAGCATTAGGAGATATACCTAATGCAAATGATGAGTTAATGGGTGCAGCACACCAACATGGCACATGTAGACATATGTAACTAACCTGCACATTGTGCACATGTACCCTAGAACTTAAAGTATAATAATAAAAATAAAAACAATAAAAATAAATTCTTTTCCAGAAGGGCATTCTTACACGGTTCAGAAATGGTTCAGAATCATAATAATGTTACATGGTTCAGAAATGGTTCAGAGCCATAATGCTACATGGTTCAGAAATGGTTCAGAATCATAATAATGTGACTTTTCTGCCTGGGAACTGCAAACAGTGGATATTTTCACATATCTCTGGGCCTATTGACTAGGTAATATATCTCTCTTGCCAATGGCCTTCCCATATCCAGCTGTGTCATATTGTTAGATACAGCATCTAGGTAATGTGTCTCTGCTCTCCTGGCCAGATCCTGCCCACTGAAGAAATTGTGACATACCACTGAGTGCAAAACCTAGGTGACATTAATGTTCTCTTTGTCCTGAACTCTACCAAGAAAGGAAATTATTACATATTGCTGAGCCCAGCACCCAGGTGGTGTGATTTTCTTTTTTTACTGTAAACTGTCTACATTGGGCATAGTGACATATTACTTGAGGCTGTACCCAGGTGGTGTGGCTCTGCTGCCTGGTTTCTGCCCACATGTTAGATTGTGACATATAACTAGGGAAGCACCTAGTTGATATGACTTTTCTTTGTGGGCCCTTCATAATGAGGACACTGGGATGTATCTCTGAGCCCAAGACTGAAGTGAAGTGACTTTCAGCTTCTGCCTGGTCTTTACAAGAAGGGATTGTGACATATCGTAGAGGTCAGAAGTCAGGTTATTTGTCACTCCTTATTTTCTGGAACCATTCCCACCACCCGAATTTTTGGCCTATTGCAAGGTCCAGCACCCAGGCGATGTTTCTCTTTTGCCTGGGTCCTGCATACAGATAGAAGTATGGCATATTGCTGGGGCCAAAACTCTGATAATTTCCTGTTGAGAGCAGGACATTATCTCATGACTCATGACTGTCCTGGAGCCACAGAAGGTATTTTGACACATCCTGGGCCCATCATGTGGGTGTTCTGATATCTTTTGCCTGGGTTTCTTCCACAGGTAGGATGGTTTTGTTTTGCTCAGTCCAGCACCAATTTAATATGACTCTAATTCCTATACCCTGCCAAGCAAGGGAGGACATAGTGACAAGTTGCTTGGCACAGCACCAAAGAGATGTTACCCTCCTGCATACATTTTGCCCACAAATGGGACTCTGACATATACCTTGATCTCAACATATGCCTTAGTTGAGATCACAGGCCTGGTGATCAGACTTATATTGGAGTCAGCCAATAGGAGATATTTTGCCTCTCATCACTAGGCTTTGGGCAATGGGTAAGGCCCTGGGTTGCATATTTGTATGAAGCTCACAGAGCTTTACAGCACTAACTCATAGTGTATAACCTCCTTGGGTGGTACAGAGAGTTTCAAGACAAGAACCAGCAAAATGTTCAGATTGGGATTCTTGGTTATGCACCCAAGTGAAAGTAAATGTTTCCATCCCACATGGCCAAAGCCCACTGTTAAGGTCCTGAGTCTAAAAAGTAAATACAGTAGAAAGTTGGAATTTTGACCTTCCTATGTGGATCTGACCACAGATGGGATAGCGACTCATTTTTACATCTAGCTCACAGGCATGACAATGGATCTCATTCCTTAACCCAGCCTGCAGAAGAGATGTTGACTATAAAACTTGGGTTTAGGGCAATATGTTAAGATCGTGAATCTATACTACCATGTAGGGGTCAGAGTGGTTTGCCACTCTCACACGTGCTGTATAAACCCTTAAAATGTTGTAGAGTGTCATACAACAGCCCAGGAAACATGGAAAATTGTGACTCTCATATACAAACCCAGCTCACATTCAATGGTGTCAACATCAAAGACAAAAAGATTTGGCATATTACTAGGCCTAGTAACCAGGTGTTGTGAGTTTTTGGATTACATTTTTTTTCTGTTGGGTGCATTGTGACATATCACTGGGTTAGAATTATAATAATGTGACTGTTCTGCCTGAGCCCTGCCAACAGGGCAAATTATCTCATATCTCTGGGCCTATAAGCTAGGTGATTTTTCTCCCCTCCCTGTGCACTGCCATCAGAACACATTGTGAAATATTGTTTGGCTTAACATCTAGGTTATGTGATTTCCTCCCCTGCCTGTGTCCTGCTCACCAAAAAAGTTTTGATGTACTGCTTATTGCAGAAACTATGTGATGTGACTCTTCTTCATATGCTAGGCCCTGCCAAGAAAGTGGATTATTACACACTGCAGAGCACAGCACCTATGTGGAGTAACTCCTCTTTTTCTTATTCCCTTTCTATAGTGGGCTTGGGGACATATTATTTGAGGCTATATCCAGGTGATGTGACTCTTCTAAATAGGCCCACCCTATTAATGAGATTATAATGTATCAGCAGCTCAGCACCCAGGTGATGTCTCTCCTGCCTTTTTGTGGGGAAAAGCAAGAGAGATCAGATTGTTACTGTGTCTGTGTAGAAAGAAGTAGACATAGGAGACTCCATTTTGTTATGTACTAAGAAAAATTCTTCTGCCTTGAGATTCTGTTAATCTATGACCTTACCCCCAACCCCATGCTCTCTGAAACATGTGCTGTGTCAACTCAGAGTTGAATGGATTAAGGGCGGTGCAGGATGTGCTTTGTTAAACAGATGCTTGAAGGCAGCATGCTCCTTAAGAGTCATCACCACTCCCTAATCTCAAGTACCCAGGGACACAAAAACTGCGGAAGGCCGCAGGGACCTCTGCCTAGGAAAGCCAGGTATTGTCCAAGGTTTCTCCCCATGTGATAGTCTGAAATATGGCCTCGTGGGAAGGGAAAGACCTGACCGTCCCCCAGCCCGACACCCGTAAAGGGTCTGTGCTGAGGAGGATTAGTAAAAGAGGAAGGAATGCCTCTTGCAGTTGAGACAAGAGGAAGGCATCTGTCTCCTGCCTGTCCCTGGGCAATGGAATGTCTCGGTATAAAACCCGATTGTATGCTCCATCTACTGAGATAGGGAAAAACCGCCTTAGGGCTGGAGGTGGGACCTGCGGGCAGCAATACTGCTTTGTAAAGCACTGAGATGTTTATGTGTATGCATATCTAAAAGCACAGCACTTAATCCTTTACATTGTCTATGATGCCAAGACCTTTGTTCACGTGTTTGTCTGCTGACCCTCTCCCCACAATTGTCTTGTGACCCTGACACATCCCCCTCTTTGAGAAACACCCACAGATGATCAATAAATACTAAGGGAACTCAGAGGCTGGCGGGATCCTCCATATGCTGAACGCTGGTTCCCCGGGTCCCCTTATTTCTTTCTCTATACTTTGTCTCTGTGTCTTTTTCTTTTCCAAATCTCTCGTCCCACCTTACGAGAAACACCCACAGGTGTGTAGGGGCAACCCACCCCTACACCTTTTCCCTGCTCTCAGGTGAAATTTTAACATATATCTTAGTTAAGCACACGTGCACAAAATAATAACCCTCATACTTGGACTCACACAGTAGAAATATTTTGACTCTCAGAGCCATGGGTAAAGTCCTGGATTTTTCACTTTTATAAACTTCATGAAGGATTATAACACTCAGATATATCATATGAAGTCTTAATGACAAAAAGTGTCAAACAGAGAACAGAAACAAGGGGCAGATGGGACTCTTGTATGCACATCTAGCTGGCATGATTGTCATTCTCACACAGAACAGGGCCTAGGAATGAGGCACTAAATCTCACACATAAAAAGCAGTTGAAGGTTGAAATAATTACTCTAATTCAGGAATCTGATTCACTGGTGGTTTTGTAACATTTGAACCATGATTCAGCACACTGTGGTGCTCTGACTCCCCTGCTGGAACACAGTGTTCAAGTGGGATTGGGGATCTTATACATGGATCTGGTTCCAGGCTGAGACTGTGACTCTTCTACTTCAACCCAATGCATAGGAACAGTTGACTCACATAAACAAAACCAGGACTTGTGTGGGATGTGAAATTTATTTCTGAACCTTTCTGATAGTGTGATTGGAACAAGATAACTTTCCCAACACATGACTAATATGACTCTTTTCTAGGCCCAGACCATGGAAGAAATTGGGCCATATGTGGAACAAGCGACTAAGCAATAGATCCCTTGTTTCATGGCTCTGCCTACAATGGGAACTGTTATATATCATTGGGACCATCACCCAGGTGATGTGCATTATCTGCATAAAACTCATAAAACTACCTACAAAAAAATTGTGTTTTATATCTAGATCCATCACATAAGTGTTGTGGCTCCCTGCTACTGTTTTGGCCCTTCACTTACAGTGCATTGTGACACATAACCATGTACTGTACCCAGTTGATGTAATTCTTCTTTTTGGGTTCTGCTAACAGGAAGCATTGTAACATGTCACTTGGATCAGAACCTAGGTGGTGTTTCTTGGCTTTTGCCTGTACCTTGACCACAGGGAGATTGTGACATAAAGCTGGGCCCAGCACTAATGTGAGGCCACTCTCTGGCTTCTGTACTGCACTGAACAGACATTGTGACATATATCTAGGCCAATGGCCTTGGTGAAGTGAGGCTCCTCTCTTACCAAAGTCCTGCCAAGAGAGGGGGTTTTGATATGTCCGTGAAATTAGCATCCAGGTGATGTGACTCTTCCACCAGGTCCTTCCCACAAGGTGGATTGTGACATCTCACTGGAACTGCACCCACGTAGGTGATGAAGCTTGCTTTTTTTTTTTCTCTTGCCACAAGTGGTATTGTGTCATAAAGCAATGATTATAACAGAAACCTAATAACAATTAATATGCCTGGAGCCTAGGACTTGTGCAGGATGGTGGCTGTTACTATTAAGCCTTTCCACAGGTGTAATTGTGACATATACCTTTGCCCAACTACTGACTTATTTAATAATTCTGCCAAAGTATAGCCCATAAATGGGATTTTGACAAACACATTGGCCAAGCACTTTGGTAGTTTGACTGAGGTACCTTAGAAATGTCCTCAGGGGAGATTGTAACTGATTCTTGGATGCTTCATCTACATGACTCTCCTCTTTTGCCTGTACCCTGCTTCCTTTGGTAATTGTAGCTCTTCTAAACACTGCATCCAAATGATATGACCCCTTGCCTGGGCCCTGTCAACAATAGGCATTTTGACATATTTTTGTGCCCATCATTTAGGTGATATTACTCTCCTCTCCTGCCTGGACACTGCCCACAAGGCACATTGTGCCACACAGCTGGATCTATCACACAAGTTTTGTGAGATTTCTGATAGGGCACAGAATACAAAAAAAATTTTTGAAATAATTCTAGCCCAGCATTTAGGTGATGTGGTTGTTCTGCCTGCTTCATAACCACAGAGGGAATTGTAACATATACCTAGGCATGGCTCACAGGCATGATAATGACTCTCATATGTGGACTCAGAAAATAGAGAATATTTTCACCCTTATAACTAAGTTTAGGGACACGTTTGATGTCCTGGATCTCCTCCTTGTACAAAGGTCACAAAATATTACAACACTCACATACATTTTACAAAGTCTTTGGACTATACAGTCAGAGTCAAATTGGAGCTAAGCACCCAGGTGAAATTTTGAGTCTTGTATACCCACCCAGCTGAAGGTAAGGACTGTTATCATCTCACATGGATGAAGGCAACTGTCACACATGAAAACAGGACATGTGTGGTATTGTAAATCTCATCTTTGGAATTTTATGACAGTGTGATTGTGATATAAATGTTTGCCAAGCACTTGTGTAATTTGACTCACCAGACTTGTTCCAGCCCATATATGGGATTATGATTCCTACCGAGGCCAACATCGAGGTGATATGACTCTCCTACCTGGTCATATCTCTCAGTAAAGATTGTGAGATATCACTGGATCTAGCACCCTGGTGATGTTACATAGTTGCCTGTGCCAGGCTCACTAAAATTATTGTGACATATTTCTCTGTGCACTTCATAGTTGATGTAAGTCTTCTCTCTGAAATGGGCACTGTACAACAGAAGGATAGTGACACACTGCAAGAACAGGCACACAGGCAAGGATATTCCTTTGCAGAGGATCCCCAAAGGAGGGCATTGTGACATATCTCTGGGCCTATCATCTAGGTTATGTGGCTTTACTGCTTGGGCCCTTCCAAACTTGAGAGTTACATATTTCTAGGCAAGGCACACAGGTGATGGTATTCTTTTGCCAGGGCTCTGCCTCATAGTGGACATGGTGACCTATCTCTGGGCCTATCACCTAGGTGAAATGATCCCCTCCTTGAGCCCTACACGTATGGAGCATTGTGGTATAATCAGAAAACATACACCTAGTATGATGTTTCTCTCTTGGCTGGGTGCTGCATTAAGAGAGCCTTTGATGTATCTCGGGACCCACCACCCAAGTGATGTGGCTATTCTGCCTGGTTTTTGCCCACAAGTCACAAAGTGACATATTCCTAGGGAAGCACGTAGGTGATGGGCCTCTCCTCTTCTACATGAGCCCTGCCTACTGGGGACATTAGGACATATCTCTGAACCCATGACCTAAGTGATGTGACTCTCCTTTTCTGCCCGATCATTCACAATAGGAGGATTTTGGCACATGGCTGAGCCCAGTACTTAGGATATGTGACTCTCTCCTTTTACCCAAACCATGCCCACAGGAAAGAAAGTTTGACTTATTGCATTGCCCAGCACCCAGATGATGTTAACCATCTACCTGGAATCTGCATAAAGAGCTAATTATGATATATTACATATTGCTGGTCCCAGTACCCTTATGATGTGACTTTCCTGCTTGTGCTGGAGCTACTAAGATATGTTGATGTATCTTGGGCATACTGTGCTGGTATTTTGGCTCTCATAACTTGGCTGAGTCTTTTCCCATATGCAGGATTGTATCATATTGCTGGGTCCAGCATTCAGCTAATGTGACTCAATTTCCTATACCCTGCCTAGAGAAGACATTGTGAAGTATTTCCTGGCACAGCATCAAAATGTCATTACCCTCCTGCCTAGTGTTTTTCACACGTATGTAATTATAATATATAACTGCTTCAGTTCACAGCCATGATGATCAAACTTATATTGGGATTCAGCCAATAGAAAATATTTTGCCTTTCATTGTTAGGCTTGTGGAAATAGGTAAGGTCCTGGGTTGCATGTTTATACCAAGCTCAAGGAAGCTTACACCACTAAATTACATTGTATAAACTCTTTTGTGGTAGAAATTTTCATAACATGAGCCAGCAAAAAGTTCAGATTGGAAGTCTCTACTACACCCCCGGGTGAAATTAGAAGTTGCAACCATCCCACATTTAGAAAACCCACTGTTGAGGTTCTGAGTTTAAAACCCTCACAGGCGGGTTTTTCATATGTCACTAAAAGGAACTTCCAGGTGATGTGACTCTTCTTCCAGGGTCCTGACCACCAGGTGGATTGTCACATCTCACTGGAACTGCACCCACATAGGTGGTGTGACTTTCTTGCCTTCTCTCTTACTACAGGAGATATGGTGTCATATACCTGAGACCATAATAAAAGACTAATAAAAACTCATATGTCTGGAGCCAGGACATGTATAGGATGGTGAGCCTTATTTTCAAACCTTTCCACAAGTGTAATTGTATGTACACCTTTGTCTAGTGCCTGTGAAATTTAACACTTCCACCTAGGTACGTCCCACAAATGAGATTTTGACAAAACTTGGGTCACGGACATTGGTGATTTGACGGTGCTACCTTACCAATGTTTTCAGGGGGACTAGCCACATATTTCTGGACCCATTATCTGGGGTATATGACTCTCCTTTTTGGCATGTACCCAGCTTACTTTAGTAATTGTAGCATTTCTAAACATTGCATCCAAATGACATGACACTCTCTTCTGAACCTTCTCAACAAGAGGAATTTTGACATATTTTTGGGTTTAGCTTTTAGGTCAACCACATTGGGTGATGTAACTCTCCTTTCTGGTATAGGTCTTGCACAAAGGAAGGATAGTGACATATTGCAAAGCCAGGCACACAGGTGGGGATATTTTTTTGCCAGAGCCATGCCCAAAGGAGGGTATTGTGACATATCTCTGGTAGTATCACTTAGGTTATGCCGCTCTTCTACTTGGTCCCTGCCAACCTGGAGAGTGACATATTTCTAGGCCAGGCACACAGATGATGGTACTCTTTCCCCAGGGCTATGCTTCAAAAAGGACATTGTGACATATCTCTGGCCCTATCACCTAGTTGATATGACTCAATGTTTGGGCCTCACCCACAGAGAGCATTGTGATACGAAAGTGAAACCTGCACCAAGGTGATGTAACTCTTTCACTTTGTTTCTCTTCTAAGGGGGACCTGTGACACATCTTAGCACCCAGCACCTAGGTAATGTGGCTCTTCTGCCTGGTTTCTGCCCATGTGTTAGATTGTGACTTATACATAAAGAAGCACATAGGAGATACTACTCTCCTTTTCTTTCTTAGTTCTGCCTACTGAGGACTTTGGGACCTATCTCTGACCCCATGACCTAAGTGATATGACTCTCTTCTCCTGTCACCCTTCAAAATGGTGGGGGTGGTGGTGGTTGTGAACATATTGCTGAGACCAGCATTTAGGTCATATGATTCTACTCTTTATTCTGAACCATGCACACAAAGAGCAATTTTGACCTATTGCACTCAGGTGATGTTACTCTTCTGCTACTGTCCTGAATAAAATGAGAATTATTGCAGAATGGTGGCCCCAGAACCCTGATGATGCTACTGTCCTGCTGGTTCCAGAGCCACAGACACAATTTTTACAGGTCTTCAGCTTATTCTCTAGGTGTTTTGGCTCTCATCCCTTGGTTAATCTTTTTCTCAAGAAAAATTGTGTAATATTGTTGGGCCCAGCTCCCAGTTAATATGACCCTCCCCCTATATTCTTCCTAGGGAAGGCATTGTGACAAGTTGCTTACCACATAACCTAAGTGATGTTATTATTTTTCCTAATTTTTTTGTCCACAAATGAGATTATGACATATACTTTGCTCCACTTCGCAGGCATGATGGTCAAACTTATATTGGGATTCAACCAATAGAAGATATTTTGCCTCTAATCACAAGGCTTAGAGCAATAGGTAAAATCCTGGTTTGCATATTTGTACCAAACTCAGAGTAGTTTACAACACTAATTAGTATTGTACAAACTCCTTTGGTGGTACAGAGAGTTTCATAACAAGGCCTAGCAAAAAGTTAAGATTGTAACTCTCAATTAGACACCCAGGTGAAAGTAAAAGTTGTCACCATCCCACTTTTACAAAGCCCATTGTTGAGGAACTGAGTTCAACAGGTAAAAACACTTCAAATATGGAATTGTGACTCTTATTTGTGGATCTGGCCACAGGTTCGATCGTGTCTCATTTTCAGAGCCAGCTCAAAGCATAAAAATAAGTCTCATTCCTGAGCTCAGCCTAAATGAGAGATGTTGACTATCACACCTGAGTTTAAGGCACTATATAAGTTTGAGAGTCTATATGAGTGTGTGGGCCTCAGTGTAGTTTGCAACTCTCATGCATACTATGTAAGGCCCTCCGATGTTGTAGAGGGCATCATAAAATGATGCAGCACACACATGACAATGTGACTCATATACACACCAAGATCACTGTTCAAGGTGTCACCCTAAAATATGAGGAGATTTTGTCATATCATTAGGCCTAGTACCCAGGTGTTAAAACTTTGGCTCCAATTGTTTTCCATGTGTGCATTGTGACATATCATTGGGACAGAATCATAATAATGTGACTCTTCTGCTGGGGTCCTGCCAAGTAGGGATAATATCACATATCTCTGAGCCTATCTGATAGGTGATTTTTCTATTTTGCCTCTGATTTGCCCCCAGGGAACATTGTGACATCATCGGGGTAACATCTAGGAAATGTCACTCTTCTCTCCTGCCTACGTCCTACCCACTAAAGGAATTGTGACATACCGATGAGTGGAAAACCTAGGCAGTGCAACTCTTCTCTGTATTCTGAAGTTGGCCAAAACAGGGGATTGTTACATATTGCTGAGCCCAGCACCAAGATGGTGTTACTATCCTCTTTTTCTTCAACCCTGTCTACAGTGGACATGGGACCATATTACTTGTGGCTGTACCCAGGTGATGTGACTTTTCTGACTTGGCCCTGCTTGCAAAGGAGATTATAATGTTTCCTGAGCTTGGCATCCATGTGTTGAGACTCTCCTGTGATATTTCTGCCCACAGGTGAAATTGTGACATATAGCTGCATTCAGCTACCATGCACAAATATAACTATCATACCTCGACCCAGAAAGGGAGACATTTTGATTCTCATAGCCAGTCTTATGGCCATAAGTAAAGTAATCAGTCTCCTAATTGTGTACATTTCACAGAGGATTATGACACTCAGGCATATCATGTAAAGCGTGAGTGGTACAAAGAGTGTCATAACAGGGAACAACAATCAGATGCTATTGTCACTATTGGATGCACACCCAGATGACCTGATTGTCATTCTCTCACAAGAATAGGGCCTACAAATAACGTACTAGATCTCATGAAAAAAAGCAGTCGAAGTTTGAAATTTTTTCTCTCATAAATAAATCTGACCCAAGGATCCTTTTGTGATGCATGAATCAGCAGACCTGTGAAGCTGTGACTCTCCTCTTAGAACACAATCTTCAAGTGGAATTGGCATCTTATACATGGATCTTGTGCATTGTTGAGATTGTGACTCCTCTGTTTTGATCCAAGCCACTGGATGTGTTGACTCACACACGCAAAGCCAAGACTTGTGTGGGACTGGGAAATGTATTTCTGAATATTTCCTAGTGTGTGATTAGGACATAAAAGTTATCCCCACTCCTGAATAATTTAACTCTCCTTTTTTGGCCATGAGGACGGATGAACTTGTGACATATGTGGAACATACAACTAAGCAAAGGTGCCTGGACCTGCCTACAAATTGCACATTTACTTATCACTGGGACCAGCACCCAGGTGAGGTAAATTATTTGCCTTATCTCTGCCTATAAAAGGCATTGTGGCTCATATCTAGGTCTATCATGTAAGTGATGTCACTTCTACTTCCTTGGCCCTCCACTTATGGTGCATTGTGACACAAAACTGGGTACTGTACCCAGGTGATGTGACTCTCCATTTTGGGTTCTGTCAACAGGAAGCTTTGTAAAGTATCACTTGGCTCAGCACATAGGTCATGTTTCTCCTCTCTTGCCTCACCCTGACAGCAGGGGAGATTGTGACATATTAATAAACCCAGCACCAAAGTGAGGTCAGTTTCATACCTTGGTTTTGCACCAGCAGCCATTGAGACACATATATATAGCCAATTGCCTAGGTGAAATAAGTCTCCTCAACTTCTTAAGGCCTGCTCACACAAGGAATTTTGATATATCACTAAAACCAGTAGCCAGGTGAAGTGACTCTTCTTCCAGAGTCCTGGACACAAGAAAGATTGTGACATCTCACTGGATCAGCACCCATCCAGGTGATGCGATATTTTTGCTTGCTCTCTGCCCACAGATGATACTGTGCCATATACCTGAGGCCAAATAAGAGTACTAATCATGACTCTTAAACCTTAAGCCAGGTCATATACAAGAGGGTGATTCTCATTCCTGAAACTTTCCACCTGTGTCATTGTGACATAAACTATTTCCCAGTTCCCAAGAGACTAAATAATCCTGCCTACGTGTGGCCCACAAATTAGATTTGGATATATACCTTGGCTGAGCACCTTGGTGATTTGACTCTCCTATATTTACGGTATCCTCAAGAAGGATTGTAACATGGCTCTGGACCCATCATCTAGTTATCTAATTCTCCTTTCCTGCCTGGATACTGCTTCCAATGGGGATTGTACCATTTCTAAGCACTGCATCCAAGTGATCTGACTCTTTTGCCTGGTCCTTTCAACATGCGACATTGTGTCATATCTCTGGGCCTAGCATTTAAGTGATATGAGTCTCTTTTTGTGTCTGGACACTGCCAACAAGGGGCATTGTGCCATACATCTGGGTGTAACTCCCAAGTTATGCAACTTTGCTGACAGAAACTTGCCAACAAGGAGAATATTGGAATATTTCTGGCTCAGCATTTGTTGTACTTGACTGTTGTGCCTATTTCATTGCCACTGATTAAATTGTTACACATACCTAGGCACAACTCACAGGCATGATAATAACCCTCATATGTGGACCCCAGAAATTGGAGTAATTTTAAGTTTCATAACTTCGTTCAGAAACAGGAGTGAATAAATCACTTTCTTTTAAAAAAGGACAAAGAAGACTTTAACAGCCCTTGGCTTGTACTGAGAGTGTATATATAATGGAACCCAGTAGGAAGGTGAAAGTGTGAGTCTCATATGCACACCCAGCTGACAGTAAGGACTGTCACTGTCTCACATATCTGAAGTCAAATGTCACTCATGAAAATAGGACATGTGTGGTATTTTAAATCTCATCCTGGTAATTTTCTGCCACTGTGTCTGTGATATAAATCTTGTGCTTGCTGGCCAAGCACTTGTGTGATTTGACTCTTCAGACTTGCTCCAGATCAATATGTTATTGTGAAATCTACCTGGGCCAACCTCTAGGTGATGCGATGTTTTTGCTCAATACCTGCTCTCAGTAAGAATTGTGACGTATCACTGGATCCAGCACTCAGGTCATGTTACATTTTTGCCTGAGTCATGTGCACAGATATCACTGGCACTTATCACTGTGTCAACCACTTAGGTGACATAACTCTACACACTAGAATGGACCCTGCACACAGTGGGGGATAGTAACATATGGCTGTGTCAGGCAAAGAGGTGACAGCACTCTTTTGCGAGGGCCCTGTCCTTAAGATGACATTTGACAAATCTCTGGACCTATCACCTAGGTGAATTTGCTCTCCTGCTTGGGTCCTGCTTACTCAAATAGTGACATATTGCTAGGCCAGTCACACAGGTGATGGTGCCCTTTCACTAGGACCATAACTTAAGGAGGACATTGTGACATAGCTCTGCACCTATCAGCTAGATAATGTGACTCCCTGCTTGGGTTCTGCCCACATTGAACATAAGGGTAGAACCTGAACTCATTTGTTGTAATTCTCTAGCTAGGGTCCTGTCTTAAGGGAGGCTTGTGACATATCTCTAGACCAGCATCAAAGTGATGTGACTCTTCTGCATGGTTTCACCTAACACGTTAGATTATTTCATAAACCTAGGGAAGCATCTACGTGATATGACTCTTCTCTTATGCCTGAGTCCTACCTACCTGGGACATTGGACCATATATCTGAGCCTGTGTCTTATGTAATGTGACTCTTTTCTTCTGCAGGTTTTATTTTTTTTATTTTTATTTTTTTTTACAATTGGTCAATGTGACCTATTGCTAAGCCCAATAATTATGTAATATGACTCTTCTTTTTTTTCCCGAACCATGACCGTAAAAAGGAATTTTGACCTATTGCTGGGCCCAGCACTGAGATGGTGTTCCTTTTCTGACTGGGTTCTGCATAAAGATATAATTATGGCATATTGCTAGGACACACACTCTGATGATGTAACTCTCCTGCCTCTGCTGGAGCAACAGAAAGTATTTTTACATATCTTGGGCCAATTCTGTAGGTGATTTGCTCTCATCATTTGTCTGGGTTTGATTTATCCACGTTTGGGATTGTGTCATGTTGCTGGGTTCAGCACCCAGATATTGTAACCCGCATTTCAGACCCTGTGTAGAGAGGGCAATGTGACTTATTGCTTGGCACAGAATGTAAGTTGTGCTACTCTGCTGCTAATTTTTTTCTACAAATGAGATTATGAAATTTACATTGCTTCAATTCAGAAGTGTGACTATCAAACTGAAATTGGAATTCCACCAATAGCAGATATTTTGCCTCTCATTTCTACACTTAGAGTAATAGGTAAATTACTATTTACCTATTAAATTACAATTAAGAGTTGCAAATCTGAACAAAGCTAACAGAAGTGTAAAACACTGACTCATATTCTATAAAATCCTTGCGTGGTACACAGAGCTTTATAAAAGGGCCCAGGAGATGGTTAAAATCATGATTCTTGATTACACATGCAGGTGGAGCCAATGTTGTCCCCATCTCATGTTTACAAATCCCACTGCTGAAGCCCTGAGTTTAAAATGTAAATAAAGTAAAAAGATGGAATCGTGAGTTTCATATGTGGATGTTGTTACAGGTGAGATGGTGACTTATTTCTGGACCCAGATCAGGGGCATAATAATGGGTCCCCTGTCTAAATCCAGCTAATAAGAGAGATGTGGACTATCATAACTGGATTTAAAGCAATATGTAAAATTGTGAGTTAATATCAGCATGTAGTTCTCATAGTAGATTGCAAGTCTCATGCATACCAAGCCTTCAGATATGATAGAGTGTGTCATATGATGACCCGGAACACACGTGACATTGTGACTCTTATATACACACACCTAGCTAACAGTCAAAGGTGTCACCCTAACACATGAAGAGATTGTGTCATATCACTAGGCCTAGTACCTCTAGGTGTTGAGAACTTTTGGCTTACATTCTTTTCCATGGGTGCATTGTGAAATATCTCTGGGTTAGATTTATAATAATGTCACTCTTCTGCTTGGACCCTGCCAAACAGCAGATATTGTCACATATCTTTAGTTCTATCAGCTAGGTCATGTGTCTCTCCTGCCAGTTCCCTGTCCACTGGGAATACTGGGACATAGCTCTTGATATTGCATTAGGTAATGTGAATCTCCTCTCCTGTCTGGATCCTGCTCTCTGAAGAAATTGTGACGTACCACTGAGTCCCTGGATCAGAACCCAGATGATGAGACTCTTCTGTCTTGTCTCTGTCCAAAGGTGAAATTGGGACATACACCTGGATTCAGCTCATATGCCCAATAATAACTCTTATAACTAGACACAGCCATGGGAGGTGTTTCAACTCTCATAGCCAGTCTTATCAACAAAGGTAAAGTCCAAGATCACCCACCTGTAATAATTCACAGGAAAGTATGTTATTTAGGCATATCACATAAAGCCTGAGTGGTACAAAGGGTGTGATAACAGTCCCCAGAAACCAGGTGTTACTGTGACTCTTGGATTCACACCCAGCTGACATGATTGTTATTCTCACACATTAACAGCATCTACATATGAGGTACTAAATCTCACAGATATAATCAATGGAAGCTTGAAATTGTTACTTCCATACATGAATCTGATCCACAGGTTGTTTGGTGACTTTTGAACCATGATTCAGTGAACTGTGGTGCTGTGAGTCTCCTACTGGAACACCATCTTCAAGTGGGACTGGGGCTCTTATACATGGATCTTGCTCATTGTTGAGATTATGACTCTTGTACTTAGACCCAACTGATAAGAAGGGTGGACTTTTGTCAATATCTGAGTGTTCTGACTTTCTACATCCAGGGCACGGTTGAAATTGTGACACACATGCAGCACACACTTATGCAATGGATGACACTTTCTTTGGCCATGTGACAAAGGCACTTTTACATGTCACTGCGACCATCACACAGCTGATGTGAGATCTTATCCTGACCCCTGCCTAAGAAGAGTACTGTGGCTTTTTTGTTTTCTTTTATGTTTTGCTTATTTTTTTTTGAGATGGAGTCTCACTCTGCTGCCCAGGCTGGAGCACGGTGGAGCGATCTCAGCTCACTGAAAGCTCTGCCTCCCAGGTTCACGTCATTCTCCTGCCTCAGCCTCCCAAGTAGCTGGGACTACAGGTGCCCACAACCACACCTGGCTATTTTTTTGTTTTGTTTTGTATTTTAATGGAGATGGGGTTTCACTGTGTTAGCCAGGATGGCCTCGATTTCCTGACCTCGTGATCTGCCTGCCTAGGTGCATTGCATAAGTGATGTAACTTCCTTCTACTACCTTGGCCCTGAACTCGCAATGCATTGTGAAACATAACTGGGCACTGCACCCAGGTGATGTGACTCTTTTTTGTGGGGGCTTTTTAACATATCCCATGGCTCAGCACCTGGGTAATGTTTCTTCTCTCTTGCCTGGGCCCTGAACACCAAAGAGATTGTGACATATTGCTGAATGCAGCACCAAGATTAGGTGACACTTCTGCCTTGGTTCTTCACATAGTGGCCACTGTGACACATATTCATGCCAATTACCAAGGTGAAGTTTGTCTACTGTTCTTCCTAAGCCTTGCCCACAAGGGGGATTTGCATATATCACTGAAACCAGCATCCAGGTGAAGAGACTCTTCTCCCACAGTCCTGCCCACAGGTAGGATTGTGACATTTCACTGGACCAGCACCCACACAAATGATGTGACTTTCCTTTCTTCTCCCTGCCAGAGGTGATACTGTTCCATATACCTGAGACCAGACCGAAACCCTAATAATGACAATTGTACCTGGAGCCAGGACACATGCAAGGTGGTGACTTTCATTTCTTAACCTTTCCACAGTTGTTTTTGTGACATATGCCATTGTCCAGCTCCTATGTGATTTAATAACCATGCCTACTTATAGCCCACAGATTACATTTTGACGTAAACCTATGCCAAGAACCTTGGTGATTTGATTCCCCTGTCTAAAAGTGACCTCAGAGGGGATTGTAACATATATCTGTACCCATCATCCAGGTTATGTGACTCTCCTCTCCTGCCTGAACCCTGCATCCAGTGAAGACTGTAGAATTTCTAAACATGGCATCCAAATGACATGACTCTCTGGCCTGGGCCTTTCAACAGGAGGCATTGTGACATATCATTGGGTCAATCATTTGTTATATGACTCTCCTCTCCTGCCTGGACTTTTTCCTCAAGGGCCATTTTGCCATAGAACTTTGCCTAGCACCCAAGTTTTGTGAAGTTTCTGTTAGGGTCTTACCTTTAAAGAAAATATTGAAATATTTCTGGCTCAGGATTTAGGTGAGGTGTTTGTCCTGCCAGTTTAATAACCAGAGAGAGGATTGTGACCTATACCTAGGCACAGCTAACAGGCATGATAATGACTCTCATATGTGAATGGAAACAATAGGAGAAATTTTGACTCTAATAACTATTTTTGGGACATGAGTGTTGTTCAGGTTTACCTTCTGGTAAAAAGGTCACAGATCATGACAACACCCACACATGATATCCCACCTTTGGTTTGTATAAAGAGTGTCATAACAGGTCCTAGCCCACAGAGAAAATTGTGAATCTTGTATGCACCCTCAGTTGACAGTAAGGACTATCATCATAACAGATGGATGAAAGCAGCTCTCCTACAGGTAAACAGGACACGTGTGTTATTTTACATCTCATCCCTAGAATTTAATTCCATCGTTATTCTGGCATATAATCTTGCCAAGCACCTGTGTGATTTCACTCTTCAGACAGTTTCCAGCCTACATATGGAATTTTAATATCTACCTGAGTCAAACTTGAAGTAATGTGACTATTGTACACACTATTGTACTGAGGCCCTGCTCTCAGTAAGATTGTGACATCACTGAATCCCCACCCAGGTGATGTCATATTCTTGTGACATATCTCTGTGCCTATCACTTAGAAGACAATACTCTCCTCTTTTTTATGGACCCTGCACACAGGGCAGAATAGTGACTTATTCCTAGGCCAGGCACAGAAGTGATGAGTTTTTTTCCAGGGCCATGCCCAAAAGAGGGAATTTTGACATACCATAAAGGCCTATTATGGAGATGATATGGCTCCTCTCCCGGGATCCGCCCACTTGAATAATAACATATTGTAACATATTTCTGTGTCCATCTCATAAGTTATGTAACTCTCTTCTCTAAAATGAGCCCTGAACAAAGGAAAGATAGTGACACATTGCAAGGCCACGGACACAGGGAAGGGTACTCTTTTGTCTGAGACATGTCCACAAAAGGATATTGTGACATGTCTCTGGGTCTATCTTTGGGTTATGTGGCTTTTCTGCTTGGGCCCTGCCAACCTTGACAATGATATATTTTAGGCCATACACACAGGTGATGGTACACTTTTGCCAGGGCTATGCTTCATAGAGGTCATTGTGACATATCTCTGGGCCTATCATCTAGGTGAAGTGACTCCCTCCTTGGGCCCTGTGTACATGGAGGCCACACGGAGCATTGTGGCATAAACAGAGAACCCGCACCTAACAATCTTTGCTGGGTGCTGCCCTAAGAGAACCTTGTGAAATATCTCAGAACCCAGCACTCTGGGGTTGTGGCTCTTCTGCATAAGTTCTGCCCATATTTTACCCTGTGACATATTTCTAGGGAAGCACATAGGTGATATGACTCTCCTTGTTTGCCTAAGCCCTGACTACTGGGGACATTGGGACGTATCTCTGAGCCCATGACCTAAATGATGTGACTCTCTTTTTCAGCCTGGACCTTCACAATAGGAGGATTTTGGCACATTACTGAGCCCAGCACTCAGGTTATGTGACTCTCCTCATTTTCCCAAGCCATTCCTGCAAAACAGGAATTTTGGCCTACAGCAGGGCCCGGCACCCAGATGATGTTACTCTTCTGCCTTGCTTCTGCATATAGAGGAACTTATGGAATATTGCATATTGCTCGGCCCAGGACCATTGTTATGTGACTTTCCTCCTGTGCTGCAGCCACCTAACGTATTTTGACATATCTTGGTCTCTTCATGCAGGTGTTTTGGTTCTCATAACTTGGCTGGGTTTTTTCCACATGTGGGATGTTGTCATATTGCTGGGTCCAGCATGCAGTTAATATGACCAAATTCCCTATGCCCTGCCTAGAGAAGACATTGTGAAATATTGCTTGGCACAACATCTAAGTGATGTTACCCTCCTGCCTAGCTTTTTGTCCACATATGGGATTATAACATATACCCTGCTTCAGTTCACAGACATGATGTTCAAACTTATATTGGGATTCAGCCAATAGAAGATATTTTGCCTTTCACTGTTAGGCTTGGGGCAATAGACAATGTCCTCGGTTGCAAATATGTAACAACCTCACAGAAGCTTCCAACACTAACCTGTAGTATATAAACTCTTTGTTGATATAAAATTTCATAACAGGGCCCAGCCAAACCTTCAGATTGGGACTCTATGTTACATACCCAGGTGAAATTAAAAGTTATCACCATCCCACATTTACAATGCCACTGTCGAGATCATGAGTCTAATAAGGGAATGCAGCACAAAGTTGGAATTGTGACATTTATATGTGGTCCTGGCCACAAGTGGGATGGTCACTCATTTCTAGACCCAGCCCACAGGAATAATAATGGGTCTTCTTCCTTAACCCTGCCTAAAGGAGAGATCTTGACTATCAAACCTGGGTTTAGGTTAATATGTAAGATTGTGAGCCCATACCACCACATAGGCCTCACACAGCTTTGCAACTCTTATGCAGGTTTTATAAATCACTTGGATGTTGCAGAGGGTCATGCATTGTCCCAGCAAACATGTGAGATTGTCACTCTAATATACAAGTTTAGCTAAAAGTTAAAGTTGTCACCCTCAAAGATGATGAGATTGTGTCGTATCCCTGGGTCTAGTACCCAGGTGTTGAGACTTTTTGGCTCAAATTTCTTTCCATGGGTGCATTGCTACTTATCACTGGGTTAGAATCAAAATAATGTGATTTTTCTGCTTGAGCTCTATCAAGAGGGTATAATATCACATATCTCTTGGCCTATCAGCTAGGTTATGTGTCTCTCCAGATTGTTCTCTGCATCCAGAAAAAATTTGAAATATCACAGAAATTAGCATCTAAATGGTGTAACTCTCCTCTCCTGCGTGGGTCCTGCTTACCAAAGGAATTATGACATATAGTTGAATGAAAAATCTAGGTGGTATGTCTCTCCTCTCTATTCAAAAGTTTATTTCTGTGCTGCATTCAGCTTCATTAATTTCTTTTTCTACTTTTATACTGGTACCAAAGTGCTTTGATTACTTTAGGTTTATTTTGTATTTGGAAATTGTTAAGTGTAATGCTTCCAAAATTTTTCTTTTTTTTATTATTTATTTTTTTCTCTTTTTTTTCTTTTTTCCCTCCCCCCTCCCGCCTCCCCCCAACCCACAACAGTCTCAAGAGTGTGATGTTCCCCTTCCTGCGTCCATGTGTTCTCATTGTTCAATTCCCACCTATGAGTGAGAACATGTGGTGTTTGTTTTTTTGTCCTTGTGATAGTTTGCTGAGACTGATGGTTTCCAGTTTCATCCATGTCCCCACAACGGACATGAACTCATCATTTTTTATGGCTGCATAGTATTCCATGGTGTATATGCGCCACATTTTCTTAATCCAGTCTATCATTGTTGGACATTTGGGTTGGTTCCAAGTCTGTGCTATTGTGAATAGTGCCTGAATAAACATACGTGTGCATGAATCTTTATAGCAGCATGATTCATAATCCTTTGGGTATATACCCAGTAATGGGATGGCTGGGTCAAATGGTATTTCCAGTTCTAGATCCCTGAGGAATCACCACACTGACTTCCACAATGGTTGAACTAGTTTACAGTCCCGCCAACAGTGTAAAAGTGTGCCTATTTCTCCACATCCTCTCCAGCACCTGTTGTTTCCTGACTTTTTAATGATCGCCATTCTAATTGGTGTGAGATGGTGTCTCATTGTGGTTTTGATTTGCATTTCTCTGATGGCCAGTGATGATGAGCATTTTTTCATGTGTTTTTTGGCTGCGTAAATGTCTTCTTTTGAGAAGTGTCTGTTCATATCCTTTGCCCACTTTTTGATTCAGGTTGTTTGTTTTTTTCTTGTAAATTTTGTTTGAGTTCATTATAGATTCTGGATATTAGCCCTTTGTCAGATGAGTAGGTTGTGAACATTTGCTTCCATTTTGTAGGTTGCCTGTTCACTCTGACGGTAGTTTCTTTTGCTGTGCAGAAGCTCTTTAGTTTAATGAGATCCCATTTGTCAATTTTGGCTTTTATTGTCATTGCTTTTGGTGTTTTAGACATGATGTCCTTGCCCATGCCTATGTTCTGATGGTATTGCCTAGGTTTTCTTGTAGGATTTTTATGGTTCTAGGTCTAACGTTTAAGTCTTTAATCCATCTTGAATTAATTTTTGTATAAAGTGTAAAGAAGTGATCCAGTTTCAGCTGTCTACATATGGCTAGCCAGTTTTCCCAGCACCATTTATTAAATAGGGAACCCTTTACTCATTGCTTGTTTTTGTCAGATTTGTCAAAGATCAGATGGTTGTAGATATGATGCATTATTTCTGAGGGCTCTGTTCTGTTCCATTGATCTATGTCTCTGTTTTGGTACCGGTACCATGCTTTTTTGTAGTATAGTTTGAAGTCAGGTAGCACGATGCCTCTGGCTTTGTTCTTTTGGCTTAGGATTGACTTGGCGATGCAGGCTCTTTTTTGGTTCTGTATGAACTTTAAAGTCGTTTTTTTCCAATTCTGTGAAGAAAGTCATTGGTGGCTTGATGGGGATAGCATTGAATCTATAAATTACCTTTGGCAGTATGACCATTTTCATGATATTGATTCTTCCTACCCATGAGCATGGAAGGTTTTTCTATTTGTTTGTGTCCTCTTTTCATTCATTGAACAGTGGTTTGTGGTTCTACTTGAAGAGGTCCTTCACATCCCTTGTAAGTTGGATTCCTAGGTATTTTATTCTCTTTGAAGCAATTGTGAATGGGAGTTCACTCATGATTTGGCTGTCTGTTTGTCTGTTATTGGTGTATAAGAATGCTTGTGATTTTTGTACACTGATTTTGTGTCCTGAGACTTTGCTGAAGTTGCTTATCAGCTTAAGGAGATTTTGGGCTCAGACAATGGGTTTTCTAAATATACAATCATGTCATCTGCAAACAGGGACAATTTGACTTCGTTTTGTCCTAATTGAATACCCTTTATTTCCTTCTCCTGCCTAATTGCCCTGGCCAGAACTTCCAACACTATGTTGAATAGGAGTGGTGATAGAGGGCATCCCTTTCTTGTGCCAGTTTTCAAAGGGAATGCTTCCAGTTTTTGCCCATTCAGTATGATATTGGCTGTGGGTTTGTCATAGATAGCTATTATTATTTTGAGATACATCCCATCAATACCTAATGTATTGAGAATTTTTAGCATGAAGGGTTGTTGAATTTTGTCAAAGGCCTTTTCTTCATCTATTGAGATAATCAGGTGGTTTTTGTCTTTGGTTCTGTTTATATGCTGGATTACATTCATTCATTTACATATGTTCAACCAGGCTTGCATCCCAGGGATGAAGCCCACTTGATCATGGTGGATAAGCTTTTTGATGTACTGCTGGATTCGTTTTGCCATTATTTTATTGAGGATTTTTGCATCAGTGTTCATCTAGGGTATTGGTCTAAAATTCTCTTTTTTGTTGTATCTCTACCAGGCTTTGGTATCAGGATGATGCTGGCCTCATAAAATGAGTTAGGGAGGATTCCCTCTTTTTCTATTGATTGGAATAGTTTCAGATGGAATGGTACTAGCTTATCCTTGTACCTCTGGTAGAATTCAGCTGTGAATCCATCTGGTCCTGGAATTTTTTTGGTCAGTAAGCTACTGATTATTGCCACAATTTCAGATCCTGTTATTGGTCTATTCAGAGATTCAATTTCTTCCTGGTTTAGTCTTGGGAGAGTGTATGTGTCAAGGAATTTATCCATTTCTTCTAGGTTTTCTAGTTTATTTGCATAGAGGTGTTTGTAGTCTTCTCTGATGGTAGTTTGTATTTCTGTGGGATCGGTGTTGATAACCCCTTTATCATTTTTTTATTGCGTCTATTTGATTCGTCTCTCTTTTCTTCTTTATTAGTCTTGCTAGCAGTCTATCAATTTTGTTGATCATTTCAAAAAACCAGCTCCTGGATTCATTAATTTTTTGAAGGGTTTTTTTGTGTCTCTATTTCCTTCAGTTCCGCTCAGATTTTAGTTATTTCTTGCCTTCTGCTAGCTTTTGAATGTGTTTGCTCTTGCTTTTCTAGTTCTTTTAATTGTGATGTTAGGGTGTCAATTTCAGATCTTTCCAGCTTTCTCCTGTGGGCATTTAGTGCTATAAATTTCCCTCTACACACTGCTTTGAATGTGTCCCAGAGATTATGGTGTGTTGTGTCTTTATTCCCATTGGTTTCAAAGAACATCTTTATATCTGCCTTCATTTTGTTATGTACTGAGTAGTCATTCAGGACCAGGTTGTCCAGTTTCCATGTAGTTGAGAGGTTTTGAGTGAGTTTCTCAATCCTGAGTTCTAGTGTGACCGCACTGTGGTCTGAGAGACAGTTTGTTGTAATTTCTTTTCTTTTACACTTGCTGAGGAGTGCTTTACTTCCAACTATGTGGTCAATTTTGGAATAGGTGTGGTGTGGTGCTGAAAAAAATGTATATCCTGTTGATTTGGGGTGGAGAGTTCTGTAGATGTCTATTAGGTCCGCTTGGTGCAGAGCTGAGTTCAATTCCTGGGTATCCTTTTTAACTTTCTGTCTTGTTGATCTGTCTAATGTTGACAGTGCGGTGTTAAAGTGTCCCATTATTATTGTGTGGGAGTCTAAGTCTCTTTGTAGGTCACTCAGGACTTGCTTTATGAATCTTGGTGCTCCTGTATTGGGTGCATATATATTTAGGATAGTTAGCTCTTCTTGTTGAATTGATCCCTTTACCATTATGTAATGCCATTCTTTGTGTCTTTTGATCTTTGTTGGTTTAACGTCTGTTTTATCAGAGACTAGGATTGCAACCCTTGCCTTTTTTTGGTGTTCTATTTGCTTGGTAGATCTTCCTCCATCCCTTTATTTTGAGCCTATGTGTGTCTCTGCACTTGAGATGGGTTTCCTGAATACAGCACACTGATGGGTCTTGACTCTTTATCCAATTTGCCAGTCTGTGTCTGTTAATTGGAGCATTTAGCCCGTTTACATTTAAAGTTAATATTGTTATTTGTGAATTTGGTCCTGTCATCATGATGTTAGCTGGTTATTTTGCTCGTTAGTTGATGCAGTTTCTTTCTAGGCTTGATGGTCTTTACATTTTGGCGTGTTTTTGGAGTGGCTGGTACTGGTTGTTCCTCTCCATGTTTAGTGCTTCCTTCGGGAGCTCTTTTACGGCAGGCCTGGTGGTGACAAAATCTCTCAGCATTTGCTTGTCTGTAAAGTATTTTATTTCTCCTTCACTTATGGATATGAAATTCTGAGTTGAAAATTCTTTTCTTTAAGAACATTGAATATTGGCCCCCAATGTCTTCTGACTTGCAGAGTTTCTGCCAAGAGGTCTGCTGTTAGTTAGTCTGATGAGCTTCCCTTTGTGGGTAACCCGAACTTTCTCTGGCTGCCCTTAACAATTTTCCCTTCATTTCAACTTTGGTGAATCTGACAATTAAGTGTCTTGGAGTTGCTCTTCTCGAGGAGTATCTTTGTGAAGTTCTCTGTATTTTCTGAATCTGAATGTTGGCCTGCCTTACTAGATTGGGGAAGTTCTCCTGAATAATATCCTGCAGAGTGTTTTCCAACTTGGTTCCATTCTCTCTGTCACTTTCAGGTACACCAATCAGACGTAGATTTTGTCTTTTCACAAAGTCCCATATTTCTTGGAGGCTTTGTTCATTTCTTTTTATTCTTTTTTCTCTAAACTTCCCTTCTCACTTCATTTCATTCATTTCATTTTCCATCACTGATACCCTTTCTTCCAGTTGATTGCGTTGGCTCCTGAGGCTTCTGCATTCTTCACGTTGTTCTCGAGCCTTGGCTTTCAGCTCCATCAGCTCCTTTAAGGACTTCTCTGCATTGTTTATTCTAATTATCCATTCATCTAATTTTTTTCAAAGTTTCCAGCAATGGAACAAACTGGACCAAGAATGACTTTGACGAGTTGAGAGAAGACTTCAGATGATCAAACTACTCTGAGCTACAGGAGGAAATTCAAACCAATGGGAAAGAAGTTAAAAACTTGGAAAAATGCTTCTAATATTTTTCTTGTTTTTAAAGATTGCCAGGATTTTCATGTAATTTGTGGGTTTTGTAATTTCTATTTTTGGGAAAGTTTAATTTAAAATTGAAAATTGGTGGCTGGGCACGGTGGTTCAAGCCTGTAATCCCAGCACTTTGGGAGGCTGAGGCAGGTGGATCACGAGGCCAGGTGATTGAGACCAACCTAGCTAACACGGTGAAACCCCATCTCTTCAAAAATACAAAAAAATTAGCCTGGCATTGTGGTGGGCGCCTGTAGTCCCAGCTACTCGGGATGCTGAGGCAGGAGAATGGCATGAACCTGGGAGGTAGAGCTTGCAGTGAGCCAAGATTGTGCCACTGCATTCCAGCCTGGGTGACACAGCGATACTCCATCTCAAGAAATAATAATAATAATAAAAGAGAAATAAAATTGGTTTGTCAAATGTGTGGATCACTTCAAGCAGCATGGACAACTTTACAATACTATGTCTTCCAACCCTTGATAAACAGCATGCTCAAAAGTGTGTTACTGGCCAGGCATGGTGACTCATACCTGTAATCCCAGCACTTTGGAAGGCTGAGGAGGGTACATAGCCAGATCAGGAGATCAAGACCATTTTGGCCAACATGATGAAATCCCATCTCTACTAAAATGCACAAAATTAGCTAAGTGTGGTTGGGCATGCCTGTAATGCCAGCTACTGGAGAAGCTGAGTCAGGGGAATTGCTTGTACGTGGAAGTTAAGGTTACAGTGAGCCGAGATTGTGCCACTGTATTTCCTCCTAGTGACAGAGTGAGGCTGTATCTAAAAAAAAAGGAAAGAAAAAAAGTAAAACTATGTTAACAGTTAATTTTCATATATTTTTTCAGCTTTTCTCCCATTACTGATTTCTAGTTTCATTTCATTTGTGCTATAAAAAATTGTCTGCTAAATTTCAATTAAAAAAACTATTAAGACTTCTTTCATGGCATCACAGGTAATCCACCTAGGAAAATGTTTTATGAGCTATTGCAAAAAAAAAAAAAAAAGTGTATTCTTTTACCGGTATACATTTGTTAGGTAAATATATTGTATAGTGTATTCAAACTTTTTGTTCCCTTGTTGATATTCTGTCTTTATTTATTACTGAAAGTGGGATACAAATGTATCCTTCCATTATTGTATTGCTATCTATTTTTGCTTCAATTCTGTCAATGTTTGTTTTATGTGTTTGGGAAAACTCTCACATATTCACGGAATTTCAGTGAATGAACTCTCTTAATATAATTGAATGTCCTACTTTGTCTCTTGTGAATTTTGACTTAAAGCAAACTTCATAAAATATGACAGTTTTCAACTTAATAAATTGTTGCCTTTTCTCTTATGATTTGGTTAACACTTGCATGGCATGTATTTTTTATCCTGCCATTTTCAGTCTATTTTTTTAAATTAGGTCTGAAGTGAGTCTCTTGAAGACATGACATCGATACATCTTGATACAGGTCATAATATAGTTAGTTTTATTCTTTTTCCTGTTGAAGGATACTTTTGCTGGATATTGTATTCTCACTTAGACTTTGTAAAATGTTTCTCATCAAGTTTCCCTTCTTTTAAAGAAAAATACTAAATGTTAGAAATAAGATTTTCTTTTAAAGATAAAATTTCTTCAAAGCCTTCTTGTTTTGTGCTAATAACTCTTTGTTAAGCCCTACTCTATGTAGCTGTTATACATAAGGGAATAAGTACATTCTATGGCCTTGTACTTTCACCAGAACATTTCTTCTGTACATGCTCAGGCATGTCCCAGGTTGCAGCTTATGTCCCCTTTCTTATTTGGAAATCTTATTACTTCTCTAAGTATTTTTGCAAAAACTTTCCCTTTTTCTTTGTTCTCCATTGCCTTTACCTATTTAGGGAAGTTTCAGGTTGTTAGCCAATCAGGTTTAGCTTAGACTGTGATGCCTAGTTCCAACTAATGGAGATAGGACACAGAAGTAAGGACTCAATGCATACGGGTAAATATTCCTGCCTTTCTTTTTCATTGTGCTCTCAGGGTAGGATTGCTGATGAGCAGCACCCTTTCTGCAGAAAGTAAAATTGCCTTGCTGAGAAGATTCCTTGTCTGAGTATTAGTTCTATTTTTTGGCTCTGAGGAATAGGATTTTCTAACATAATTTTTTTTTCGGTGTTTTAAGTATGTTATCCTACTCCTTTTTTCCTGAAAGGTTTATGTTCATAAACTTACTGGTAATCTTACAGAAGCATGCATATAAATAACATAACTCTTTTTTCTTCCTGCATTCCAGATTCTCTTTTTGTGTGTGACTTTCAAAACATTGCTTATTTGGGGTCTTGTTAGAAATTTATTTGTGTTAGTTGAAATTTACTGAGCTTCTTGATTTTCTCATATTTTTAAATAATATTGAAGTGCGTATGAGACTTTTTTGTACTTCTACACTTTTTTGTGCTTTTTATCGTTTTCTTAATTTCATTTTTGTTATTTCATTTTGTTTTATTTATTTCCATTTAACTCATTAAGCATCATTCAGATGGTAAGTTAATTTCTCAGGTCAATTTATTTTTTCTTTCAAAAATAAATGCAGACTTTAATTGAAATTTTCTTAGGTAAGTTTTACATCTCTGTTTTGTATCATTGATTTCTGAATATTTATTTTTATCTTTGAGTGAGACATATTATCTTAATGTTTTGTATATGTTGTAGTCTTATGTTGCAATTTGTATAATAAATCACCACATGTGAAAATGCTTATTAAGTGATTTTTTCTTGGGAAATATGAACCAACTTTTGGGCTAGAGATTCTTGACGTCTCTCACTTCTGTTCTATACAAGTTTTATCTGGGCTTGTGTTTTTTCATTAAAAAATATTTCCAATTATTTATTATATTTTATTTTATTTTATATTTATTTTATTTTATTTTATTTTGAGTGAACATTTTACTCTTGTTGTCCATGCTGCAATGTGATGGCATGGTCTTGGCTCACTGCAAGAATCAACTCCTACTTTCCAGTGATTCTCCTGGCTCAGTCACCAGAGTAGCTGAGATTAGAGGTGCCCGCCACCATGCCTGTGTAATTGTTGTATTTTTAGTAGAGATGGGGTTTCACCATGTTGACCCGGCTGGTGTTGAACTTTTGACCACAGGTGAACAGCCTGCCTCAGACTCCCAAAGTGCTGGGATTACAGGTGTGGGCCACCACTCATGGACATTCCCTATGTTTCCTATTGAGATTCTGACTACAGTCAATTGCTATACCCATTTTCTGTCTATGACACTGAAGTCTTTTTTTGTAACAGTCATTTACCTTTGGTCTCACCAGCCCCAAACTGTCAAAGAATACCACTTTTCCTTTAAACACTGTCATATAATATAGAAATTAGTCTTTAGTAAGGTCTCACAAAACAAGAAGCCTGAACACAGGTGCCACTATTTTATTTATTTTTGAAGGGGGAAGACATGAGTTGGGAGTCTATATTTGAAGTCATCATAGGATGAAGAATGGCTGCGGTGGGTAAATATAAAACACTTTTATTACACTTCTATGTAGTTCTTGACATTTTGCTCCCTTGAAGTGCTATAAATTCTTAACTGATTCTTAGTCTTCTCACACAGGAATTTTGTTCATTATAATTGTGTTAAGTTTACATGTCTATAAAGGAATTACAGCCTGTGGTATTTTATTGTCACCTTGTTAATGTGCTTTGTGTAACTAATATTTGTAAAATGTATTCACATGAGCCTAATGTGGGAGAAATTTTGTTGTTCCTTTTGTTTTTGTTTTTCAGCTGGCTCTTTTCATATTACTGCAGACATATGGTGGGAACATATTATAAAACATTCATTTCAAAAAGTGATTCTGAGAAAATATGGAACCTGTGACCTTAACCATTTACATTTAAAAAAGACTAGCAAAGTGTGAATTACTACAAGGGACAGAAAGAAAAGCAGTTATAATTTCTTTCTTCAATGTTTATCAACTACCCAGAGAAAAACTTGTCAATGTTATAAATTTGGAAAGCTTTCCAGGTGTACCCAATCTTCAGTGAACAGAAGAAAACCTTTAGCAGAGAGAAATACTACAAATGCAAAGAATATGGCAGAAACTGTAGGTAGTTCTCAGATTTTACTATAAAAAATGGAATACTTACTGCAGAGAGATGCTACAGATATGAAGAATGCGGCAAAGCCTTTAAAAAGTTCTCAAACCTTACTGAACATAAGAGAGTTCATACTGGAGGAAAAACCTACAAATGTGAAGAATGTGACAAAATTTTAACCTGCTCCTCAACCCTTATTAAACACAAGATAAATCATTTTGGAAATAGATCCTACAATTGCAAAGAATGTGTAAAAGCCTTTAAATGTTTCTCAGACCTTACTAATTCTAAGAGAATTCTCAGAACTTGCTAAAAATAAAATAATTTATACTGGAGAGAAACCATCATACAAATGTGAAGAATGTCACAGAGCCTATGGGGGGTTCTCAGACCTTAATAAACATAAGATAACTCATACTGAAGAGAAACCCTACATATATAACTAATGTGGAGAAGCTTTTAAGTGGTTCTCAGCCGTTAGTAAACATAAGAGAATTTATACTGGAGGGAAACCCTACACCTGTAGAAAAAAAAAAGTCAAAGCCTTTACCTGCTTTTCAATCCTTATTAACCACAAGATAATTCATATAGAAGACAGCCCTTACAAATCTGAAGCATGTGGCAAAACCTTTAAGTGCTTTTCAGACTTTGCTAATCATAAGAGAATTCACACTGCAGGAAAAGCCTACAAATGTGAAGAATGTGGTGAAACATTAAGTTCATTCTCACACTTCATTAGAAATAATAGAACTCATAGTAGAGAGAAGCTTCACAAGTGTTAAAAATGTGGAAAAGCTTTTAAAGCATCCTCATTTTATGTCCAACATCAGAGACTTAATACTGAACAAATGCCACATAAAGGTAATGACTGTTGAAGAAGATTTAACTTAACATCTTGCAGCATCACTAAGAACTCGCTTTATACTCAGTGCTTTTGGGTTGGGTTTGTCTATTGCATTTTACTATTATGGAATGCCTTCTTTCTCTTAAAAAAAAACTACGTGGATTTTAAGTTTGCTTTGCTAGAAACTAGGATTGCATCACCTCCTTTTTTCTGTTTTCCATCTATTTGGTAGATTTCTCTTTTTTCTTTATATTTAGCTTAATTGAGATGAGTGTCTAGATTACAGAATACCATTAGATCTTGATTCTTTACTCAACTTGCCACACTGTTTTTTAATTGGGGCATTTAGCCCATTTACAGTTATGGTTAGTATTCATATGTGTTGATTTGATTCTGCCACCACGATTTTAGCTGGCTATTTTGCACATTTGTTTTGTGGTCGCTTTAGAGTGTCAGCAGTTTATTTACTTTGGTGTGTTTTTGAAGTGACTAATTACAGGGTTTTTTTTTATTTAGTGTTTTCTTCAGAAGCCCTTGTAAGACAGGTCTTGGGTAACAGATTTCTTCAGCGTTTGCTTATGTGAATAGGATCATATTAATTTTTTTCACTTCTGAAGCTCCCTTTGGTTGGATATAAGCTTACTTTGGTCTCGTGGGAAGCTGCAGTATGGGGAAGAAACATGTGGACTGGTGGAGTCATAGGGGCTGTATTGCTGAAGCTCTTCAGGGATCAGGCATGGCCCACCAGTACCGATGCTATGGTATGGGATCCCAGGGTAACTGAGACTGCCCTGTAAGAACCTGTGGCCAGAATAGGTCCCTATAAGAGGCCAGGAGACCAAGGGGTATTCAATTGGAACAATTTCTTCTGATTTGCAAGACCATCCTGCAAAAATTAGGTCCAACAATTTTTCTAGGGCTAAAGCCTCTTATGGGAGAAAGTTGAACCTAGAGAAGTGGCCATCACTGGCAACATATTACTACAGATGCTCTTGCACCAACACTCTTGACACCACATGAGGTGGCTTGCTGCCCCTTCTTTGCTTGGCTTCTAGGGGCTGCATCTCAGAGAGATGTAGGTCAGCAATCCCTTACTACAGACAGCCCAGGATGGAGGATCTCTGCTTTTGGCCAAGTTTGGTGTTTACTGTCTTGTGAGGAGCAATAGGTAGCTTGTGGAACCCATGGAGGGTGGACTGGCCCTCACTCTTTGGGTAAAATGCAGCTTGTTTGAGGTGTAAATAAGGTACCTGGGTTTTGAATTTTTCATTAGTCTGAGAAGCATAGCAAGGACAGTTCTAACACAGAGATAGTGGCAGAAATATTTTCAGTTACTCCTAGAGGCTGTGTCCAGGAAGTTGCTAGGTTGCTGCAGGCTCAATATCCCTGCCAATGATTGGCTAATGGCCGAGACCTGGAGAGTCTGCACAGTGAGAATGTGTGAGAACAGGTGCTCATGTAACAGTATGGCCACTTTTCTAAAGGGCTGCTGCAGTATGTTTTGTGTCCACTGCAGTTTCTGGTCACCTCAGGTTTTACAGAATCTGAAGCTGTCCCACTGAATGCTGAAAAACAGCAACAAAGGCAGTATGCCCCATTCTCTGGAAGCTCCATCCCAGGCAGGTATAGACCTGTTTCCAGCCCAAAAGCACCTGAAGGAGATAGCTGGAACCCCTCTTCAAATGTCTTACCCAGTGAGGAAAACATAATTCGGGACCCACTTAAGATAGCAGTCTAGCCACATTTTTGTAGGAGAGCTCTGCTGTGCAGAGGTATCACTTTCATCCCTTGTTTATTTGGATTCTCCAAAGCCAGAAAGCTGGAACAGCTAAGTCACAAAAACAGCAAAAGTGGCAGCTCACTCTTCACTCTAGGAACTATACCCCGAAGAGGTTTCAAAATTCCATAAATCAAATAACACTGGTGGTGGTAGCTGGACACCCTGTTTGGGAAGTTCTTTTCAGTGAGGAGGAAGAGTTTGGGGACGTGCTTTACCAGGCAGACTGGTGGTGTCATTTTAGAGCACCTGTACGGTGCTATAGATCCTTGCTGCCCCAGTCAGCTTAGGCTTTTCAAAGCCTGAAGGCTGGGATGGCTATGTTGTTGAAACAGCAAAGATGGAGGTCCACTCCTGTTTCTGGTAGCTCCAATTCAGAGAGATACAGCGCTGCTGCCAATGATTGGCTGGAATTCTAAGCCAGTAGATCTTACTCTATGAGGCACTGTGGAAGTGGGTCCTACAGACTGTCACTGCTCAGGTCCCTGGATTCTGCCTATTTCCTATAGGTATGTATATGGGTATAACCTCCTGCTTTGCTGGCGTTGCAGCTACTTTTTCTGGGAATCCTGGAAAGCCAGAGTATCTGTGGCTCTGCAACACGCCAGTGCAGTTGCTATGCTGAGACTCCAAGTAGCTCTATGTGTTAGACTAAAGGCCTTGGTAAAGTAGGTTCCTCAGGGAGTCTCCCCATCTGAGGATTAAAAAGATGTGTGGGAGAATTGTAGGTTCCCAGGGTCACACATGCACTTACTGCTTTACTGGATGGGGAGGTTCTCTTGGCTCTATGTCTTTTCTGGGTGGCCCATTGTTCGGCCTTGCTCTACTCTCCACAAGTTGTTTATTTGATTATTCTGAAGGCAAATACCTGGATATTTCATTTGAAGGTGCTGTATTTATGCACGCCTTGCATTTTTCTCTGTGAGAACTACAGGGTCTAGCTGCTCCTAATCTGCAATGTTGGTCTCTTTCCTCTAAAAGAAACCTACTTTTTTATATGAAAATAATTTAAGCTGGGCACAGAGGCTCATGTGTGTAATCCCAGGATTTGGGGAGGTCAAGGTGGATAGATCATGAGGTCAAGAAATCAAAACCATTCTGGCCAACATGGTGAAACCCCATATCTACAAAAAACAAACAAAAACAAAACAAAACAAAAAAAACTTTTGAGCATGGTGGTGCACACCTGTAGTTCCAGGTACTCAGGAGTCTAAGGCAGGAGGATTGCTTGAATGCAGGAAGTGGAGGTTGCAGTGAGCCAAGATCACACACTGCAGTCCAGCATGGCAACAGGGTGAAACTTTCTCTCATAACAAACAAATAAAAATTTAATATTTTTTCAAAAGCAACTATTGATGGAATTTAAGTCTTATATTTGAAGCTGTGTGTTCATTTCTAGAATTTATGTGAAAGAGCATGGTCAATGGTCCCTGCACTAGATTTAAGAGAGGTTCTTCTATATTAGATTGACAGATTTATATACTTTCATATGGAAGATTAAGAAAACTGAAATCTAAGATACATGAAGAAATTCTAAGTGGAAAGTCTACTTAGTGGTTGGGTATCATAAGTGCAGTATCATAAGTGACAGGATGATAGGAGTGTGAAAAGTAACCAGAATAATATTCTGCATAGTAAGAGAAACAATTTGGATTTTAGAAGGAAATTGCTTTACCATTTGCAGATTAAGATAATTAAAATACAGTGAATTTCAAAATGCCTTTTTAATGGCAATGTGTAAACTTAATTTTTTTAATTGAAGAAAATATTTGTGAATGTAATAATGCTACTTTACATTGAATTTTTATCTTGCCACTGATGTTACTTATCCCATTTTACCCATGGTTGTAGGTAACAGATGGTAACTATATTCTATAGAATTACACTGAAATAATATCTCTCATGATTCCTTTGTCAGTGGTCTTTAACTTAAAATAATTTGAAGAATATGGTTCCTACAATTTATATTTTTGTTTTTCTTGTAACTACAGATTATTGTGATGGTTGTTATGAAGATTTGGAATATAATAGACCTATATGCTTTAATTCTGAATTCTGAACAACTATTTGCAAAATTTTATCCTACTTCTTTTTTTTAACTGATGACTTCTCTGGTCTGCTAAACATATTCATACCTTTATTTTTTATTTAAATGGATGTAAATATACAGACAAATCACTGTAAAATAAACTTTGTATGTAACAGCTCTATAGAGAATACTCATATTTGTTTGTGATTGTGTACCTACTTTGAGAAGCAAAGAAAAATATTAGAATAAAACACATAATTTTACATGTCTTGATAACTTACCAGCAAACCGGAAACTTCAAAGATTTTGAAAGCAAATCTATTTTCTCTGCCTTGTATTAATCCCGTTTACCAAAAATGTTATTGCTCTTGTCTTAGAAACATCTTGTGCACATTCTCCTTTTTTTGTCTGTTTGCTTGTTGCTCACTATAGACATAATATATACATTTATTTTAGTCTAATTTCATAAAGCATTCCTTGTATAATTTTCTCAGAGATGATGAATGTGACTTTGATAAAATTTAATGATCTTCACAAAATAATTTTTACATGTAATTTCATGGTGTGTGTATTATTGTATGCTATTTATTTAGTACATTTTTTATTTTATTTCAATTTGAGAATGCTATTTAATCCAATTTTTATTTATTGTTCATTTTACATTATGAACTTGATATAATTGAGTTTATTAAACTTATTAGGCCAATTTATTCAAATTAATAGTTGAACATTTATTAAGTCATGAGGTCCTTTTGGCATATACATGAAGTAAACAAGATAATACTAGCTATATAATAGAAGCTACATAATTAGAAATAAATATTCTTCTTGAAATTAGCCAGTAGACTCAGATGAAAATAAAAATGTCTATAGTATGACATGAATTCTGCATATGAAGTGAACAAAATTGTACCACTGCTGCACAGTTGACTCTCACAATTGAAACAAATTATAGAGTTGGACATACTATAAAAACTAAGTTAAAATCTTGTAAAATTTTTAAATTGCATTTCTACCTTTAAACATCTACTGAGTGAGGTAGAGGGCATGTCTATTTAATCAAACCTGGAATGGCTAATACATGTCAATACTGTGCACCACAGGTATCAAAACCTAAAATTCCCGAAACCCTTTCCCTTTAGATTAGCAAAATATGATTTTAATCTCCCAACTCTATATTGTGTCTTAGACAAAATTACTAGGCCATTTTTTTTACATTTGATTCTGGATTTTTTTTTTTAATGGAGTCTTGCTCTGCCACCCACACTGGAGTACAGTGGTGTGATCTCAGTGCACTACAACCTCCACCTCCTGGGTTAAATTGATTCTTCTGCATCAGCCTCCTAAGTAGATGGGACTACATGTGCCCACTGCCATGCCTGGCTAATTTTTTTGTGTTTTTAGTAGAGACGGGGTTTCACCATTGTTAGACAAAATGGTTGATCTCCTGACCTTCTGATTTGCCCATCTCAGCCTCCCAAACTGCTGGGATTACACGTGTCAGCCACCACGCCAAGCCTTGATTCTAGATCTTGACACATCCTATCCTCAACTTAATTTCTCTGAGGATAGAAAAACTGTGTGATATGGAATAATAATACCAAACATTTGTTATAAACAAAGGATATTTTATTTCTGCCCTGCTGTCCTGGCCTCTTAGAATCATAGCTCTTCTTAGAAACTGGCAGAATCAGCCTTCTGTTCAGGGTAAATTTTGGGCAATTATGTGACATATGAAGGCTGGTTTCATTGCACCAGGTACTAAGAAAACCTGCTTCTGCCAGAAGTAAAATCCAGTAAGTTTTTTTTTTTTTAATATAAATTGGTGATTTTTTTTTATTATACTTTAAGTTTTAGGGTCCATGTGCACATTGTGCAGGTTAGTTACATATGTATACATATGCCATGCTGGTGCACTGCACCCACTAACTCGTCATCTAGCATTAGGTATATCTCCCAATGCTATCCCTCCCCCCTCCCCCCACCCCACCACAGTCCCCAGACTGTGATATTCCCCTTCCTGTGTCCATGTGATCTCATTGTTCAATTCCCACCTATGAGTGAGAATATGCGGTGTTTGGTTTTTTGTTCTTGAGATAGTTTACTGAGAACGATGATTTCCAATTTCACCCATGTCCCTACAAAGGACATGAACTCATCATTTTTAATGGCTGCATAGTATTCCATGGTGTATATGTGCCACATTTTCTTAATCCAGTCTATCATTGTTGGACATTTGGGTTGGTTCCAAGTCTTTGCTATTGTGAATAATGCTGCAATAAACATACGTGTGCATGTGTCTTTATAGCAGAATGATTTATAGTCCTTTGGGTATATACCCAGTAATGGGATGGCTGGGTCAAATGCTATTTCCAGTTCTAGATCCCTGAGGAATCGCCACACTGACTTCTACAATGGTTGAACTAGTTTACAGTCCCGCCAACAGTGTAAAAGTGTTCCTGTTTCTCCACATCCTCTCCAGCACCTGTTGTTTCCTGACTTTTTAATGATTGCCATTCTAACTGGTGTGAGATGATATCTCATTGTGGTTTTAATTTGCATTTCTCTGATGGCCAGTGATGATGAGCATTTTTTCATGTGTTTTTTGGCTGCATAAATGTTTTCTTTTGAGAAGTGTCTGTTCATGTCCTTCACCCACTTTTTGATGGGGTTGTTTGTTCTTTTCTTGTAAATTTGTTTTAGCTCATTGTAGATTCTGGATATTAGCCCTTTGTCAGATGAGTAGGTTGTGAAAATTTTCTCCCATTTTGTAGGTTGCCTGTTCACTCTGACAGTAGTTTCTTTTGCTGTGCAGAAGCTCTTTAGTTAAATTAGATCCCGTTTGTCAATTTTGTCTTTTGTTGCCATTGCTTTTGGTGTTTTAGACATGAAGTCCTTGCCTATGCCTATGTCCTGAAGGGTAAAGCCTAGGTTTTCTTCTAGGGTTTTTATGGTTTTAGGCCTAACGTTTAAGTCTTTAATCCATCTTGAATTGATTTTTGTATAAGGTGTAAGGAAGGGATCCAGTTTCAGCTTTCTACATATGGCTACCAGTTTTCCCAGCACCATTTATTAAATAGGGAATCCTTTCCCCATTGCTTGTTTTTCTCAGGTTTGTCAAAGATCAGATAGTTGTAGATATGCGGCGTTATTTCTGAGGGCTCTGTTCTGTTCCATTGATCTATATCTCTGTTTTGGTAACAGTACCATGCTGTTTTGGTTACTGTAGACTTGTAGTATAGTTTGAAGTCAGGTAGTGTGACGCCTCCAGCTTTGTTCTTTTGGTTTAGGATTGACTTGGCAATGTGGGCTCTTTTTTGGATCCATATGAACTTTAAAGTTTTTTTTTCCAATTCTGTGAAGAAAGGCATTGGTAGCTTGATGGGGATGGCATTGAATCTGTAACTGACCTTGGGCAGTATGGCCATTTACACGATATTAATTCTTCCTATCCATGAGCATGGAATGTTCTTCCATTTGTTTGTATCCTCTTTTATTTCCTTGAGCAGTGGTTTGTAGTTCTCCTTGAAGAGGTCATTCACATCCCTTGTAAGTTGGATTCCTAGGTTTTTTATTCTCTTTGAAGCAATTGTGAATGAGAGTTCACTCATGATTTGGCTCTCCGTTTGTTTGTTGTTGGTGTATAAGAATGCTTGTGTATTTTGTACATCGATTTTGTATCCTGAGACTTTGCTAAAGTTGCTTATCAGCTTAAGGAGATTTTGAGCTGAGACGATGGGGTTTTCTAGATATACAATCATGTCGTCTGCAAACAGGGACAATTTGACTTCCTCTTCTCCTAATTGAATACATTTTATTTCCTTCTCCTGCCTAATTGCCCTGGCCAGAACTTCCAACACTATGTTGAATAGGAGTGGTGAGAGAGGGCATCCCTGTCTTGTGCCAGTTTTCAAAGAGAATGCTTCCAGTTTTTGCCCATTCAGTATGATATTGGCTGTGGGTTTGTCATAGATAGCTCTTATTATTTTGAAATACGTCCCATCAATACCTAATTTATTGAGAGTTTTTAGCAGAAGGGTTGTTGAATTTTGTCAAGGGCTTTTACTGCATCTATTGAGAGAATCGTGTGGTTTTTGTCTTTGGCTCTGTTTATATGCTGGATTACATTTATTGATTTGCATATATTCAACCAGCCTTGCATCTCAGGAATGAAGCCCAGTTGATCATGGTGAATAAGCTTTTTGATGTGTTGCTGGATTCGTTTTGCCATTATTTTATTGAGGATTTTTGCATCAGTGTTCATCTAGGGTATTGGTCTAAAATTCTCTTTTTTTGTTGTGTCTCTGCCTGGCTTTGGTATCGGAATGACGCTGGCCTCGGGAAAAGAGTTAGGGAGGATTCCCTCTTTTTCTATTAATTGGAATAGTTTCAGAAGGAATGGTACCAGTTCCTCCTTGTACCTCTGGTAGAATTTGGCTGTGATTCCATCTGGTCCTGGACTCTTTTTGGTTGGTAAGCTATTGATTATTGCCACAATTTCAGATCCTGTTATTGGTCTATTCAGAGATTCAACTTCTTCCTGGTTTAGTCTTGGGAGAGTGTATGTGTCCAGGAATTTATCCATTTCTTCTAGATTTTCTAGTTTATTTGCATAGAGGTGTTTTTAGTATTCTCTGATGGTAGTTTGTATTTCTGTGGGATCGGTGGTGATATCCCCTTTATCATTTTTTATTGCATCTATTTGATTCTTCTCTCTTTTTTTCTTTATTAGTCTTGCTAGCGGTCTATCATTTTGTTGATCCTTTCAAAAAACCAGCTCCTGGATTCATTAATTTTTTGAAGGGTTTTTTGTGTCTCTATTTCCTTCAGTTCTGCTCTGATTTTAGTTATTTATTGCCTTCTGCTAGCTTTTGACTGTGTTTGCTCTTGCTTTTCTAGTTCTTTTAATTGTGATGTTACGGTGTCAATTTTGGATCTTTCCTGCTTTCTCTTGTGGGCATTTAGTGCTATAAATTTCCCTCTACACACTGCTTTGAATGCGTCCCAGAGATTCTGGTATGTTGTGTCTTTGTTCTCGTTGGTTTCAAAGAACATCTTTATTTCTGCCTTCATTTCGTTATGTACCCAGTAGTCCTTCAGGAGCAGGTTGTTCAGTTTCCATGTAGTTGAGTGGTTTTGAGTGCGATTCTTAATCCTGAGTTCTAGTTTGATTGCACTGTGGTCTGAGACATAGTTTGTTATAATTTCTGTTCTTTTACATTTGCTGAGGAGAGCTTTACTTCCAAGTATGTGGTCAATTTTGGAATAAGTGTGGTTTGGTGCTGAAAAAAAATGTATATTCTGTTGATTTGGGGTGGAGAGTTCTGCAGATGTCTATTAGGTCCGCTTGGTGCAGAGCTGAGTTCAATTCCTGGGTATCCTTGTTAACCTTCTGTCTCTTTGATCTGTCTAATGTTGACAGTGGGGTGTTAAAGTCTCCCATTATTATTGTGTGGGAGTCTAAGTCTCTTTGTAGGTCACTCAGGACTTGCTTTATGAATCTTGGTGCTCCTGTATTGGGTGCATATATATTTAAGATAGTTAGCTCTTCTTGTTGAATTGATCCCTTTACCATTATGTAGTGGCCTTCTTTGTCTCTTTTGGTCTTTGTTGGTTTAACGTCTGTTTTATCAGAGACTAGGATTGCAACCCCTGCCTTTTTTTGTTTTCCATTTGCTTGGTAGATCTTCCTCCATCCTTTTATTTTGAGCCTATGTGTGTCTCTGCACGTGAGATGGGTTTCCTGAATACTGCACACTGATGGGTGTTGACTCTTTATCCAATTTGCCAGTCTGTGTCTTTTAATTGGAACATTTAGTCCATTTACTTTTAAAGTTAATATTGTTATGTGTGAATTTGATCCTGTCATTATGATGTTAGCTGGTTATTTTGCTCGTTAGTCGATACAGTTTCTTCCTAGTCTTGATGGTCTTTACATTTTGACATGATTTTCCAGTGGCTGGTTCTTGTTGTTCCTTTGAATGTTTAGCGCTTCCTTCAGGAGCTCTTTTAGGGCAGGTCTAGTGGTGACAAAATCTTTCAGCATTTGCTTGTCTGTAAAGTATTTTATTTCTCCTTCGCTTATGAAGCTTAGTTTGGCTGGATATGAAATTCTGGTTTGTAAATTCTTTTCTTTAAGAATGTTGAATATTGGCCCTCACTATCTTCTGGCTTGTAGGGTTTCTGCCGAGAGATCCACTCTTGGTCTGATGGGCTTCCCTTTGAGGGTAACCCGACCTTTCTCTCTGGCTGCCCTTAACATTTTTTCCTTTGTTTCAACTTTGGTGAATCTGACAATTATGTGTCTTGCTCTTCTTGAGGAGTATCTTTGTGGTGTTCTCTGTATTTCCTGAATCTGAACATTGGCCTGCCTTGCTAGATTGGGGAAGTTCTCCTGGATAATATCCTGCAGAGTGTTTTCCAGCTTGGTTCCATTCTCCCTGTCACTTTCAGGTACACCAATCAGACATAGATTTGGTCTTTTCATATAGTCGCATATTTCTTGGAGGCTTTGTTCATTTCTTTTTATTCTTTTTTCTCTAAACTTCCCTTCTCACTTCATTTCAGTCATTTCATCTTCCATCGCTGATACCCTTTCTTTCAGTTGATCGCACCGGCTCCTGAGGCTTCTGCATTCTTCATGTAGTTCTTGAGCCTTGGTTTTCAGCTCCATCAGCTCCTTTAAGCACTTCTCTGTATTGGTTATTCTAGTTATACATTCTCCTAATTTTTTTTCAAGTTTTCAACTTCTTTGCCTTTGGTTTGAATGTCCTCCTGTAGCTCAGATTAATTTGATCGTCTGAAGCCTTCTTCTCTCAGCTCGTCAAAGTCATTCTCCATCCAGCTTTGTTCCGTTGCTGGTGAGGAACTGCGTTCCTTTGGAGGAGGAGAGGCGCTCTGCTTTTTAGAGTTTCCAGTTTTTCTGTTCTGTTTTTTCCCCATCTTTGTGGTTTTATCTACTTTTGGTCTTTGATGATGGTGATGTACAGATGGGTTTTTGGTGTGGATGTCCTTTCTGTTTGTTAGTTTTCCTTCTAACAGACAGGACCCTCAGCTGCAGTTCTGTTGGAATACCCTGCCGTGTGAGGTGTCAGTGTGCCCCTGCTGGGGGGTGCCTCCCAGTTAGGCTGCTCAGGGGTCAGGGGTCAGGGACCCACTTGAGGAGGCAGTCTGCCCCTTCTCAGATCTCCAGCTGCTTGCTGGGAGAACCACTGCTCTCTTCAAAGCTGTCAGACAGGGACATTTAAGTCTGCAGAGGTTACTGCTGTCTTTTTGTTTGTCTGTGCCCTGCCCCTAGAGGTGGAGCCTACAGAGGCAGGCAGGCCTCCTTGAGCTGTGGTGGGCTCCACCCAGTTCGAGCTTCCCTGCTGCTTTGTTTACCTAAGCAAGCCTGGGCAATGTCGGGCGCCCCTCCTCCAGCCTCGCTGCCACCTTGCAGTTTGATCTCAGACTGCTGTGCTAGCAATCAGCAAGACTCCGTGGGCATAGGACCCTCTGAGCCAGGTGTGGGATATAATCTCGTGGTGTGCCGTTTCTTAAGCCGGTCAGAAAAGAGCAGTATTCTGGTGGGAGTAACCCGAGTTTTCAGGTGCGTCCATCACCCCTTTCTTTGACTCAGAAAGAGAACTCCCTGACCCCTTGTACTTCCCAAGTGAGGCAATGCCTGGCCCTGCTTCGGCTTGCACATGGTGCGCGCACCCACTGACCTGCGCCCACTGTCTGGCACTCCCTAGTGAGATGAACTGGGTACCTCAGATGGAAATGCAGAAATCACCATCTTCTGCTTCACTCACCCTGGGAGCTGTAGACCGGAGCTGTTCCTATTCGGCCATCTTGGCTCCTCCAGTGATTTTTAAAATAATATAAATGATAGGTTTCTTCTGTTTAATTGTAATGATTCTTTCAAAGAGATGTTTGGCTTTATTTCTATAATGAAGCAAATTCTGAACATCTTATAATCTGTTCATTATCATATAGTAAATAATAAAGAACAAGTTAATGAATCTCAGTTTTTGTAAGTATTTTAGTGAATAAATTTAATCTCATTTCCATAATCTTTAAGTTTTACTACTGAAGACCAGAATAGACTTTTTTCTTCTTTTGGGAAACTATAAAAGCATGTTCATAATGTTACTTTCATAGATAATATGAATATCAACTGTCAAGTGTGTTGGTTTCTAAAATAAAATATTTTAGAATTGTATTACCAAACATATTCAATGAAATGTTTTAAAGTTGCCTATTTAAAAAATCTGCCAATTTTGAATTGCATATGCAGCTAAAATTTTCTTAAGATAGAGGATAAGATGTAAAATAATTCATACAAATAATATAAACTCAGTTTTCTGAAATTATTTACTTAAGAAATCTAATTACAGTTTAAATAAGTTGTGATCACCTATTAGCCTTTATGCAGCATATTATATTACTAAAATTTTGCATCTAAAATGGTAGCAATTAGAACAAAGTAGAGAAAATACAATAATTGGCATAAAAAATTTCAAGAAAATGAAATGTTTGTATGATGACCTAAATAAAGTAATATGAAGAATGAAAGGATAGTATTAGTTTTACACATTATTGGTCAAAAGTAACCTGAGATATTGTGTAGAAAGTGCTATTAATTATATCTTTGAGACCGTCTTACTGATTTTGGCACTTAGAGAAGCTCCAGCACAGACCCAGCATTCCTTAGGCATTTTTTTCCAGGAGAACATTTAATAGAAATGAAGCAGAAGGTGACTTACACAAAGGTAAATGAATACTTGTCTCCTAGAGACCAGTGGGTGCAGCTTGCTAAAAGAGTAGACCTTTCCTGGAAGTCACGGAAGGGGCTATGGGCAAGCATCTTAGAATAGGGGCCTGGAGCTCCATGAAACACTCCTGCCAGCAGTGATCTCAGAGGGCCACGTGGTAGGTCAGCCTAGGTGCTCTGTCATGTTCCCGGTCCTTGAGTCCTTCCTCACCCACTAGGTATTTCCACAAAGAAATCAGGATGGCAACCACAAGTGCAGCCCCCCTAGAAGGAGATCAAGAGTGTCAAGGATCACATTCTTCTTGGAAAATTCAGTGATTTAGTAACTCGTCAATAAGCTGTAGCAGAATGTGCTGCTCTAACCCACAGAGATCACACTCTAGGAGGAAATTTGGGTGACACCTGCCTGAAGATGTGCATTGGAGGAAGGACGGACAGGTCACCTGGGACTTAGTGAGCAAGTGCCCCTAGCCAATCCGGGGAGACATGGGCTTGGCCAGAGCAGAAAGTAAGGGTGGCATACAGCAGACATGCTGAGCTGTCAGATGGGCACACAAGGGTAGGTATGAGTGGTCCCTGAGTGGGAGAACCCCCTCAAAGCCCTCAACTCACCCAAGAGATCCCCCAGCCTTTTGAACCACAAGCTGTACCTGGAACTCCAGGGTGCGCACTGGGTAGTGGCCTGGTAAAACTTGGGTGAGCAGCCAGTCACTGAGTGACTTCCATTGCCCATGTCTCTAATGAGAAAATTGAATCCCCAAAGTCACAAGCCAGGAGCAGCAAAAGCACTAGGCTGAGGCATCACATTTTTTCTTCACTGGCACCCATAATCCTCAGAACCCCTGGGCTTCCCTTGAGGAAAAATATTCCTCTTCATTGTGAGTGTAGGCCCAAATCAGAGAACTGGCTTGACTGTTCAACTGCACTCAGGCAGTGTGTGTACCATTCCAAGCAGGTCCCATTTACTTCGTGCCTCCAGTTATTTCATCTGCAACATATCACTTGTAACAGCTCTTTCTCTACCCTCCAAATTCTATGGTTTTTGAAATTCCTCTGAAGACCACATGAGCCAAGCATCAAGGATCATTGTTCTTTAGGCTACTCAGGCTATTCCAGGAAGAGAGATCTCTCAAACTACGTTGACACTTAAGAGTCATGTATAGATAGTACCAGATCTAGGAGGAGGGCTGTCAAATATCCAGATTCTTTTCTGGTCTCCATTCCAAAAGATATGTTAAAATGACAAGGAAAATAAGACACAAACCTGACATTTCTCCCTTTAAAAGGGCAGCCTCAGCCTGGCCACACTGAACCAAAATTTCAGGCTCTGGTTCACCTTGACTCACATTGGAAAATACTTGAACTGGGACCCCAGAATGTCCAGTGAAAATCTTGAGAATGGGCACCTCAGCAGCCTGAACACACCTGTAACAGGAACAAACCCTACCAAGTAAGAAGCCATCTCATTTACTTAGAAAACCATACCAGCAATGTGCACACACATCAGGCTTTTTAGATAAACTCCTGTTAATCCAAGGATTCAAGAAAAAGGAAAAAAAAAGTTTGAATCTAGATTCTCAGGAAGAAGAACCTCCACTGCCTGGACCAGCCTGTATGATGGATGCAACTGACAGTGGTAACTTGTCTTGCACATACCTGAAGACTGATCTTATATAAAAAATGTTTCTGAGTGTTCAGAGTTTCAAGCTAAAAATCTACTAGTGGCCTGGCCAGCTGCAGTGGGTCAGGCCTGTACTCCCAGCAGTTTGGGAGGCCAAATCAGATGGATCATCTGAGGTCAGGAGTTCAAGAACCACCTTATCAACATGAAGAATCCTGGTCTCTACTAAAAATACAAAATTAGCCAGGTATCATGGCAAATGCTTGTCATCCTAGCTACTCAGAAGGCTGAGGCAGAGGAATCACTTGAACCTGTGAGGCGGAGGTTTCGGTGAGCTGAGATTGTGCAAACACCCTCCAGCCTGGGCAACAAGAGTGAAACTTCATTTCAAAAAAAAAAAAAAAAAAAATCTAGTAGTGGCCAACCTGGAGATTACTCTTTATCTATGAGGAAAGTCTGAGCCTTTGCTCTCTCCCATGCTGTGGTATGGAGTAGGCCACACAGGGGACTGAGGCCCTTATTTTTTGTTAAATGAAGGACAACAGATAAAAGATTGTTCAGAAAAAATGTGCTTAATAAATATGCTATGCACACTGCATGCTTTTTCCAAGTGGACGTGGTTATCCTGCTAAGCCCACTGACACTGGACTTTCTCCCCTCTATGTAAGTCGCCAGTAAAACTCCATATCCTATTTACTGATTCTGAGTTTCTTCTTTGACATCGTGAACCTGCTGCCATTTACATGGGAGTCAAATTTGACACAACTTACCCCATAATGAGGAAGGATTTCAGATTCTTCTCAATGTGCTTCAAAGCTCAACAAGGCATCAGCTACAGAAGGATGCAGTTGTTCTCTTTACCACTATCACACAGGGCTCGTTTCCTTAGATGCACCTTCAGTGGAATACCAAGAAAGATGAACAAGAAACACGTCATGGTCAGAAGCAACATTAATGACCAAATAAGCAGTGACCACTTGTAAAGCAAAAGGGAGCATTTTGCTTTCTACTCTGGGCAGCCCTCAATGTCTGCCATCACTTTCTGGTTTCAGTAATGGTTTTTAAGCTCCATCGTGGCTCTGGAGAAACCTTAGGCACTAGGTGGTAAACACCTTCACTTAGTCCTGGAGCAACAAAGCTTTCTCTTGTCAAATATGACCTCTGTGATCATGAGCTACTAAGCCATCTAGACAATGCACCACCAGAAAACCTATGAAAGGGAGATGAGTAGACATGAGGGAAACAATTTCCCACTTTTTTCAGTGGCAAGTTCAAACAACTGTGACAGTAGATCACAGAGCAAAAGAAAACAGCATAGTAGAACTCCTCATCATGTAAGATTACAACCAAGACTTTTCTATCCTCAGTGTGAGAGCACCAAATGAAAACCAGAAATTACTTCACTGTGTATCTATCAGTAATTAATTGCACAATATTTTCTCTATCATACTGAAAAGTATTCACTGAGGATTTTCTAATTGAACATGTAGAGATAAAGACAGGAGAATGTAAAATAGCAATTCCATAAAATCATTAAAGAAATTGAAGGTATCCTTGTTAACTTTCTGTCTCATTGATCTGCCTAATGTTGACAGTGGGGTGTTAAAGTCTCCTGTTATTATTGTAGGAATTGAATTCAGCTCTGCACCAGGCGGACCTAATAGATGTCTACAGAACTCTCCACCCCAAATCAACAGAATATACGTTCTTCTCAGAACCACACCCCAACCATTCCAAAATCAACCATATAGTTGGAAGTAAAGCACACCTCAGCAAATGTAAAAAAACAGAAATTATAACAAAATGTCTCTCAGACCACAGTGCAATCAAACTAGAACTCAGGATTAAGAAACTCACTCAAAACCTCTCAATTACATGGAAACTGAACAACCTGCTCCTGAATGACTACTGGGTACCTAACGAAATGAAGTCAGAAATAAAGTTGTACCTTGAGACTAATGAGAACAAACACACAACATACCAGAATCTCTGGGACACATTTAAAGCAGTGTGTAGATGGATATTTATAGCACTATATGCCCACAAGAGAAAGCAGGAAAGATCTAAAATTGACACCCTAACATCACAATTAAAAGAACTAGAGAAGCAAGAGCAAACACATTCAAAAGCTAGCAGAAGGCAAGAAATAACTAAGGTCAGAGCAGAATTGAAGGAGATAGAGACATAAAAAGCCTTTCAAAAAACCAATGATTCCAGGAGCTGGTTTTCTGAAAAGATCAACAAAACTGATAGACCACTAGCAAGACTAATAAAGAAGAAAAGAGAGAAGAATCAAATAGATGCAATAAAAAATGATAAAGGGGATATCACAACTGATCCCACAGAAATACAAACTACCTTCAGAGAATACTACAAACACCTCTAGGCAAATAAACTAGAAAATCTAGAAGAAATTGATAAATTCCTTGACACATACACCCTCCCAAGACTAAACCGGGAAGAAGTTGAATCTCTGAATAGACCAATAATAGGCTCTGAATTTGAGGCAATAATTAACAGCTTACCAACAAAAAAAAGTCCAGGACCAGATGGATTCACAGCCGAATTCTACCAGAGGTGCAAGGAGGAGCTGGTACCATTCCTTCTGAAACTAGTCCAATCAATAGAAAAAGAGGAAATCCTCCCTAACTCATTTTATGAGGCCAACATCACCCTAACACCAAAGCCTGGCAGAGACACAACCAAAAAAGAGAATTTTAGAACAATATCCCTGATGAATATCTATGCAAAAATCCTCAATAAAATACTGGCAAACCATATCCAACAGCACATCAAAAAGCTTATCCACAATGATCAAGTGGGCTTCATCCCTGGGATGCAAGGCTGTTTCAACATATGAAAATCAATACACGTAATCCGGCATATAAACAGAAAAGAAACAAAGGCAAAAACCACATGATTATCTCAATAGATGCAGAAAAGGTCTTTGACAAAATTCAACAGCACTTCATGCTAAAAACTCTCAATAAATTAGGTATTGACAGGACGTATCTAAAAATAATAAGAGCTAATTATGAAAAACCCACAGCCAATCTTATACTCAATGGGCAAAAACTGGAAGCATTCCCTTTGAAAACTGGCACAAGAAAGGGATGCCCTCTCTCACCACTCCTATTCAACATGGTGTTGGAAGTTCTGGCCAGGGCAATTAGGCAGGAGAAGGAAATAAAGGATTTTCAATTAGGAAAAGAGGAAGTCAAATTGTCCCTGTGTGCAGATGACATGATTGTATATCTAGAAAACCCCATTATCTCAGCCCAAAATCTCCTTAAGCTGATCAGCAACTTCAGCAAAGTCTCAGGACACAAAAGAAATGTGCAAAAATCACAAGCATTCTTATACACCAATAAGAGACAAACAGAGAGCCAAATCATGAGTGAACTGTCATTCACAATTGCTTCAAAGAGAATAAAATACCTAGGAATCCAACTTACAAGGGATGTGAAGGACGTCTTCAAGTAGAACTACAAACCACTGCTCAGTGAAATAAAAGAGGACACAAACAAATGGAAGAACATTCCATGCTCATGGATAGGAAGAATCAATATCGTGACAATGGCCATACTGCCCAAGGTAATTTGTAGATTCAATGCCATCCCCATGAAGCTACCAATGACTTCCTGCACAGAATTGGAAAAAACTACTTTAAAGTTCATATGGAACCATAAAAGAGACTGCATTGCCCAGTCAATCCTAAGCCAAAAGAACAAAGCTGGAGACATCATGCTACCTGTCTTCAAACTATACTACAAGGCTACAGTAACCAAAGCAGCATGGTACTGGTACCAAAACAGAGATCTAGGCCATTGGAACAGATCAGAGCCCTCAGAAATAATACCACACATCCACAACTATCTGATCTTTGACAAACCTGACAAAGACAAGAAATGGGGAAAGGATTCCGCATTCAATAAATGGTGCTGGGAAAACTGGCTAGCCATATGTAGAAAGCTGAAACTGGATTCCTTCCTTACACCTTATACAAAAATTAAGTTAAGATGGATTAAAGACTTAAATGTTAGACCAAAAACCATAAAATCCCTAGAAGAAAACCTAGGCAATACCATTCAGGACCTAGGCAAGGGCAAGGACTTCATGTCTAAAACACCAAAAGCAATGGCAACAAAAGACAAAATTGACAAATGGGATCTAATTAAACTGAAGAGCTTCTGCACAGCAAAAGAAACTACCATCAGAGAGAACAGGCAACCTACAGAATGGGAGAAAATTTTTGCAATCTACTCATCTGAAAAAGGACTAATATCCAGAATCTACAATGAGCTCAAACAAATTTACAAGAAAAAAACAAACAACCCCATCAAAATGTGGGCGAAGAATATGAACAGACACTTCTCAAAAGAAGACATTTACGCAGCCAAAAAACCATGAAAAAATGCTCATCATCACTGGCCATCAGAGAAATGCAAATCAAAACCACAATGAGATACCACCTCACACCAGTTAGAATGGCGATCATTAAAAAGTCAGGAAACAACAGATGCTGGAGAGGTTGTGGAGAATAGGAACACTTTTACACTGTTGGTGGGACATAATATAGTTCAACCATTGTGGAAGTCAGTGTGGTGATTCCTCAGGGAACTAGAACTAGAAATACCATTTGACCCAGCCATCCCATTACTGCGTATATACCCAAAGGACTATAAATCATGCTGCTATAAAGACACATGCACACATATGCTTATTGAGGCACTATGCACAATAGCAAAGACTGGGAACCAACCCAAATGTCCAACAATGATAGACTGGATTAAGAAAGTGTGGCACATATATCCCATGGAATACTACGCAGCCATAAAACAGGATGAGTTCATGTCCTTTGCAGGGACATGGATGAAACTGGAAACCATCATTCTCAGCAAACTATCTCAAGTTCTCACTCATAGATGGGAACTGAACCAAACACCGCAAGTTCTCACTCATAGGTGGGAATTGAACAATGAGAACACATGGACGCAGGAAGAGGAACATCACACACCATGGCCTGTTGTGGCGTGGGGCGAGGGGGGAGGGATAGCATTAGGAGATAGATATACCTAATGTTAAATGACGAGATAATGGATGCAGCACACCAACATGGCACACATATACATATATAACTAACCTGCATGTTGTACACATGTACCCTAAAACTTAAAGTGTAATTAAAAAAAGAGAAAAATACTGTTGTATTATAAAATAAATAAATAAATAAATATAAAAAATTTTAAAAGAAAAAACGTAGGGAAACTTTTTTAACTAAAAAACACTCAAGCACAGAGAAAACATTCATAGAACAGACTGAGAGACTCCAAGAATCTCTAGTCTAAAAAATTGGCAACATGTTTTTAAGACAAAGGACACTTAGTAAAGATTTTGACATATAGCTTTTTGTTATACAAATTGTAACCTAAGATTACAAGACATACAAATCGTCAGATAATATGATTAAACCAAAACTAAAAATAAACATTCAGGAATCAATTATTATGAAATGAAGATGGAAAAATTACCCGAGAAAATTTGATTTAAATTCTAGATCTATTTTTGAAAAGAAAAAATAAATTACCTTAACAATCAAAATTATCATCTCAAAGATGCTCAGTGAGTAAAGTGGAAATAAAGAAAACAAAATAAAAGAACAAAAATGAAGCCAACAAAAAATGGAAAGCACAGAAAGAAATAAAAATTTTGGCATATAAGTCCAAAAAGTAATATGCACTTCGACATTAGTAAAAAAATAAGAAAATCAAGAATCTTAGAAAATTTTAACTAAGTTTAACAAAAAGAGATTTCTAACAAGACAAAACATAACCAGTTTTTGTAAGTCAAAGACTTGAAGAGAATCTGAAATGCACGAAGCAAAGAGATGTGTTATTTGTATGCATGGTTCTGCAAGATTACCAGAAAATTTATGAACATAAATATTTCAGGCAAGAAGAGAGGAGAATGACATAGTCAAAACATAGGAAAAAGAGTCTAAGCAAGAATACTGTATCCTTCAAAATAAAAAAAAATCTAACTACATCAAGATCTATATCAAGATCTCTGTCATGGCTTCAAGAGACTCACTTCAGAGCCAATAAAAACATAAACTGAAAATGCCAGGATGAAAAATACATTCCATGCAAATGTTCACCAAATGAGAGGAGAAGAGGCAAAAATATATTAAGTTGACAACTGTAATATTTAACAAAAGTTACTTTTAGTCAAATTTCACAAGAAACAAAGTAGTACATTCAATTATAGTAAAAGGTTTCATTAACAGACAACCTGCAAATATATGAAACTTTTCCCAAACACATGAAGCAAACATTGACAGAATTGATGCAAAAATAGACAGCAATATAATAATGGATGCATACATCAATATCTCACTTTCAGTAAAAAATAAACAAGACAGAATATCAATAAGGAAACAAAATAATTGAATGCACTATACAATCATTACACTTAATAAATGTATACAGACAACAGAATACACATTCTTTTCAATAGCTTATAAAACATTTTTCTACACAGACAACCTGTAACACCAGAAAAGAAGCCTTTACGATTTTTTAATTGAAATTTTACAATTATTTACAGCCCAAATGGAATGAAACTAGAAATTAGTAAAAGAAGAAAAGCTGAACAATTCAAAAAATAAAAATATTAAAATACACAGTTTTTTTTTTCTTTTTTAAATTTCTTTTTTGATGGAGTATCACTCTGTCACTAGGCTGGAGTGCAGTGGCACAATCTTGGTTCACTGCAACCTCCAGTTTCTGGGGACAAAGGATTCTTCTGCTTCAGCCTCTCAAGTAGCTGCAACTACAGACATGTACCACCAGGCCCAGCTAAGTTTTTTGTATTTTAGTAGAGATTGGGTTTTGCCATTTTGCCAAGAATTTTCTCACTCTGCTGACTTCTCCATGCAACCTCTTCGGACTCCCAAAGTACTGGGATTACAGGCACAAGCCACCATCCTCAGCCAACAACACAACTTTGAGTAGGCTTTATTTCAAGGGTTGGAAGACATAATATTGTGAAGATGTCCATGCTGCTTAGTGACCCAATACTCAACACACCTCTTTTTAATTTTAATTATATTTTTCAAAAATAGAAAAAAAAAACCTGTAAGATCTCAAAGGACTATAAAAAGCCTGACAATCTTGAAAAAGAAGAAAAATATTCGAAGCCTTACATTTAACAATTTTCAAACACGCACAAAAACCTACAGTAACCAAAGAATTTTGGTACTGGTATAAAAGTAGAACACTAAAGTAATGAAACAGAATGCAGCACGGAAATAAACCCTTGAATGGAGAAGAGAGAAATACCACCTAGGTTTTGTAATCAATCATATGTCACAATTCCTTTGACAAGCAATACTCAGGCAGGGGAAGAGAATTACACTTCCTAGATGCTAGTTTCAGCGATATTTCTAAATGTCCTCAGGGGGTTGAGCACGGGCTGGAGAGGCATATCACCTAGCTGATAGGCCCAGCGATATGTGATAATATCCCCTGTTGACAAGGCTCCTGCAAAAGAGTAACATTATTATTATTCTGACCAAGTGATATGTAAGAATGCGCCCATGGAAAAAAAAATTAAGCCACAATCTCACAACACCTCGATATTAGGCCCAGTGACATGACACAATCTCATGATTTTTGAGGTTGACACTTTTAACTTTTAGGTGAGGGTGTATATTAGAAACATGTGAGCTGGGTCAATATATGAAACTCTGTACAACATCTCAGGGCTTTATAAAACCTGCAGGAAGAGGCAAGGTATGGTGGCTCATGCCTGTAATCCCAGCACTTTGGGAGGCTGAGGTGGGTAGATCACGAGGTCAGGAGTTCAAGACCCATCTGACCAAGATGGTGAAACCCCGTATCTACTAAAAATACAAAAAATTGGCCAGATGTGGTGGCAGGCACCTTTAATCCCAGCTACTTTGGAAGCTGAGGCAAAAGAATCGCTTGAACTCATAGGAAAGATGTCACAGTAAGCTGAGATCACATCACTGCACTCCAGCCTGGGTGACAGAGTGAGAGTTCATCTCAAGAAAAAAAAAAAAAAAGAAAAAAAAAAGAAAAAAAAGAAAAAAACCTCCATGAAGATTGTAAACCTCTCTGAGGCCTAGGTGCTCATATGGACTTACAATCTTACATATTGTCCTAAGCCTAAGTTTGATAGTCAACATCTCTCCTATAGTCAGGGTTAAGGGAGAAGACCCATTATTATGTCTGTGGGCTGGGTCCAGAAATGAGTCATCTTTCCACATGTGGCCAGATCAACATATAAAAGTCACAATTCCACCTCTGCTGTATTTCCTTGTTACACTCAGGACTTCAAAAGTGGGCTTTGTAAATGTGGGATGGTGAAAACTTGTAATTTCACCTGGGTGCATAACTGAAAGTCCCAATCTAATCTTTTTGTGGGGTCCTGTTGTGAAACTCCCTACCAACAAAGAGGTTATACAATATAAGTTAGTGTTGTAAGCTTCTGTCAGCTTTGAATATATATGCAACCCCAGAGTTTATCTATTGCCCTAAGCTTAGCAATGAGAGGCAAAATATCTCCTATTGGCTGAATCCAAATATAAGTTTGATCATCATGCCTGTGAATTGAAGCAAGGTATATGTCATAATCCTATTTGTGGGCATAAAACTAGGCAGGAGGGTAACATCACTTAGATACTGTGTCACAGTGCCTTGTGATGCTGTGTCACAATGCCTTCTCTAGGCAGGGTATGATAAATTGGGTCACATTAGCTGGGTACTCAACCCAGCAATATGATACCGTCCCACTTGTGGAAAAAATCCAGCCAAGTTATGAGAGCCAAAACACCTACATAGTGGGCCCAAGATATGTCAAAACAAACAAACAAACAAACAAACAAAAACCTTCGGTGGCTCCAGTATAGGCAGGAGAGACACATTGTAAGGGTGCTGGGCCCAGCAATATGCAATATGCCATCAATTTTTCTTTATGCAGAACCCACACTAAAGAGTAACATCATCTGGGTGCTGGGCCATGCAATAAGTCAAAATTTGTTATTTTGTGGGCATGGATTAGGAAAAAGAGGTGAGTCACCTATCCTGAGTGCTGGGCTCAGCAATGTGCCAAAATCCTTCTATTGTGAAGGTCCAGGCAGACAAAGAACATCATATCACTTAGGTCATGGGCTCAGAGATATGTCCAATATCTCCAGTAGGCGAGGCTCAGGTAGATGAGGAGAGTCATATCATCTACGTGCTTCCCTAGAAATATGTCACAATGTAACACATAGACAGAAACCAGGTAGGGGAGCCACATCACTTGGGTGCTGGGTCCTGAGATATGTCACAAGGCTCTCTTAGGACAGCACCCAGCAAAGAGTTACATCATCTAGGTGTAGATTTTCTGCTTATTCCACAATGTTTTATTTGGGTAGGTCTAAAGGAGGGAGCCACTTCATCTAGGCGGTAGACCCCAAGGTATGTCACAATGTCCTCTATGAAGTATAGTCCTGGCAAAAGAGTACCATCAACTGTGTGCCTGGCCTAGAAATATATTACTCCAGGTTGGCAAGGCCCAAGCAGGAGAGCCATATAACCCAGGTGACAGGCCTGGATATAAATCACAGTGCCCTCCCTTGAACATGGCTTTGGCAAAATAGTACCCTCAACTGTGTGCCTGGCCTTGCAATATGTCATTATCCATCCTTTGTGTATGGCCCATTCCAGAGAGCAGAGATACATCACCTATAATGGGGGCATAGAAATATATGCAATAATTTTGGTGGACATGGCACAGGCAAGAATGTAACATCAGCTGGGTGCTAGATTCAGATGTATGTCACCATCCTTACTTAGAGAAGGGCCCAGGCAGGAGAATAACATCACCTTGAGGTTGGCCTAGCTAGATAGCACAATACCATATTTGGGCCGGAATAAGTCTGCAGAGTCAAATTATACAGGTGCTTGGCAAAGATTTATATCACAATCACAGTGTCAGATAATTGCAAAGGTGAGATTTACAGTACCCCACATATCCTTTTTTTCATGTGTGACATTTGGCTTTATCCGTGTGAGATGATGACAGCCTTTACTGTCAGCTGGGTGTGCATGCAAGACTCACAATTTAACCTGTGTTCTGAGCCCTGCTACAACTCTGTCTCTATAACCCAAAGACTTTGTAAAATATATGCGAATGTTGTAATCTTTTGTGGCATTTGTATAAGAACGTTATTCAGGATATCATGCATGTACCTAAACTTGGTTATAAGAGTCAAAATAACCTCTGTTAGCTGAATCCCCATATGACAATCATCATCATTCCTTTGAACCATGCCTAGGTACATATTACAATCCTCTGTATGGCTATGAAGCAGGTGGAACAGCCATATTATTGAAATGCCGGGCCAGAATTATTCCAATATTCTCTTTGTAGGCAAAGCTTTGTCAGAAATGCCACCAAACTTTTGTGCTAGGTCCAAATATGTTGCACAGTGTCCTTTGTGTGAGGTGTCAGAGCAGGAGAGTAGAGACATTTCACCTAAATGGTGGGCCCAAAAATTTGTAACAATGCCTCCTGTTAACAGGGCCCAAGCACAGTAGTCATATCACTTGGGTGCAGTGTTTAGAAATGCTACAATTACCAAAGGAAGCAGAATACAGGCAGTAGAGGGTAGAGGAGAGTCCCGTAACCTAGTTGATGGGTCCAGAAATCTATCACAATCCCCGCTGAGGATTGTACTAGCACAGTCAAATCACCAAGGTGCTTGGCCCAGGTATATGTCAAAATCTCTTTTGTGGGCTATACCTGGCAAATTATTAAATCATTCTGGAGCTGGGAAAAGGTTTATGTCACAATTATACTTGTGGGGAGGTTTAGAAATAAGAGTCATTATCTTGCACATGTTCTGGCTCCAGGTATATGAGTTGTTATAAGGCTTTTATTATGGTGTCAGATATATGGCACAATATCACCTGTGGACACAGAGAAGGCAAGAAAGTCAAATCACCTACTTGGGTGTGGGTCCTGCGAGATGTCACAATACCCCTTGTGTGAAGGTCTTTGTGGGAAAGTCACATCACCTGGCTGCTGGTTTCAGTGACATATCAAAAACTCCTCTGTGGGCAGGACTTTGGAAAAAGAGGAGACACAATTCACTTAGGCAACTGGCCTAGGTATATTTCATAGTGTCTTTTCTGTACAGTACCAAACCTGGAGCATGATCACACATTGGTGCTGGACCCAACAATATGTCACAATCTCCCTGTAATCAAGACAAAGGCTAAAGCAAAAAAGAAACACAACTTAGGTGTTGAGCCAAGTGATACATTACAATGCTTCCTGTTGGCAGATCCCAGGAAGGAGAATCACATCACCTGGGTGCATTGCACACTTATGTGTCACAATGTACTGTAAGTGCTTGTCCAAGGCAGTATAAGGTTGTCACATCACATACATGATGGACCGAGATACGAGACACAATTCTATTTGCAGGCAGGTTTCAGGCAGATAATTCACTTTACCCAGGTGATGGTCCAGGAATATATAAAAGTGTCATTTTGTAGGCATAGCCAAAGAAGGTGTTATACATGGCTTACGTGTCTGTTCCACGTATGGCACAATTTCATTCTAGGCTTTGGCCTAGAAGAGACTGTCAAATTATTCATATGCTGGGCAAATTTACCTGTCTCAATCATACTCTTAGAAACATTGAGAAATATGTTTTTTATCGCACATGAATCCTGGTTTTGTGTATTTGAGTTAACTCTTTCTATGAGTTGGGTCGAAGTAGAGGAGTCACAATCCCAACCATGGGCAAGATCCATGTATAGTAGCCTCAATCCTACTTGAATATCATGTTCCAGTAGGAGAGTCAGAGCATCACAAGTGTGCTGAATCATGTTTCAAATATTACCAAACTACCTGTGAATCAGATCCATGTACTATAGTAATTATTTCAAGCTTTGACTGCTTTTTATGAGTGAGATTTAGTATCACATTCCTAGGCCCTGTTTATGTGTCAGAATGACTACCGTGTCAGCTAGGTGTGCATACAAGAGTCACGTTCTCACCTGGTTGCTGTTCTCTGTTATGACACTGTTATGACGCTGTTATGTACCAATAAGGCTTTATATGATATACCACAGCGTTATAATCCTTCATGAATATTATGCAAGTGAAAAACCCAGGACCTTACCCATGGCAGTGCAACTGGCTATGAGAGTCACACCATCCCTACTGGCTGGGTCCAGGAATGAGAGTCATTATTGCACATGTGTGCTTATCCCAGTTATATGTCACACTTTCACCTATGAGCTGGGACAATGTGGGAGAGTCACATAACCTGGGTACTGAGCCACTGACACAATATGGTCTCATTTGTAGGCTGGGCCTAGTCAGAAGGGTCAAATCAGTAGATGTTGGGCTCTGCAAAATGTAATAATTCCCTCTCTTGACAGAGTTTAGGATATGAAGGAGAGTCACATCACCTATGTTTTGTAATCAGTGGTATGTCACCACATCTGTGGTAAGCAGGACCCCGTCAGGAGAAGAGAGTCACATGACCTAGATGTTTGGTCAAATGATATTTCACCATGTACTCTGGGGGTGGGTACAGGCAGGAGAGACAAATCACCTATCTCTTAGGCCCAGAGATATGTGATAATATCCCTTGTTTGCAGGGTCCAGGCAGAAGTAACAAGATTATGATTCTAACCCTGCAATATGTCAAAATGCATCTATGGGGAAAAAATTAAGCCAAAAAGTCTCAACACCTGGGTACTAGGCCTAGTAATAGGTCAAATCTTTTGTTTTTGTGGGTGATATCATTAAATTGAGCTGGGTGTGTATATGAGATTCACAATATCATGTGTTCTTTGGGCTATTGTATGACACTCTACAACATTTGAAGGCTTTATACAGCATGCATCAGGGTTGCAAACTACTCTGAAGCCTATGTGCTCAGAGGGATTCATGAGCTTACCTATATCCCTAAACCCATGGATAATAGTAAACATCTTTTATGTGGGATGGTTTTAGGTATGAGACCCATTATTATGCCTATGAGCTGGAAACAGAAATAAGTCACCATCCCACCTGTGGCCAGATCCACATATGAAGGTCAAAATTCCAACCTGGTACTGTATTCACTTGTTAGACTCACGATGTTAACAGTGGGCTTTGGACATGTGGGATGGTGACAACATTTGCTTTTACCTGGGCATGTAATTGAAGGTCCCAATCTGAATTTTCTGCTGGTCCCTGTCATGAAACTCTCTGTACCAATCAAGCAACTTATACATTATGAGTTAGTGTTGTAAAGTTCTGTGAGCGTTCTACAAATATGCAACCAAGGACCTTACTTATTGCCCTATGCCTAGTGATGAAAGGCAAAATATCTCCTATTGTCTGTATCCAAGTTTAAGTTTGACCATTATGCCTGTAAACTGAAATAAGGTATATGTCATAGTCCCATTTGTGGGCAAAAAACTAGGCAGGAGGGTAACGTTACTTAGGTGCTGTGCCAAGTAACATGTCCCAATGTCCTCTCTAGGGAGTGTATAGGAATTAGAGTCACATTAACTAGATGCTGGACTCAGCAATATGCCCCCATCTCAAATGTGGGAAAAAATCCAGGCTGGGCACCATGCCACACGCCTGTAATCCCAGCACTTTGGGTGGCCAAGGCAGGCAAATCACGAGGACAAGAGTTCTAGACCAGCCTGACCAACATAATGAAACCCCGTCTCTACTAAAAATACAAAGATGAGCCGAGCATGGTGGCACATGCCTGTAATCCCAGCCACTCAGGAGGCTGAGGCAGGAGAACAGCTTGAACCTAGGAGGCGGAGGTTGCACTGAGCCGAGATCACACCATTGTACTCCAGAGCTCCAGGCTGGGTGACAGAGCAAGATTCCATCCCCCCACCAAAAACAAACAAACAAACAAATAAAATAAAAATAAAAAAATAAAAAAGCCAAGTTACGACAGACAAAACACATACATAATGGGCCCAGGAGAGGTCAAAATACTTTCTTTGGCTCTGGGACAAGCATGAAAGTCACATTAACAGGGTGCTGGGCCCAGAAATCTGCAATAATTATCTCTATATGCAGGACCCAGGTAAAAGACTAACATCATCTGTGTGTTGGGGTCCTGCAATAGGTCAAAATTTATTGTGTGATCATGGTTCAAGAAAAAAGAAAAAAGTAAAATAACCTGAGGGCTGGGCTCAGCAATATGGCATAAACCACTGTTATAAAAGCCAGGGAGAAGAAGCAGTCTCTTCACTTAGGCCAAGGGCTCATAGATGTTCCCCACTGCAGACAAATATCTGCAGGGCCCAGGCAGAAAAGGAGAGTCATATCACCTAGGTACTTCCCTAGTTATACATCACAATCCAACATTTGGGCAGAAATTAGACAGAAGAGACATATCACTTGGGTACAGCCTGTAATAATATGCCAGATCCCCAATGTAGACAGTTTTGAAGAAGAAAAAGAGAATCACACTGGCTGGGTGCTAAGCTCAGAATTATGAAATAAAGCCTGGCAGAGTTTAGGAAAAAAAGGAAAGTCACGTCACCAAGGTATTTCACTCAGTAATATGTCACAATTTCTTCAGCCGGCAGAATCCAGGCAGGAGGGGAGAGTCACATTACCTAGATGCTATATCTCACGATATGTCATAGTGCCCCTGTGGGCAGGACACTGGCAGGGAGACATATCAGGTAGCCAATAGGCCCAGAGATATCTAAAAATATTCCCTGATTAAAAGGTCCAGCCAGAAGAATCACATTATCATGATTCTGAACCAGTGATATGTAACAAAGTGCTTATAGAAAGGAATTTAAACCAAAAAGTCTCAACACCTGGGTACTAAGCAAATGGATATGACACATCTTTTCATTTTTAAGGGCGAAAATATTAACTGTTAGCTAGTTGTGTATATGAGAGCCACAGTCTCACATATGTACTGGCCATTGTATGGCACTCTCTATAACATCAGGGAACTTTGTTCAGCATGCATCAGAGTTGCTAAACTTTCTGAGGCTTACATGTTTATATGGACTCATGATCTTATATATAGCCATAAACCCAGGCATGACAGAATACAGATTTCCTATACACTGGACTCAGGAATGAGACCACAATTATGCCTGTTACCTGGAGCCAAAAATGAATCACCATCCTATATGTGGCCACATTCACTTATGAATGTCACAATTCCAACTTTCTGCTGTATTTACTTGTTAGACTGAGGACCTCAACAATGGGCTTTGTAAATTGAGAATATGTAGTCAAGAGTCACAATCTTAACTTTTTGCTGGGCCCTATTATCAAACTCTCTATACCAGCCAAGAAGTTTCTCTGATATGATTTAGTATTGTAAATTTCAGTGAGTTCTGCACAAGTATGCAATGAAGGACCTTAACTATTGACATAAACATAGTTGCTTGAGGCAAGATATCCCCTGTTGGCTGAATCCCAATATAAGCTTGATCATCTTACCTTTGAACTGAAGCAAGGTATATATCCTAATCCCATTTGTGGGCAAGAAAATTAGGCAAAAAGTTAAAATCACTTAACTGATGTGCCACACAACATGTCACAGTGTCATCTCTAGGCAGGGCCTAGAAAAGAGGGTCACATGAACTGGGGGCTGGAGCCACCAATATGATACAAACTCATGTTGAAGAAACCCAGAAAAGTGATGAGGTCAAAACACCTAAAGAATGGGCCAATAATATGTCAAAATACCTTCTGGAGCTCTGGCAGAAGGAGGAGAGTTACATCATTGGAGTACTGGGCTGAGCAATATGCTATAATGTTTCCATTTATGCATGACCTAGGCAGAAGAGTGACATAATCTGGGTGCTGGGCCCTGAAGCACAGGAAAAGTCCTGTTTGTGGGCATTGTTCAGCAAGAAAACAAAAGACACATTACCTAAGTGCTGGACTCATTAATATGTCAGAATATTCCCATCAGAGAAGCACAGACAGAGGAAGAGTCAAATGACTTAGGTCATGGGCTCAGAGATGTGTCTCAGTGTCACCAGTAAGCTGGGCTCAAGCAGAAAAAGAGAGTCATATAACCCAGTTGTTTCCTTAGGTATATGTCATAATTTAATATGTGGGCAGAAACCAGGCTGAGGAAACACATCACCTGATTCTTGGTCCTGATGTATTCACATCACTTGTCACCCTTAGAAAAGGACCCAGGCAAGGGAGATACATCACCTAGGTCCAGATTCCACCCTTATGTCACAATGCCCCATGTGGGCAGGACCAAGCAGGAAGTCACATTAATTAGGTGATAGCCACAGAGATATGTCAAAAAGTCTTCCCTAAAGCATGGCTCTGGCAAAAGAGCATCATCACCTTTGTGCCTGGCCTAGCAGTATGTCACTCTTCAAGTGGGCAGGTCCTATAACCTACATGATAGGCCCTGTGATATGGCAAAATGTCCTCTTTGAGGAATGGCCCTGGAAAAATAGTATCATCAGTGATGTGCCTGGCCTAGGAATGTGTCATCATCCATCCCTGTGTGCAGGGCTCATTCCAGAGAGGAGAGTTACATCTCCTAAGTGATGGACACAGTGATGTTGTTAAGATGTTTCTGGGCATGGTGCAGACACTAATGTAAAGTAACCTGGGAGCTGGATCCAGCGATGTCACCATTCTTACTGAGCATGATCCAGGCAGAAGAGTCACAGCACTTTAAAATTGGCTTAGGTAGATGTCAAAATCCCATATGTTGGCTGGAACGAGTCAGAAGAGTAAAATCACACAGATACCTGACAAAGATTTATATCACAATTATGATGGAATAAAATACCACACATGTGCTGTTTTCATGTAGGACAGTTGCCTCCATCCATCTGTAATAGTGAAAGTCCTTACTGTCAGCTGGGTCTCAGCATTGGAGACCCAGAATCCCTTTTGTGTGCTAGGCCCTGTTATGACACTCTCTATACAACCCAAGGGTGTTATAAGATATGCGTGAGTTTTGTAATCTTCTGTGACATTTTACAGAAGAAGATCCTGGAAATCACTCAGGTACATGAACCTAGAAGAGTCAAAATTTCTCCTATTGGCTTGGTCCACCTATGAGAGTCATTATTATGCCTTTTAGCTGTGCCTAAGTATATGTCACCATCCCCTTTGTGGTTATTAAACAGGCAGGAAAACCATGTCACCTAAATCCTAAGCCAGAAATATTCCAATATTCTCTTTGTAGGCAAAACACGAACAGAAATCTCACAAATATGGGGTGTTAACCCAACTCTATGGCATAATGCCTCCTATGGAGATTGTCCAGGCAGGAAAGGAGAGTCATACCACCTAAATGATGGCACAGAAATATGTCACAATACCTACTATTGAAAAGGTTAGGCAAGAGGGTTATGTCATTTGGATGCAGTGCTTAAAAATGCTACACTCTTCACAGGAAGCAGGGTTCAGACAGGAGAGGAGAGTCACATAAGCTAGACGATAAGTCTAGAAATATGTTATGATTTCTTCTGAGGATAGTGTTAAGACACAAAATTCAAATCACTGTTGTGGGAAGTCAGGGAACCCGAACAGAGGGGCTGGCTGAAGCCATGGCAGAAGAACATAAATTGTGAAGATTTCATGGACATTTATCACTTCCCCAATCAATACTCTTATAATTTCCTATACCTGTCTTTACCTTAATCTCTTAATCCCAGTATCTTCATAAGCTGAGGATGTGTGTCACCCCAGGACCCTGTGATGATTGTGTTAACTGAAAAACTTGTTCATAAAGCATGTGTGTTTGAACAATACGAAATCTTGGCACCTTGAAAAAAGAACAGGATAACACCAATGTTCAGGGAACAATGGAGATAATCATTAGGTCTGACTGCCTGGGAACCAGGCAGGACAGAGTCATATTTCTCTTATTACTGAAAATGGGTAAGAGAAATATTGCTGAATTCTTTCCTCAGTAAGGAATACTAATAATTAACAGCCCTGGGAAAAGAATACACTCCTCGGGGGAGGGGAGCCTCTAAAACGGCCACTCTGGGAGTGTCTGCCTTATGCAGTTGTAGATAGGGATGAAACATGCCCTAGTCTCTGGCAGTGTCCACAGGCTTGCTAGGATTAGGAAATTCCAGCCTGGTGAATTCTAGTCAGACTGGTTCTCTGCTCTTGAACCCTGTTTCTGTTAAGACATTTGTCAATGACAATGCATGCACAGTGGGACATGAAACTCCATCAGCAATTCTAGTTTCACCCTGGCCTTGTGACCCTGCCCCACCCATTCGCCTTGTGATGTTTTATTGCCTTTGAAGCATGTGATCTCTGTGACCCACACCCAATGTGTACACTCCCACCCCTTTGAAATTTGCTAATTAAAAACTTTCTGGTTTTGCAGCTCAGGGGGCATCATGGAACCTGCTGACATGTGATGTCTTCCCCAGACAACCAGCTTTAAAATTTCTCTCTTTTGTACTCTTTCCCTTTATTTCTCAGACATGCCTGCACTTAGGGAAAATAGAAAAGAGTCTATATTGAAATATTGGGGGCTGGTTCCCCTGATATCTGGTGCACCAATGTGTTTTTTTCTTTTTCCTAAGTGCATGTGGGAATCCAATTCCCTTTGGTAGGTAGGTGTGGAGAAACATCATCGGTTTGGTCCACAGAAACACTTGTTCAACTCCCTGATGATTTGTGAGTAGTCTGTGAATTTGTCTGGGTTAACTATGGGTCATACAGAGTCTAAAAATTATACTTATCTCTTCTATATTAAACTCCAGTTAAAAGAGGAAAGGGTTTGAGTGCCCATGGAAAAATATGATCACTCTATTCAAGAGAGTGGGAAAATACTGTCCTTGGTTTCCTGAAAAAGGAAACTTAGATGTAGACCTGTTAAAACGGGGAAGGGTCTAAGTAACCATGGAAAATATGGTGACTGTATTCAGGGCAGTGGAAAAATACTGTCCTTGGTTTCCTGAAAAAGGAAACTTATATGTAAAATTATGGGATCATGTTGGTTCAATATTCTGGGAACTGGTCTCGACAGGGAATTATGTTCCCATCGCTGTGTGGGGTGATTGGGCCTTGGTACATGCTGTCCTAATACCTCCTCAACTTTCCTTTCCCATACCGCCTTTGTTATCTGCTCAGCCTCTCCCTTCACCTACTCCTCCCCCCACCTAACGATGCTGAAAATTCAGTGTCTAACTCCAGTAACTTTGGCTTAATGTTACCCCCTGCTGACCTTATTTCTTTTCATGAAAAGCCAGTACTTGTAACTCCCGTGGCCCCAACTCCTACAGCCCATTTCCATATATGTGGTAATTCTTCTCTCTTCAAACCTCTGGTGTCAGCTAATGGCTCTGGAACCAAACTACAATTTACCTTTAATTCTCCAAGCACTCCCCCATCCATCGCATCCCCGCACCCTCCTGTCATTTCAGTTCCTCAACCGGTCTGCATCATTGTGTACCTCTCAATCTTACCTTTTTAAAAGAATTTAAGGATGCTTGTACTCAGTATGACCCTACTTCTCCTTATGTTAAAATGGTATTACAAACTTTTGTACAGAGGTCATTTTCCTTCCTTTAGACTGGGACCTTTTGGCAATAGCTGTTCTAACCCATCTCAGCATTTACAGTTTTGTACCTGGTGGTCAGAGAAGGCCTATTTGCAGGCTCAGCTAAATTTGACTAATGGCATTCTAACTACTCAGGCTCAGCTCACAGGGTCTGATAATTTCTCTGATACTTATGCCCAATTAAACTTTGATGCTCTTACCACAGAACAAGTAGCAAAGGTGTGTATGAGAGCTTGGGATAAATTACGCACCCTAGGCCAAGCTCCTGCTTCTTTTACTACTGTTAAACAAGGTCACACTGAATTATACCCTGATTTTTTAGCTAAATTACAAGATGCTGTTGAAAAATCTGTCTCTAATTATCATGTTCAAGGTGTTCTCCTTTGTATGTTAGCTTTTGAAAATGTGAACCATGAGTGTAAGATGGCCATGCATTCCATCCAATGACAAAATTTACTGGATCACGAGATGTTGCCTGCATACATTAAAGTTTAATCTGACACACCTGTGAGGATTAAACACCTGCAGTGGCTTCTAAAGAAAACTGGAGGGTTTAACTCAATTAGTTTCTGAACAGTTACAACTTGGTAATGCAGAATTTTCCCTTTTCCCCTGGAATTCTACTGTGTTTCTAGTAAAAAAAGAAATCAGGAAAGTTGCAGATGGTAACTCATTTAAGGGCCACTAATACTGTAATTAAACCTATGGGAGTCATCCAACCTGGCATGCCTGCCCCTGCTTTAATATCTAAGTTTTGACCTCTCATTTGATCTTAAAGATCATTTTTTATATTGCTTTACATGAATTGAATTGTGAAAAATTTGCTTGTACTTTACCATCTATCAATAATCAGGAGCCTGCAGCTCGTTATCAATGAAAGCACTTCCTCAGGGAATGCTGAATAGCCCTACAATCTGCCAGCTTTATGTTAGACAAGTGCTTTCACCAGTTTGAGCCCAATTCCCCAGGCCTATATTCTTCATTATATTGATGATATTTTAGTTGCCACCCCCCTTCATAAAGAATTAATTGACTGTTATCAAATTTTGAGCCATTGTGTTACAGAGGCTGGATTGCACATCACTCAGAATAAAATTCAGCAGACCACTCCTGTTTGATATTTAGGAATGGTGGTTGATAAACAACGTATTCAACCTCAAAAAGTTCAAATTAGGAGAGATTCTTTGAAAACTTTAAAGACTTCTGAAACCTTTGGGTAACATTAATTATTTAAGACCTACTTTAGGCATTCTGACCTATGCACTGTCTAACTTGTTTTCTACACTGTGGGGAGATTCCAATCTCTGCAGTTCCAGGAGTTTGACACATGAGGCTTCACCAGGACTGGAATTCATAGAGGGAAGAATCCAGACTGCCCAGCTATCTAGAGTACAGCCATTTCAGCCTTTTCAGCTTCTAGTTTTTGCTTCCTTGCACTCCTCTACTGGGCTAATAGTTCAACATAATGATTTAATAGAGTGGTGTTTTCTTCCCCATTCTGTGTCAAAAGCTTTGTCTGTTTATCTGGCCCAACTGGCCATCTTAATTGAACAAGCTTGGTGTAAAATACTTGAAATTTCTGGATTTGATCCAAATTTAATTGTAGTTCCTTTAAATTGGCTCAAAATTCAAGCCACCTTTCAACATTCTGTACTGTGGCAAATTCACTTGGCTGATTTTATTGGCGTTATTGACAATCATTATCCAAAAAACAAATTGTTTAATTTTATAAAAATGACATCTTCGGTGGTCTCTTGCTTAACCAAAGACCAGCCCATTCCTGAGGCCATTACAGTGTTCACTGATGGCTCCAGTAATGGAAATGCTGGCTATGTGGGTCCTACAGACAAGCTTATTTCTACCCTTTATACCTCTGCTCAAAAGGCAGATTTAATTGCTGTAATTACTGTCTTACAGGATTTCCCTAAACCTTTAAATATTGTCTCTGATTCTACTTAATGTGGAAATGAGGATATGCTTGCATTTCACCAGGAGATCATCAATCCCCTCTCTGAATATCCACTAGGAGAATCAAGCTTCATGTGAATATTGATGACAAAAACCACAGGGAACAGAGGTCCGCATCAGAGACGGACCTCAGCCATGGTGAGATCTGTGCCAACTCCTCAGAAGCTGGCCCACCAAATCAAGATGGGTCTGGTTCAATCGTCCTTGATGGCAATGGAGACCCATCTAACCAATCCCACTTCACCTAATTACCTTTCTTTTTCCCCTTACAGACCTAAAAATCTCACCGTTCATATTAACCTGAAAATAACATCCCTCTGTTCTTCTCTTCCTCCCTGAATCTCAGCACTGAATCTTACTTACAATAGGTTTTGTTTAATGATTCTCCTCCTTATACATTCTGTCTCACCAGTTTCCTCTCACACTGATTTACCTGCTACACAAAATTATTCTTAGTGGGCTTATGTGTCTTTTCCTCCACTTATTTGACCTCTCACCTGGATGGATGCTCCTGTGGAAATCTACACTAATGACAGTGCATGGATGCCTGGACCTACAGATGACTGTTGCCCCACTCAACCAGGAGAAGAAGCCACTGCATTTAATGTTACTATGGGTTGTAGTTATAGATGCCCATCTCTGTGCCTCAGACAGGCAGCTGGTTGTATACATCTAGAAACTCTAGTCTGGGCTGCTTATCTTCTGGAGAGATCAGCTACAGAGGAACCGGGGCATTTGGTCTCTGGCCTCTCCCTTTCTCCTTTAAAACAAATGAAAGGGGGAGTAATGGGAGATGCCTCATACTTTCAATATAAACCTGCAGGAAAAGCATGCCCTAAAAATTTTGAGGGCCCATCTAAAACTTTAGTTTGGGATGATTGTGTTAACTCACATGCAGTAATATGAAAAAAAGGCTCATATGGTTTAGTAATAGACTGGGCACCAAAGGGCTATTTAAAAAACAACTGCTCCTCTGGTGGAAGGGAATGCCTGGAGGCTACTTATTTTGTTTCTTATCAGGAGAATGAGAATCATCATTCTACTTTGAATAAGAGGTTCAGCTTTTTCTTTCCCTTAAAATGGGAAGCATGTGATCTCTGTGACCGACACCCTATTTGTACATTCCCTCCCCTTTGAAAATTGCTAATTAAATCTTGCTGGTTTTGCAGCTCAGGGGGCATCACAGAACCTGCTGACATGACCAACAAGACACTCAGCTTTAAAATTTATCTCTTTTGTACTCTTTCTCTTTATTTCTCAGACCCACTGACACTTAGGGAAAATAGAAAAGAACCTATGTTAAAATATTGGGGGTTGGTTCCCCTGATAAATCACCAAGGTTCGTGTCTCAGGTATATGTCAAAATGTCATCAGTGAGCTATAACCAGGCAAGATTATTAAATCACTCAGGGGCTGGGCAAAGGAATATGTCACAATAACACTGGTGGAAAAGTTTAGGGATACGAGTCACCATCCTGCACATGTCCTGGCTCCAGGTACAAAAGTCACTGATAGACCTTTCATCTAGTCTCAGGTATATTCCACAACATCACCTGTGGACAGGGAGAAGAAAGGAAAGTCACACCACCTGAGTGGGATCTGCTCCACTGAAATGTCACAATCCTCCTTGTGGGCAGGATTCTGGAAGAAGAGTCACATCACATAAATGCTGGTTTCAGTGAGATATCTGAACCCCTCTCCTCACCATGGGCAGGGCCTGCCGGGGCTTAGGCAGTATAGGAGACAAACTTCACCTAGGAAATTAGCCTGGATATTTGTCATAATTTCCCCCGTGTGCAGGACCATGCAGGAGAGGGACCTGACTTGGTGCTGGGTTCAGCAATATTTCACAATCTTTCTGGTGGTCAGGGCCCAGGCAAAAGAGTAGAAACCTCACCTAGATACTGAGACAAGTGATATGTTCCAAAGTTTCCTATTGGCAAACCTCTCCCCAAAAAAGAGTCACAACACCTGAGTGCAGTACACAGTGATGTGTCACAATGCACTGTAAGTGCAGGGCCAAGGCAGTAGAAGAAAATCACATAACTTATGTGACAGGCCTAGATAAAAGCCACAATGCTCTTCACAGGCAGAGTTCAGGCCAAGAGTTCATATCAACTTGGTGCTGGTCCCAGGGATATGAAAAAGTGCCCTTTGTCACATTGCCAAAGGTGCTTGGTGCATGTATTTTACAATTTCAACTGTGCTCTGGGACCAGAAAGGAGGGTCAAAACACTCAGATGCTGAACAAAGTCATACTTCTCAATCACAAACTTGAAAATGTTCAGAAATAAGTTTCACAGTCCCACAAAATTCCTGGCTTCAGGTATGAGAGTCAGCACCCCCTATGAAGTACAGGCATTACAGTCTCAACAAGGGGACAGATCCATGTATAAAAGCCCCAATCCCAGTTAATAATTGTGTTCCAGTAAGAGAGTCAAAGCACCACAGTTCTACTGAATAATGGTTCAAACGTCATCAAATCACCTGTGGAGCAGATTCATGTATGAGAGTAACAATATCAACTACTCAGGTGTGAGAGATTTAGCACCTCATTTGTAGGCTCTGTTAATGTGTGAGAATGACAATTACGTCAGCTGGGTGTGGATCTGAGAATCACAATGACTGGCTATGAGAGTTGAAATATCTCTCCTGGCTAGGTCTAGGTATGAGGGTTATTATTGTGCATATGAGCTGAATCCAGGTATATGTCACCGTTTCAACTTTGGACAGAGACAAGAGAGAAGTGTTATGTAATCAGGGTGTCGAGCCAGGGATATATTATAATCTCCTTTGTAGGCAGGACAACGTCAGAAGAGTCATATCACCTGGGTACAATCTCAAATATGTCATCATGCTCAGTGTATACGGGGTTGAAAAAATAGTGAATAGTCACATTCCCTAAATGCTGTGTGCAGTAATATCTGATAACTCCCTCTCTTGGCAGAGTCCAGGAGAAAGAGGAGAGTCACATCACCCAGGTTTTGCACTCAGTGGTATGTCACAATTTCTTCAGTGGGCAGGATCCAGGGAAGAGAGGAGAGTTACGTTACCTATATGCTATATTTAGCAATATGTCAGAGTGTCTTCTGTGGTCAGAAAACCAGGAGGAGAAACCCATCACCTAGCTGATTAGCCCAAAAATATGTGACAGTGTTTGACAGTGTCCCCTGTTGGTTGGGTCCAAGCTGAAAAGTTACATTGCTATAATTTTTTTTGTTTTTGTTTTTAAGACAGAGTCTCCCCCGTCACACAGGCTGGAGTTCAGTGACATGATCTAGGCTTACCAGGCTCACTGCAAGTTTTGCCTCCCATGTGGACGCCATTCTCCTACCTCAGCCTCCTGAGTAGCTGGGAACAGAGGTGCCTGCCACCAGGCCCGGCTAACTTTTTTTGTATTTTTAGTAGAGACAGGATTTCCCCATGTTAGCCAGGATGGTCTTGATCTCCAGACCTCCTAATCTGCCCACCTCAGCCTCCCAAAGCGTTAGGATTATAGGCGTGAGCCACCACACCTGGCCACATTATTACGACTCTAACTCAGCCATATTTTACAATGCACCCATGGTAAAGAATTTAAGTCAAAAACTTTCAACACCAGGGTACTAGGCCTAGTGATATGACACAATCTTCTCATCATTTGATATAACACCTTTAACAGTTAGCTTGGTGTGTATATAAGGGTCACAATCTCTCACGTGTTTTGGTTCATTGCATGACACACTCTGCAACATCTGGAGGCTTTATGCAATATGCATGAGAGTTGCAAATGTCTCTGAGGGCTACATACTCGTATTGACTCAGAATCTTATATATTGCCCTAAACCCCGTCTGGGTTCAGACAAGAGACCCATTATTATGCCTGTAATCTGGGTCCAGAAATGATTCACCATCTCACCTATAGCAAGATCCACATATGAAACTCACAACTCCATCTTTGTACTTTATTTACTTTTTAAAATCAGGACTTCCACACTGGGCTTTGTAATGTGGTGTGGTGACAACATTTGCTCTCACCTACACATGTAATCAAGAGTCACGATCTTACCCTTTTGCTGGGCCCTGTTATAAAACTCTGTGTATCACCCAAGGAGCTTATAGAATATGAGTTGGTGTTGAAAACTTATGTGAGTTTTGTAAAAATATGCAACTCATAACCTTACTTATTGCTTGAAATGTAGTGATGAAAAGCAAAATATCACTATTAGTGGAATCTCAATTTGTTTGATCATCTTGCCTGTGAAATGAAGCAAGGTAAATTTCATAATCCCATTTGTAGGAAAAAAACTTGGCAGGAGGATAGCACAACGAAGATGCTGTGCCAAGCAATATGTCGCTGTGCCAAGCAATATGTCACAATGACATTTTTAGGCATGTTCTAGAAATGAGGGTTACATTAACTGGATGCTAGACCCAGCAATATAACACAATCCCAAATGCGAAAAAACAAAAATGAAAAATAACGGAAACAAAAACACCTAGAGAATAGCTCCAAGATAAATAAAAATACTTTCTGTTGCTCTGGCACAAGCAGGAAGGTTACATCATCAGGATGGGGGTCCCAGCAATATACCATAATTCTTTCTTTATGCAGGACCCAGACAGAAGAGGAACATCATCTGGGAGCTGAGCCCCTGAATCCGTCCAAATTCCTTTTCACGTGCATAGTTTTGGATAAAAAGTGGAATAAAATTTGGACAGGGCCCGGCAATCTGTCCAAATTCCTTTTCATGTGCATAGCTTGGGATAAAAAGTAGAATCATATTGCTAAGTATTGGGCTCAGCAATATGTCACATCACCACACTTTAAAGGAGCAAGCAGAAGAAAAGGGTCATATCACTTGGGACCCAGGCTCAGATAATTGGCCAAATATCAAAAGTAGGCAGGGGTCAGGTAGAAGAGTAGAGTCACGTCACCTAGGTGATTCCCTAGGTATATGACACGATCTAGTATATGAGGTGAAGCCAAGCAGAATAGCCACATCACCTTGATGCTGGGTCCTGAAATATGTCACATGGCTCCCTTAAGACAGGACCCAGACAAGAGAGTTACAACAAATAGGTGCAGGTTCTACCCTTATGTCACAATATTCTATGTGGTCAGCATGCAAGCCAGGAGTCACATCACCTAGATGATAGACCCAGAGATATGTCACAAAGTCCTCCTTGAAGTCTGGCCCTGTAGAAAGTGTACCATCACCTGCATGCCTAGCCTAGCAATATGTCACTATCCAGGAAAGTAGGAACCATGCTGGAGATCAACATCACCTAAATGATAGGCCCAGAGATTTGTCACAATGTCCTCTTTAGGACAAGGCTCTAGCAAAAGACGACCATCACTTGTGTGCCTCATCCAGCCATATGTCACTATCTTCCACTGTGTGCATTCTAATGAGAAGAGTTATGTCACCCAAGTGGTTGACACAGTGATATGTCACAATGATTTATGTGGGTATGGCTCAGAAATAAATGTAACATGACCTGGTTGTGGGATCTAGTGATAAGTCACAATTCTTACTGAGAGCAAAGCCCAGGCAGGAGAGTCACATCACCTAGAGGATGGCCCAGGTAGATAACACAACAACATATGGGGGTGGGAGCCAGTATGCAGAGTCAGATCACACAGGTTCTCAGGAAAATTTACATCACAGTCACACTGGCAGAAATTTCTTGAGATGAGATTTACAATTCCATGCATGTCCTATTTTCATGAGTGACTGTTGGCTTCATATATGTGAGACAGTGATAGTCGTTACTGACTGCTGGGTGTGCATGTAACACTACAATTTTACCTTTCTGCTGGGTTCTCTTATGACACTCTGTGTACAAGCCAAAGGCTTTATAAAATATCTGAGGTTGTTATAACCTGTGACTTTGTCCTTAGCGAGACATAATCACTCCTGTTTCTAAAAAAAAAAAAAAGCTATGAGCATCAAAAGTACTCCTGTTTTGGGGGTCCACATATGAGAGTCATTACCATGCCTGTGGACAGAGCACAGTTTTATGTCAAAGTTTACTTTGTGGTAATGAAACCATCACGACAGCCAAATAACCTGAATGTCAAGCCAGAAATATTCCAATATTTTCTTTGTAGGTAGAATACTTTGTGAAATGTGACATAAATTGTGTGCCAGATCCAGCTCTGTGTCGCAATGTCGCTTGCGGGCCATGTTCAGGCAGAAGAGGAGAGTCACATCACCTAAATGTTTGGAGATATGACTCAGCTAGATTTTGCTTCCAGCGGCATGTCACAATTTCTTCTGTGGGCAGGATCCAGGCAGGAGAGGAGAGTCACATTACATAGATTCTATATCTAGCAATAAGTCACAATGTTTCCTGTGGGCAGGGCACTGTCAGGGGAGAAACATCACCTAGCTAATAGGCTCAGAAATATGTGATAATATCCCCTGTTGACAGGGCCCGGGCAAAAGAGTCACATTATTATGATTTTGACCCAGCAACATGTAACAATGACCCCATGGAAAGGCATATGAGCCCCAAAGTCTCAAAACCTGGGTACTAGGCCCAATGATATGACACAATCTCCTCATCTTTGAGGGTGACAGCTAACTTTTAGCTGAGCATGTATATTAGTGTCACAGTCTCATGCGTGTGCTGGACCAATGTATGACTCTCTCCACAACATCTGAGGAACTTACAAAACCTTCATGAGGGATGCAAACCTCTCTGAGGTCTGCATGCTTGTATGGACTCACAATCTTATATATTGCCCTAAATCCAGGTTTTTTAGTTAACATCTCTCCTACAGGCAGGGTTAAGGAGGAAGACCTATTATGCCTGTGGGCTGGGTGCAGAAATGAGTCACCATCCAACCTTTGGCCAGACGCATATATAAAATAACAATTCCAACTTTGTACTATATTCGCTGGTTACACTGAGAATCTCAACAGTGGGATTTGTAAGTGTGGGATAATGACAACTTTTAATTTCTCCTTGTTGTGTAATTGAGAGTCCCAATCTGAACTTTTTGCTGGCTCCTGTTAATAAACTCTCTACCACGAATGTGTTTATACAGTATAAGATAGTGGTGTAAGCTTCTGTGAGCATGGTACAAATATGCAACCTGGGGCTTCCCTATTGCCCTAAACCTAAGTATGAGAGGCAAAATATCCCCTATTAGGTCAATCCCAATGTAAGTTTGATCATCATGCCTTTGAACTGAAGCAAGGTATCTGTCATAATTCCATCTGTGGACAAAAAACTAGGCAGGAGGGTAACATCACTTAGGTACTGTGCAAACCAATATGCCACAATGCCTTCTCTAGGCAGGGTATAGAAAATTGGGTCACATAAACTGGGTGCTGGACCTAGCAATATGACACCATCTCACATGTGGAAAAAATCCAGCCAGGTAATGAGACAAAACACCTAATAATAGGCCCAAGATATGTCAATATACCTTCAGTGGCTCCAGCACAGGCAGGAGTCACATCACGAGGGTGCTGGGCCCAGCAATATGCAATATGTCATAATTTCCTCTTTAGGCTGAACCCAGGCAGAAGAGTAACATCACCTGGTGATGCATCCTGCAATATGTCAAAATTCCCTTTTTGTAGTCATTTTCTGAAAAAGGAGGAGAGTTATGTATCTTGAGTGCTGGCCTCAGCAATGTGTCAAAATCCTCCTGTTGTGAAGGCCCAGGCAGAAAAAGAGAGTCACATCACTTAGGTCATGGGCTCAGAGATACGTCCCAATGCGAGGTCCATCCGGGAAACCCTGACTCAGTGACAAATGAATAACATACACTGATGCACATATTATGATTATCAGTCTGGCTGAGAGACCAGGCCACTTACATGCTTCAAGTAGAGTGCTGTCAGCTGTGGCCTCAAGTCTCTGGCTCTTCTGGAATTTATTCAGCACACACTAAATGACAAAAAATCTCAAGTAAACACCACTAGAAGGTAATTACCATTGCCGACCCCCTCAGTACAGAACACTCATTCACTCGCAAATGGTCAAAGGTTAGTTTCAGAACCACATGAGTAAATAAGCTATTTAAATAGTCTTCTCTACATTGCTTTGTTAAATACCCTTGCTATAGCTCAAAAAGAATAAGGCTGCCTTCAACCAAACACATTATGGAAACCTGCAGGCCTTCCAAGAGATTCTGTGTTTACATTTTATAACTTTATCTTAAAGTTTTTCCCACCAGGCTGACTGAACCCCTGCATCCCAATGTCCACAGCAGGCGTGGCTCAGGGAGATGAGGAGAGTCACATCCCCTAGGTGATTTCATAGGAATGTGTCACAATGTAACCTGTGGGCAGAAAGCAGGCAAAAGAGCACATCACTTGGGTGCTGGGTCCTGAGATATTTAACAAGACTCTTAACACAGCACTCAGCAAACAGAGTTACATCACCTAGGTGCAGATTCTCTGCTTATGCCACAATGCACCGTGTAGGTAGGGCCAAAGCAGGGAGTCACTTCACAATGGTGATAGGCCCACATATATGTCACAATGTTCTCTATGAAGCATAGTCCTGGCAAAAGAATATCATCACCTGTGTGCCTGGCCTGGAAATATATCACTCTCCAGGTTGGCAAGACCCAAGCAGCAGAGCCACATGAAATCTGTGATAAGCCCAGAGATATGTCACAATGCCCTCCTTTGGGCATGGCTCTGGCCTAAGTGTACCCTCACCTGTGTGCCTGGCCTAGCAATATATCACTATTCTTCCTTTGTGCAGGGCCCATTACAGAGAGAAGAGTTACATCCCCTAAGAGGTGGACACAATGGTATGTAACAGCAATTTTGGTGGGCATGGGGCAGGCAAGAATGTAGCATCGCCTGGATGCTAGATCCAGTGATATGTCACAATCCTTACTGAGAAAAGGTCCCAGGCAGGAGAGTCACATCAACTCCAGGTTGGCCTAGGTAGATATCACAATCTCATATACAGGCTGAAACAATTCTGGTGAGTCAAATTACACAGGTGCTTGGCAAAGATTTACACCACAAGCTCACTGTCAGAAAATTCCAAAGATGAGATTTACAGTAGCACCCATGTCCTGTTTTCATGGGTGACAGTTGGCTTCATACATGTTAGATGATGACAGTCATTACGATGAGCTAGGTGTGCATACAAGGCTCACAATTTCACCTGTGTGCTGTGCCCTGCTTAGATTCTGTGTGTGTAACCCAAAGACTTTGTAAATATGTGTGAGTGTTACAGTCTTTTGTGAACTTTGAACGAGAAGGTGATCCGGGACATCACACATGTCCCTAAACCTAGTTATAAGACTCAATGTATCCTTTATTGGATAAGTCCACATAAGAGAGTCATTATCATGCCTGTGATCCATGCTTAGGTATATGTTACAATTCCCTCTGTGGTTATGAAGCAGGCAGAAGAGCCACATCACCTAAATGCTGGGCCAGAAATATTCCAATATCTTGATTGTGGGTAGGTTCCAGTCAGAAATGTCACATAACTTGTGTGCTAATTTCAGCTTTCTGCACACTGTTCCTCGTGGGAAGTGTCCAGGAAGGATAGGAGATTCGTGTCACGTAACAGCAGAGCCCAAAACTGCGTCACAATGTCTCACGTTGGCAGGGCCCACGAAAGAGAATCATGTCATTAGGATGCTGTGTTTAGAAATGCTAAAATTACTAAAGGAAGCAGGGTACAGGCCAAAGAGGAGAGCAATGTAACCTAGATGATGGGTCAAGAAATATGTGACCATTTCCCCTGAGGACATTGTTAAGACAGCACAATCTATTCGCCAAGGTTCTTGGCCCAAGTGTTTGTCAAAATCTCATTCGTGGACTATATCAAGGCAGAATTACTAAATCATTCAAGAGTTGGGCAAAAATATACGTCACATTACACTTGAGAAAAGGTTTACGAATATGACCCACCATCCTGCACAAGTTCTGACTTCAGACATATGAGTTGCTATTAGGCTTTTCTTGTGGTCTCAGATATATGGCACAATATTATTTGTGGCAAGAGAGAAGGCAGGAAAGTCACATCACTTATGTGGGTATGGGTCTAGTGAGATGTCACAATCCATCTTGTGGGCAAGATCCTGGCAGAAGAGTCACATCACTGGAATGATCATTTCAGTGACATATCAAAACTCCTTCTTTGGGCACAAATTTAGCCAGAGAGGAGACACAGTTCACCTAACAACTGGCCTTGCTATATGTCAAAATGTCTGTAACGTTCAGTACCAAAGCTGGAGAGTGACCTCACATTATTGCTGAAATCAGGAATATGCGCAATCTCCCTGTGGTCAGGGCACAGACAAAAGCAAAGAAACATCATCTAGGTGCTTAGCCAAATGATATGTTACACTGCTTCCTGTTGGCAGAACCCAAAAGAGAGAATCACATCTCCCGGGTGCGGTACCAAGTTGTGTGTTACAATGCACTGTACGTGCAGGGCCAAGGCAGTAGAAAGGAGTCACATCACTTACGTGATGGACCTTGATATAAAACACAATACTCATTGTAGACAGGCTTTAGGCAGATAATTCACCTCACCAGGGTGGTGGTCCCAGTGATATACAAAAGTGCCCTTTGTAGGCAGAGCCAACGAAGGTGTTACATATTGCTTAGGTGCTTCTTCCATATATGGCACAATTTCATCTGTGGTGTGGGCCTAGAAAAGAAATTCAAATTATTCATGTGCTGGGGAAATTTACCTGTCCCAATCACACTCTCAGAAATGCTTAGAAATAAGTTTCATGTCCTACACAAGTCCTGGTTTTCTGTATGAAAGTTGAGTCAACACAGAGGAGTCATAATTTCAACAATGAGACGGATCCATGTATAACAGCCTGAATCCCACTTGAAGATTGTGTTTCAGTCGGGGACTCACAACACTGCAATGTGCTGAATCATGGTTCAAATATTACCAAACCACTTGTGATTAACATGCAGGTATAAGAGTAATTATTTCAACCTTCGACTGCTTTTTAGGCATGCATAAAAGAGTCACATTCTTACCTCGTTGCTGATCTCTTTTATGACACTCTTTGTACCATTAAGTGTTTATATGATATAACTGAGTCTTGTAATTATTTGTGAACTTTATACAAGTAAAAATCACAGGAATTTACACATGGACCTGAGACTGCTATGAGAGTCATAATATTTCTACTGGCTGGGTCCAGGTATGAAAGTTATTGTGCGTGTGTGCTTAACCCAGAGTGTTAACATATTTCTACTGAGTTGGTCCAGTTATGAGAGTTATTATTGTGTATGTGTGCTTAACCCACACATATGTCATAGTTTCACCTGTGAGCAGGGACAAGGCAGAAGAGTCACATCATCTGGGTGCTGAGCCAGTGATACATTATAATCTCATTTGTAGGCTGGGCCTATTTGGAAAATCACACAACCTGGATACACCCTGAAATAGTATGTCACCAAGCCTGCTATAGACAGGGAAGAAGCATAAGAGGAGAGTTACTCCACGTAGGTGCTGGGCTCTGCAATATGTAATAATGTGTCTATTGGCAGAGTCTGGAATATGAAAGACAGCCATATCACCTAGGTTTTGCAATCAGCAGTATGTCACAAGTTTTTTGGTGAGCAGGACCCTGGCCAGGAGGAGAGTCACATGACATAAATATTTTGCCAAAGAATATTTCACAATGTTCTCTAGGGGCAGGGCACAGGCAGGAGAGATATGTTACCCAGCTTATAGGCCCAGAGATCTGTGACAATATCCCAGGTTGGCAGGGTCCAGGCAGAAGAGTCATATTATTATTATTCTAACACAGCAATATGTCACAATGCACCCATGTTAAGTTATTTCAGCAAAAAGTCTCAACACCTGGGTACCAGGCCTAAAAACATGCCAAAACCTTTGGTCTTTGAGGGTGACACCATTAACTGCGACCTGGGTGTGTGTATGAGAGTCACAGTCTCACATTTCCCGGGCTGTTGTATGACACTCTACAACATCTGAAGGCTTTATACAGCATGCATGAGAGTTGCAAAACACTCTGAGGCCTATAGGCTCATATGGATTCACGATCATATATACTGCCCTAACCCAGGTATAATGGTCAACATCTCTGTAGGCTGGGATTAGGGATGCCTGTGAGCTGGACCCAGAAATGAGTCACCATGCCACCTGTGGCCAGATCATGCCTATAAGCTGAAGCGAAGTGTATGTCATAGTCCCATTTGTGGGCAAAAAACTTGGTTGGCAGGTAATATTGTTTAGCTGCAGTGCCAAGTAGCATGTCACAATGTCCTCTCTAGGCAGGATATAGAATTAGAGCCACATTAACTGGGTGCTGGGCTCAGCAATCTGAAACCATCCCACATGTGCAAAATCCCAGCCAAGGAATGAGAGTCAAAACACCTACATAATATGCCCAGAATATGTTAAAACCTTCGTGGCTATGGGACAGGCATGATAGATGAAATAATGCCCTGCTGTGAAAGGACATTGTCAACGTGCTGGCCTCAGTGATATGCCATAATTCTGTCCATTTGCTGGGCCCAGAAAAAGGAGTAACATTATCTCGAGGCTGGGCCCTGCAATAGGTCAAAAATTCTGTTTGTGTGCATGGCTCTAGAAAAAAAGTAGAGACAAATAACCTGAGTGATGAACTCAGCAATATGCCACAATCTCCCCATTGTAAAAACCAGGGAGAAAAAGAGAGTCACTTCACTTAGGTCAAAGGGCAGAGAGATATATCCCACTGTCCCCAGCAGGTAAAGCCCAGACAGAAAAGGTGAGTCATATCACCTAGGGACTTTCTTGGTTATATATCACATTCTAACATGTGGGCAGACACCAAGCAGAAGAGCCGCATCACCTGGGTACAACATCAAGCAATATGTCACCATCCCCATAAGGACAGGTTTGAAGGAAACAAAAGGGAGAATCACAACTCCTGAGTGGCGAGCTTAGCAATATGTAATAATCCCCACTCTTGGCAGAATCCAGGATAAAGAGGAGACTCATGTCTCCTAGGTTTTGGACTCAGTGGTCAGACTTTCTTCGGTGGGCAGGATCCAATCAGCAGAGGACAGTACATTTCCTAGACGCTATATCTAGCAATATGTCACAATGTCACCTGTGGGCAGGGTACTGTCAGGAGAGCCATATCAACTAACCAAGAGGCCCAGAGATACATGAAAATATACGCTGTTTGCAGGACCCATGCAGAAGCGTCATATTGTCATGATTCTGACCCAGTGATATGTAACAATGCTCTTATGGAAAAGAATGCAAACCAAAAGTCTCAACACCAGGATACTAGGACTAGGGATATGACTCAATCTCATCTTTAAAGGTGACAGCATTAACTAGTTGTGTATATGACAGTCACGATCTCATGTATGTGCTGGCCACTGTATGACACTGTCTACAATATCTGAGAACTGTATACACTATGCATGACAGTCTATATCTCTCCCATAGGTTGGCTTAAAGAATGAGGCCACTATTATTGCTGCGAGCTGAATCCAGAAATGAGTCATGATTCCAACTGTGGCCAGATTGACTTATGAAAGTCACAATTCCAACTTTGTGCTTTATTCACTCATTAGACTCAGGACATCAACAATACCCTTTGCAAATGCAGGATGGTAACAACTTTTACTTTCGTCTGTGCAGTCAAGAGTCACAATCTTAATTTTTTGCTGGGCCCTGTTATAAAACTCTCTCTACCAACCAAGAAGTTTTTATGATATGAGTTGGTATTGTAAACTTCTGTGATATTTGTACAAATATGCAATAAAGGACCTTAATTATTGAAGAAAACCTAGTGGTGAGTGGCAAAATATCTCCTATTGGCAGAATCCCAATATAAGCTTGATTATCATGGCTTTCAACTGGAGGAAGGTATATGTCATAATCTTATTTCTGGGCTAATAACAAGGCAGAAGGTTAACATCACTTAGCTGCTGGGCCAAGCTATATGTCACAATGCCCTCTCTAGGCAGGGCCTAAGGAAAAGGGTCACATTTACCAGGGGTTGGAGCCAGCAGTTTAATGCAACCACAGATGGAAGAAACCAAGCAAAGTGATGAGAGCCAAAGCACCTAGAGAATTTGCCAGAGATATTCTAAAATACTTTCTGTAACTTAGTCACAAGCAGGAGAGCCATGTCATTAGGGTGCTGGACCAAGCAATATGCCACAATTCCCTGCTTATGCATGACTTACGCAGAAAAGTAGCATCATCCAGGTGCTGGGCCCTGAAATATTGCAAAAGCCCTGTTCGTGGGCGTTGTTCAGCAAGAAGACGAGAGTCACATTACCTAAGTGCTGGGCTCATCAATATGTCAAAATGTTCCTATTGTTAAGGCCCAGACAGAAGAAGAGAGTCACATCATTTACGTCACGGGTTCAGAGATATGGCCCAATGTCACCAGTAGACAAGGCTCAGGCAGAAAAAGTCATATCACCTGGATGTTTTTAAAAAGTATATGTCACAATTTAATATGTGGGCAGAAACCCTGGTGAAGAGCCACATCTTCTGTTCCAGTGTCCTGAGATACTCACAACTCAGTCCCCCTTAGAAAAGAACCGACTCCAGTTAGTTACATCGCCTAGGTTCATGTTCCACGGTTCTTTCACAGTTCTCCATGTGGGCAGGAACAAGCAGGACCAAGGACCAGGGCCAAGCCCATCACCTAAGTGATAGGCTGAGAGATATGTCACAAAAGCATGGCCCTGACCAAAGAACACCACCACCTTTGTACCTGGCCTGGCAATATGTCACTATTCAAGTAGGCAGTTCCTGAGTAGAAGAGCCATATCACCTACATGATAGGACCTGTGATATGCCAAAATGCCCTCTTCGGTGCAAGGCCCTGGCAAAATAGTATCAACACCTGTGTTCCTGCCCTAGAAATATGTCACTATTTTGCCCCGTGTGCAGGACTCATTCCAGAGAGGAGAGTTACATCTTCTAACTGATGTACAAAGTGATATGTAACAATGATGTCTTCAGGCATGGTGCAGGCAAAATGTAAAGACAGTTTGATGGTGGATCCAGTGATGTCACAATTCTTACTGAGAGAAGGGGTGGCTGGGCGGAAAAATCTCATCCCTTCAAGTTTTGCCCAGGTAGATATCCAAATCTCATGTAGACTGGAACCAGTCTGAAGAGTGAAATCACACAGGTGCTTGGCAAAGATTTATATCACAGTCACAATGAAATAAAAGTCTATGGATTAGACTTACAATGCCACACATATCATGTTTGCATGTAGGACAGTTGCCTTCATCCATCTGTGATGGTGAAAGTCTTTACTGCCAACTGGCTGTCCATACAAGATTCAGAATTTCCTCTCTGTGCTAGGCCCTGTTATGACACTCTCTATACAATCCAAGGGTCTTATAAAATATGTGTGAGTGCTGTAATTTTCTGTGACATTTTTACCAGAGTTAGACCCTGGACATCACTCATGTACCTCAACCTAGTTATAAGGGTCAAAATTTCTCCTATTGGCTGAGTCTGCATATGAGAGTCAGTATCATTCCTGTTAGCTGTGTCTAGGTATATGTCACCATCCCCTCTGTGGTTATTAGACCAGCAGGACAACCACATCACATAACTCTTCAGCCAGAAATATTCCAATATTCTCTTTGTAGGCAGGATATAACAGAAATGTCACAAAACTTGGGTGCTGGTCTCTGTGATTTGTAAATTTTCCTGTATTGCATTGGTAAACAAGGTGTTACATATTGCTCAGGTGCTTGTTGCATGTATGTCACAATTTCCACTGTGCTCTGCACCTAGAAAGGAGAGTCAAACACTCAGATGCTGGGTAAAGTCACATTTCTCAATCACACACTCAAAAATGTTCAGAAAAATTTTCACAGTCCCGTACTAGTCCTGCCTTTGGATATAAGAGTGAACATCTCCCATGTGTTGGGTGGAAGTATAGGAGTCACAATGTCATCAGTGGGCAAGGTCCATGTATAAAAGCCCCATTCCCACTTGAAGATTGTATTCCAGTAGGAGAGTCAAAGGACTACATGTCTGCTGAGTCATTCTTCAAACATCAAAAAAACCACCCATACTATTATTTTGGAATGTCCTGGTGACTTGTCCATGTTCAACAGTAGGGCTGTCTACCTGGCACTATGAGAGCATAATACACACACACACACACACACACACACACACATTATATATATATACACAAACACACATAAACACATACACACAGAGTAATATTTCACAACGCACCCGTGGTAAAGAATTTAAGACAGAAATCTCAACACCAGGGTACTAGGTCTGGTAATATGACACAATCTCCTCATCTTTTAGGTGACACCTTTAACTTTTAGCTTGATATGTATATTACAGTCACAACCTTACACGTGTTCTACATCATTATATGACACACTCTACAACATCCAGAGGCTTTATGCAACATGCATGAGAGTTACAAACCACTCTGAGGCCTACATGCTTATATTCACTCACAATCTTACATATTGCCTTAAACCCAGTTATGATTGCCAACACCTCTCTAATAGGCTGGGTTCAGACAGGAGACCCATTATTATGCCTGTGATCTGGGTCCAGAAAATAGTCACCATCTCACCTATAGCAAGATCCACATATGACAGTCAAAATTTCAACTTTGTACTTTATTTACTTATACTCAGGACTTTAACAGCTGACTTTGTAAATATGGGATGCTGAAAAGTTTTGCACTCACCTGTATGTGTAATCAAGAGTCATGATCTTAATCTCTGGCTGGGCCCAAGCAGTTTTTAGAATATGAGTTAGCGTTGTAAGCTGCTGTGAGCTTTCTGCCACTATGCAACTCACAACTTTAAGTATTGCCCTGCGTGGAGAGGTGATAGGCAAATGTTACTATTGGTGGAAAACAAATATAACTTTGATCATCATGCCTCTGAATTGAATCATGTAAATTTCATAATCCCATTTGTAGGAAAAAAGAAAAAACTAGCCAGGAGAGTAGCACAACGTAGGTGCTTTGCCAGGCAATATGTCACAATGCCTTCTCTAGGTAGGGTTCTAGAAATGAGGGTTACATTAACTGGGTGCTGGACCTAGCAATATGACACAATCCACCTCCCCAAAAGAAAAAAAAAACAGACAAATGATGAGAATAAAAACTCCTACTGGGTGTGCCCAAGAATTGTAAAAATACTTTCTGTTGCTCTGGCACAGGCAAGAGAGTTACAGCATCAGGGTTGGGGGCGGAGCCATATGCCATAATTCTCTCTTTATGCAGGACTCAGGATGAAGAGGAACATCATCTGGGTGCTGGGCCCTGCAGTAAATCAAAATTCCTTTTCCTGGACACTTTTTGGGAGAAAAAAAAAAAGAAAAGCCATATAACCTGAGTATTTGGCTTAGCAATATGTCACATCACCCCATTGTAAAGGCTCAGACAGAAGAAAAGAATTACGTCAGTTAGGATACTGGCTCAAATATATGACCCAATGTCCAAAATAAGCAAGGCTAAGGCAGAAGAGAAAAGTCATATCACCTAGGTGCTTCCCTAGGTATATGAAAAAAATCTAACATGTGAGGTGAAGCCAGGCAGAAGAGTCACACCGCCTTGATCCTGATTCCTGAGATATGTCACAAGTTTCACTTAGGACAAGACTCAGACAAGAGATTTACAACAAATAGGTGTAGGTTCTACCTTTATGTCACAATGCTCTTTGTGGGCCATGCTGAAGCAGGGAGTTACGTTACCCAGGCGATAGGCACAGAGATATGTTGCAATGTTCTCCTTGAGACATGACCCTGGCAAAAGAGTACCATCACTTATATGCCTAGTGTAGTAATATGTCACTATTCAGGAAAGCAGGACCCAAGCAGGAGAGCAACATCACCTAAGTGATCAGCCCAGAGATTTGTCACAATGCATTCTTTAGGACATGGCTCTAACAAAAGAGTACTGTCACCAGTGTGCCTGGCCCAACCATATGTCACAATCCCCAATTGTGTGCAGGGCCCATTCTAACAAGGAGAGTTACATCACCTAAGTAGTTGACACAGTGATATGTCACAATAATCTCTGTGGGCATGGCTAAGGCAAAAATTTAACATGACCAAGGTGCTGGATCTAGTAATATGTCACGATTCTTACTGAGAGCAGGACCCAGGCAGTAACATATCACTTGTATCAGTATCATGTAGAGGTAGGCCCAGGTAGATACCGCAATAAGATATGCGGGCTAGAACCATTATGGTGGATTAAATCACACAGATGTTTGGTGAAGATTTGTATCACAATAACACTAGCAGAAAATTCCCAGGATGAGATTTACAATATTGCACATGTCCCATTTTCATGAGTGACAGTTAGCTTCATATATGTGAGATGTTGATAGTACTTACTGTCAGCTGGGTGTGCATTTGAGACTCACAGTTTCATCTTTCTGCTGGTTTCTGTTATGACACACTCGGTACAAGCCAAAGGCTTTAAAAAATATGTGAGGCTGTTATAATTTTCTTTGACCTTGTTTTTTTACCAGATAGGGATTTAATTACTCGTGTCTCTAAAGAAATTTATGAGAGTTAAAATTCTATTTGTGGGATCCACATAAGACAGTCATTATCATGCCTATGAGCTGTGCTTGGGTATATATCACAACTTAGTCTGTGTTAATGAAACAGGCATGACAGCCAAGGCACCTAAATACTGAGCCAGAAAATTTCCAATATTCTCCTTACAGGCATGCTCCAGGCAGAAAAGTTGCATAACTTGGGGGTTACATCAAGATGTATAACACAATACACCTTATGGGCTGTGTCCAGGTAGAAGAGGAGACTTGTATCACCTAAACAATAGGCCCAGAGATATCTTACAAAGTCTCCTTTTGCAAGGATCAGGCAAGAGAGTCACGTAATTTGGATGTAGTGCTTAGAAATGCTATAGTCCCGGCGGGGCGTGGTGGCTCATGCTTGTAATCCCAGCGCTTTGAGGGGCCGAGGTGGGTGGATCATGAAGTCAGGACATAGAGACCATCCTGGCTAGCATGGTGAAACCCCATCTGTACTAAAAAAATAAAAAAAATAAAAAATTAGCCAGGCCTGGTGGCTGGTGCCTGTAGGCCCAGCTGCTTGGGAGGCTGAGGCAGGAGAAGGGCGTGAACCCAGGAGGCAGAGCTTGCAGGGAGCTGAGATCGCACAACTGCACTCCAACCTGGGCAACAGAGCAAGCCTCCATCAAAAAAAAGAAAAAAAAAAAGAAAGAAATGCTACAATCTCTAGTGGAAGCAGGGTCCAGGTAAGAGAGGAGTGTCAGGTAACTAGATCATGGGTCCAGAAATATGTTACAATCCTTCTGGAAGATATTGTTAAAACAGGAGAGTCAAATCATCATGGTGATAAGTTGAAGTACACATCCAAATCTCATTTGCGGGCTACAACTAGGCAGGAGTATTAAATCACTCAGGAGCTGGGCAAAGGTATATGTCACAATAACACTGGTGGAACATTCCAGGAATGGGAGTCTCTGTCTTGCATATGACCTGGATCCAGGTTTAACAGTCATGATTAGTCCTCTTAAGTAGTCTTAGGTATATGACACAATATCACCTGTGGGCAGAGAGCAAGCAGAAAGGTCACATCATCTGGATGGGTGCTGGTCCAGTGAGATGCCACAATCTTCCTTGTGGGCAGGACACTGGAAGAAGACTCACATCACCTGGAGGCTGGTTTTAGTGATATATCAAAAGTCCCCCTGTGAGGAAATCTTAGGAGTGTGAGGACACTCCCTTTACCTAAGCAATTGGCCTAGATATATGTCACAATGTTCACTATCTGCAGAACCACGGTATGAAAGTGACCTCACTTCGGCGCTGGGTTTAGTAATATGTCACAATCTCCCCTCTGGTCACGGCAAGACAAAAGAGAAAAACATTATCTAGGTGTGAACCAAGTGATATGTTATGAAGCTTCCTGTTGGCAGAACCCAAAACAGAGAGTCACATCACCTGGGTGCAGTACCCAGTTATGTGTCACAATGCCCTGTAACAGCAGGGCCAAGGCAGTAGAAGGGAGTCTCATCACTTATATGATGGACCTAAATCTAAGTCACAATGACTTTTATAGGCAGGAAAAAGACAAAGAATTGACATCACCTTGATGCTGGTCCCCGTGATATGTTTAATTACCCTTGGTAGGCAGGCCCAGGCACTTCTGCTTAGGTGTATGGTCCACCTACGTCACAATTTTATCTGCCGTCATGGCCTAAAAAGGAGAGTCAAATTATTCAGGAGCCGGGCTAATTTTTATGTCCTAATCACACGCTGGGAAATATTCAGAAATAAGTTTCACAGCCCTTCACAAGTCCTGGCTTTGTGCACATGGGTCAACACCTCCTGTGCAAGGGGTCAAAGCAGAGGAGTTACAGACTCAACAATGGGCAGGATCCATGCATAAATTGCCCAGTTCTACTCGAAGATTGTGTTCCAGTATGAAAGTCACAGCCTCACAGTTGGGCTGAATACTGCATCACCAAACCACCCACGGGGTTAAACCATGTACGAGAGGAACAATTTCAACCTTCGACTACTCTGTTGTGTGAAACTTAGTACCTTATTTGTAGGCCACGTTCTTGTATGAAAGTGACAATCAAGTTAGCTGGGTGTGCATCCATGATTCACAATCACACCTGGTTGCTGTTCCCTGTTATGACACTCTTTGTACCACTGAGGCTTTATATGATATGCCCGAGGGTCATATCCTCTGTGAACAAATAGGAGACCCATTATTTTACTTATGGAAATAAGACTGGCTATGAGAGTCAAAATCTCTCTCCTTTCTGGGTCCAGGTATGATGATTATAATTGTGCATGTGAGATGATTCCAGGTATATGTCACAATTTCACCTGTGGGCAGAAACAAGGAAGAAGTCTCACAACATTGATGCAAGCCCATGATACATTATCTACTCTTTTGCTTGCAGGTCCAAGTCAGAAGAGTCACATCACCTGGGTACAGCCTCAAGTAATATGGCACCATGTCCACTGTAGACAGGGTTGAAAAAAACAAAATAGGAGACTCACAACACCTAGGTGTTAGGCTCAGCAATATGTAATAATCCCCTCTTTTGACAAACTCCAGAAAATAAAGAGGAAAGTTGCATTACCTAGGTTTTGCACTCAGTGGCATGTCACAATTCCTTTAGTAGGAAGGACCTAGACAGGAGAGAAGAGACGTATTTCCTAGCTGCTACGTTCAACAATGTCACAATGTTTCTTTGGGGCAAAGCACAAGAAAAAAAGACAAATCCCTTAACATTTAGGCTCACAAATATGTGATGATATGTCTTGTTGCAGGGCCAGGGCAAAAGGTGTCACATTATTATGATTCTGACACAATATGTCACAACACATACACGAGAAACAATTTAAGCAAAAGTTTTAACACCTGGTTACTAGGCCCAGTGATATGACACAGGACACTCGTTGGCAGGACACTCGAAGAAGACTCACATCACCTGGATGCTGCTCATCTTTGAGGATGGTACCTTTAAGTGTAAGCTTGGTGTGTATATGAGTCACAATGTCATGTGTGTGCTGGGCCATTATATAGAACCCTCTGCAACATCCGAGGGATGTATATGGCATGTATGAGAGTTGCAAACTTCTCTGAGGCCCACATGCTCATATGGACTCCCAGTGTTATATATTGCCCTAAACCCAGGTATGATAGTCAACATCTCTCATTTAGGCTGAGTTCAGGAATGAGACCTATTTTTATTTCTATGAGCTGGGACCAAAAATGAGTCATAATCGCACCATTGGCTAGACCCACATGTGAGTGTCATGATTCCCACTTTGTACTGTTTTTCTTTGTTAGACTTAGTACCTTAACAGTGGGCTTTGTAAATGTGTGCTTGTGACAATATTTACTTCCACCTGGCTGTGTAATTTAGAGTCACAATCTTAATTTTTTTATGTTTCTTGTTATAAAACTCTCTGTACCACCAAAGGAGTTTATACAATATGAATTAGTGTTGTAAACCTCTGTGAGCATTGTACAAACAGAAAACCCATTTTACCTATTTCCATAAGCCTAGCAATGAGTGGAAAAATATCTTCTATTGACTGAGCCCTAATATAAGTTTGACCATCATGCCTGTGAACTGAAGCAAGATTTATGTCATAATCTCATTTATTTGTCAACAATTAGGAAAAAGAATAATATCACTTAGATGATACGGCAACAAATGCCACAATGCCCTTTTTAGGCAGAATCTAGGAAGAAGGGTCACATTACCTGGACCCAGCAATGTGACACAATTCCACATGTGGAAAAGTTTAGCCATGGGATGAGAGCCAAAACACGTGTACAATGAGTCAAAGGTATGTCGAAATACTCTCTGAGGCTACTGGCATGCAGGTAGGACAGTAGCATCTTCAGGGTGCTGGGCCCACTCATATGTAATAATTTCCTCTTTATTCAGAACTCTGACAAAACTGTAACATCATCTGGGTGCAATATGTCAAAATTTCCCTTTGCGGGCATGGTTCAGAAAAAAAGAGTAGAGTCACATCAGTTAAACTCTAGGCTCAGCAATATGCCACAATCCCACCATTTTAAAGGCCCAGGCAGGGGAAGAGAATCATATCACTTAGGTCATGTGCTCAGAGATATGTCCCAATGTCCTCAGTAGGCAGGACTCAGGGAGAAAGGGAGAGTCATATCACCTATGTGCTTTTATAGGTATATGTCACAATCTAACACGTGGGAAGATACCAGGAAGAAGAGCCACATCACCTGGGTCCTGAGATATGTTACAAAGCTTCCTTAGGAAAACACCAAGGCAAAAGAGTTAAATCAACTTGCTGCAGGTTTAACTTTTATGTCACAATGCTCTGTGTGGGTGAGGCCCAAGCCTCAAGTCACATAATCTAGGTGACAGTCACGGAGATATGTTACAATGCCCTCCTTGACACATAGCCCTGGTGAAAAAGAACCATCACCTGTTTGCTTGGCCTAGAAATATGTCACCACCAACCCTTCTGTTCAGGACCTATTCTAGAGAGGAGAGTTACATCACCTAATTGGTGGAGACAGTCATATATCACAGCAATGTCTGTGGCCAAGGCTCAGGCAAGAATGTAACGTCACCTGGGTTTTTGATCCAGTGATATGTCACAATCCTTAATGAGACAAGTGCCAAGGCAGGAGAGTCACATCATTTATATGTTGGTCCAGGTAGAGATCACAATCCCATATATGAGCTGGAACCAGTCTGGAGAGTCAAATCACAGATGCTCAGCAAATATTTTTATCACAATCACAATGGCAGAATATTCCAGAGATGAGACTTACAATACCATACATGTCCTGTTTTCATGAGTGACAGTTGGCTTCATGTATGTGAGATGTGACAGTCCTTACTGTCAGCTGGGTGTGCATATGAGACTCACAATTTCACCTTTCTGTTGGGTTCTCTTATGACACTCTGTGCAAGTCATGGGCTTTATAAAATATCTGAGCCTGTTATAATCTTCAGTGACCTCTTTACCAGAAAGAGATCTAAGAAATGACTCATGTTTCTAAAGCAAGTTACAAGAGTCAAAATTATTCTTATCTGTAGGATCCACATGTGAGAGTCAGTATCATGCCTGTGAGCTGTGCCTAGGTATATGTCAAAATTTACTCTGTGGTAATGAAACAGACATGACAGACTTGTCACCTAAATGCTGAGCCAGAAGTTTTCCAATATTCTCCTTCTAGACAAGTTTCTGGCAGAAAAGTTGCATAACTGCGAGGCTACAGCAAACTCTATGGCATAATGCCCCTCGTGGGCAGTGTTCAGGCAGTAGAGGAAGTTGTATCACCTAAATGATAGGCCCTGAGATATGTCACAATGCCTCCTGTTGAAAGGGTCAGAAATGTATCATTTCCAATTATACTCATTTTTACTGCAGTGATTTGGTGTCTTATTTTGGCTTTGATTTGCAGTTTTCTAATAATTAATAATGCTGAGCATCATTGTATGTAATTGGCCATTCGTATGTCTTCTTTGAGGAAATGTCAGTTAAGGTATCTTGCCTATTACTAAATAGTGTGTTATTATTGCTCTTAAAATTGTTATGTATTCGTATGTTTATCTCTTGTCATATGTATATTTTGCAGATATAGTCTCCCACAGTGTAAGCTGTCTCTTCACTCTGTAAATTTATTTTTACTATTTTTTTTTTTTTTTTTTTAGATTCTGGTAATTTTACTTGTCTGCTTTTGCTTTTGTTGCCTGTGCTTCTGGGGTCTTATTTAAAAATTTTTTCTGTCCTATCTGATTAAGAATTTCTATATGTTTTATGGAAATTGTTTTATAAGTTTGAGTTTTACATTTTAATCTTCTATTTATTTTTAATTAAGTTTTTAAAATATGGTAACAGGTAGGCATCTAGTTGTATTACTTTGTATTTAAGAAATTAATTTTACAGCACCATTTATTGATGAGGTTGACTTTTCTTAAATATGTCTCTTAAATACCTTAAAAATTATTTGGCTCTAGGCTTATTAATTTATTACTAGAATCAATGGATACTTTGTTCTATCTGTCTGTTTCATATGCCGGTATCACTCTGTTTGCTTGTTATAGCTTTGCAGTATATTTAGAAGTCGGGTAATTTGATGCTTTCAGCTTTGTTCTTTTTTGCTAGATGACTTTGGCTATTTGGGGAGTTTCTTTTGTTCACTATAGATTTTAGGCCTGTTTTTTTCCATTTCTGTGAAAAAATGTCATTGGTATTTTTATTGAGTTTGCATTGAATCTGTTGATTACCTTGAGTAGCATAGTCATTTTAGCAATATTTTTTATAACTCATGAACAAAAAATATTTCTCATGTTTTTCATATTTTTTAGTTTTTTAATTAATGTTTTATAATTTATAGTGTAGACAGTGTTTATCTTTTTAATTAAGTTTACTGCTAGGCACTTTATTTTTTATTTTAGATGCAGAAAAATTATTTTGAAAAATTTAGCATGTTTTGTGATTAAAACAAGTGAACAAGTTAGGTACAGATGGTATGTAACACAACACAGTTAAGGCAAAATATGACAAATCAATACCTGATAAGACACTGAACATTAAAAGGTGAAGGCTTTTTACTTAAGACCTAGAAGAAGACAGTGATGTCTACTTTTACCACTTTTATTCAACAGAGTACTGGAGGTCTTAGCAAGATTATTTATGCAAGAGAAAGAAATAAAAGACATCCAAATAAAAAGGAAGAAAGTCAAATTATCTGTTTGCAGATCTCTTAACTGTTTGTATAGCAAAACTTAAATACTACACTAAAAATCTTGAGAATTGATAAAGAAATTCAGTTAAGTAGCAGAATACCAAATTCACTTTAAAAACTTAGTAGGAGCATATTTTCATGCCAAGAAAAAGCCATCTGAAAAAGAAATTCAAGAAAAAAATTTACAACAACTATAAAGTGTCTTACTTCATTTCAGCCTGATGGCTGAAAAATTGGACTGCTGGTTTCAAATGAAGCCAGCCATTTTCTGACGGCTTCTTTCTGAATAATGCCTACCTGTGCAATGGGAAAAGGAGGTGGAGCCACTGAAATTCACACCTTTTGGCAGGAGAGGAACCTGGATTCTTAAGTTGCTATGTTGTGACCTGGTGTTCCTCAATCTGTGAGGTCAGGGCCAGATAACACGAGTGCTTCCCACTCTGCTGACACTTTGTTGTTGATGTTGTTGTTGTTGTTTTCTTTTTCCTTTTGGCCCAATAAACTTTACTCCTAACCCTTCAGTGTATTCATTAGACTCTTCCTTCATAATCATGTGAGAAGATCCTTGTTTTAGCTTAACTAAGGAGAAAGTTCTATAACATTTCGGTGTCTAGATGTGGGGCTTGAGGTAAGTAAGATGTAAACTAAAAAATCTTTTTCTATTTTGTTTGTAAGTGTTTTCATTCTTGGACTTCTCCTGAGGATAGAGGAAACTCTTCAACACCCTACCCAAACAGCCCCAGGCACATGTGGGATGGTAGTTGAATGGCAGCTCTTCATTCCCATCTCCTCTGGGCTGAAAAATGCGAGGCACTCATGGTGTCTTCATGTTCACCGACCAAGGGATCCAACCTCACCCAACAGCATTAAGTTTTTCTCCTTGTTGAAGGAACTCATTTGCATAAGAAAGAAAATTGTCTTTCCTGCTCTACACTTAAGACTTTTTTTTTCTTTTCTTCATCCTGTCTGCAATTTACTTTTAAGCAGAAGGTTTTTTTGTTTTCTTCATATGAAATGTTTTGCCGGACAATGCCCCAATGATCACTGCTTATATTCTTTGTAGAGTTTTGATTGTGAATAGATGTTTCTCAGGTTGGTCTAGAGCTGTGGCCAATCTGGTGTGCTTTGTATGTCCTTCTCTATAGCTGTCAGAAAATTTTGCGCAGGCATCCATCTTGTTTTATGTTTTCAGGAACATGACCTGAACCAATGTGGCTCTGTTTTGTTTTGGCCTCTGCCATTTTACAATGGTGGCCCAGGTTTAATCCTGGCTTAAGGAAAGAGTCTCTTCTGGTTTTATATCAGCATGTAACTTTTGCCCTTTGCTGATTCTCTTCCACTTAACAAACTGCCTTACTTTTTTTTTTTTTTTCCTCTGAGCACCTGGTAAGTTACTTTTGTTAAAATTTGAAAGCCAGAAACACTGGCTGCTTGGTGCTACTAGAGTCAGGTAATAAAAAAATTAAAAGGATATTCTTAAAGAGTCCTCAACTTAATTAAAAGTGGATATCCAAATTATAGGTATATTTAAAAGACCTTTATATTTTTCTTTTCCTGGATCTTGTTTTGCTGGTAGAAGTTTTTTTCTCAGTCAACTGAATCCTTTTTCTTCATTTTGTCTGGCCACTCTAATGCATGCATGAGAGGACAGTAATTCAATCTGGAAATTGGCAAATAAAAAACCTTATGACAGCTGGGTGTGGTGGCTTATGCCTGTAATCTCAGCACTTTGGGAGGCTGAGGCAGGAGGACCACGAGGTCAGGAGATAGAGGCCATCCAGGCTAACATGTTGAAACCCCATCTCTACTAAAAATACAAAAAATTAACCAGGTGGACGCCTGTAGTCCCAGCTACTCAGGAGGCTGAGCCAGGTGAATGGCGTGAGGTTGAGGTTGCAGAGGCAGAGGTTGCAGAGAGCCAAGATCGCGCCACTGCACTCCCGCCTGGGTGACAGAGCGAGACTCTGTCTCAAAACAACAACAACAACAACAACAAAAACCTTATAATTACTAGGTTTTCTTCAGCCTGTTTCTGTAGTTATATATATATGTTGTGTGTATGATGTCTATATAAAGAGGTCTAATAAATTTACTTAAAGAATGATAAGAACTTGGATCAAATATTTATTGAAGGGAAGAAAAAAGACATGTACCTTTTTGTTCACATGACTTTTAATCTTTGAGAAATAAAAACAGCCTTAAAGATTATCAGTAGAACACAAATATCAATGTATCAGTGGGTGGACGAAATTATGCAGGTGAAATACTAGATTTGCTAAATGTTTTAAGGTTATAAACAGCATTTTTGGTTTTTGAGAGCAGTTCAACTTTGCTTCACTGTTGGTAAGGCCTGAGGACAAATAGAATTAACCATACCCTTAATTATGCTGAAAGGAGTCAAACCCTTGACTGCACCTAGCACATAATTAAAACAATTTACCTGGTTTTACATTAAAGTTAAAATTGCTAGAAGTTACCATTATAAGATGTAATTAAAAGCACTGGAAGTAGAGTTATATATGAGTAAATGATTTACATACAGTAAAATGTGTTTTTAATAAAAAATTATAAGAAGGCATGAATATATAAATTCTTGCCTAGGGTAAAACATTTGTTCTCAATTAGATAAGATAAAGCTAACAGTTCAAACAAGCTGTGGAAGGATTGTTAAAATTAATCTTGCCAAAGGAATTCTTTTGTGAACATTAATTAAATTTAAAAAGTTATTATATGGGTTTTTTGTAAATTGAGGCTTGCAATAAAAATACAACAAAGTACTCTTAGGGCACAAATCTGTTCTTTAGCAAAATTTGTAAAGAATTATAGAAGGTTTTTGCTTTTTACATTTCTAAGTCATTTGGTTAAAAGATTGATTTAACCTAATTAATTAATTAATTAACATGCTTAGTGATACTGTCTCACTCTGGCCAATCTCAAAATATGCTCAGGTGCTTGCTGAAACCAAAGGGAATATAGAAAGGGTAGTAGAAGAAGGTAGTCATCAATACCAGGTACAACCACTTGATCAGCTGCAAAAGCGAGGGCTGTAACTGTATTTCCTTCTTCTTTTGTTAAAAAAATTTTTTTGTGTTTATACACTCATACTAAGAAAATATCTTTATTTCCTTTTTCCTTCATTATGTGTTATAAGATTTATTGACTTTGCATTAGCACTTAAGTATTATTAACTTTACGTTATGGTATTTGGGTTGGGGATTTCTGCATTTCCAGTTGTGTGAAGAATAGTTGTATTATATTAGGCATACTTGTGACCTTATTATTTTCCTTATTCAAAGATTGTGTATGATCTCAGGAGATATGTGTGGGTTCAAGTTGACAAGGGGTGGACTTGTGATAGTTAATACTAAGTGTCAATGTGGTTAGATTGAAGAATGCAAAGAATTAATCCTTGGTGTCTCTGTGAGGGTGCTGCCAAAGGAGATTAACGTTTGAGTAAGTCAGCTGCAAAAGACAGACCCTCCCTTAATCCGAGTGGGCACCATCTTACTAGCTGCCAGCATAACTAGCTGCTGGCTAGAAAAATATGAAAAGATGAGACTGGCCTAGTCTCCTTGCCTACATCTTTCTTCCATGCTGGATGCTTTCTGTCCTCAAACATCAGGATCCAAGTCCTTTAGTTTTGGGGACCTGGATCAGCTCTCCTTGCTCCTCAGCTTGCAGATGACTTATTATGAAATGTTTGATGAATACAGCCATTCAAACTCTCCCCACAAACAGAGAGAAAGACATTCATCTTAACCTTGGTTTTCAGTTATAAAGAGCATAGATGTGATTCTTACTCTTTAATTTTATAGCCAAAATCTGTTATTATGTAGGTTTGACAGCAGAATGTATACCCTTTCTGTCACTTTCCAAAAACTCAGTGTAAGAATTGGCTGGAAAAAATCTTTTGTAGAGCTCCTGACTGCAGTACAACAAATATCCCTTTAAAAACCTTAAACTCAGGCCTTAAAGAATTTTCCTAAAGTTTAGATGATTCACATAAATATAAAAATATTGAAAAGTCATGAAAGAAACCAACACGAAAAATATAAGGAGAAACAACAAGAACCATTTGAGAAATACTGCAGATCCTTTAATAAGCAGACATTGAATATAACATAACTAGCTTAATGAATTTTAAAAAATGAAACATTAATATTAAAAGTGTGGTCAAGTATTAAAAGATTATCTTAAAGGTTAAGATAGGTCTGAAAATCTGGAGAGAAAATAGAAATTTTAGATGCAATAAATACAATACTTGGAAAGTAAAAACTCAATAGAGCATTTAGAGAACAAAAGTCAGAAACAGTTTAATTCCTTGAAAGGCTTGAATGAGTAAACTTAAAATCAAGAAGAGAATTTTATTCTCAGAAAAGAAAGAAAAATTCATAACCAATAAAATGACTTAAAAATGCTGAAAGATTTTCTAGAACAGAGACTTTCTCTATAAGAAATTTCTGGGAAAGAAAGAGAGGTCATTCTTGAAGAAACCTAGTAAAACAATGGCATGTAGTTATCAAAAACAGTGGATAATAATAATACATTTCATATAATTTAATGAAATAAGATAGAGTTTAAAATATTATATTAAAACATCCAAAATAAAAAAATCAAAATAAAAGATGATAAGGTCTTGAATTTTTCTTAAAGCTGGTAAAGATCTTGATTAGATTTAAACATAATTAAGATATATTTCTTCAAGTCATGACAATATATAAAATGAGGAAAAAATACAACAGTTTAATACAACAAATTTTAAACAGGAGATGAAAGTGAAACCTAAGGACTAGAGCAAATATAAATAAAACTTAAAATTATAAACATATATCTAAATATTTGAATAAAAAGTTTAAATAAACATGCGTACTAAAAATATATATCTTTCTAAAAACTGGAGCTCTGTGCTGCTTATGAAACTTACATCAAACACAAGGCAAGAAACAGTTAATAAATTATGTAAATGGATATACTGGGTAAATTCCATGCCCTAGCAAACACTGCATGTTTTCAGATTTAAAGCAACAATTGATACTAAAGGAAAAATTATGGTAACCTAGATAACAAAACTTTCAGTAGACTAGGAGGATAATACAGTTTTAATCTACACTTCTAAAATATAGACAGCAAAAATTGTTTAAATCATAATATTCCAAGAAATTTAAAAATTAATTAAATAATTTAAACAATTCAATTAATTATTTTAATTAACTTTAAATTAATTGAAATAATTAGTTGATTCAATTAATTATATCAATGAATTACATTATAATGAAACATTTTAATACAACACTCCAAGATTATTGGTTCAGCAGAGGTTAAACTATGTAAGAAGCTATTTAAAAAACTTTATCCAATAGGCAGTTACAGGATATAGTATCTAGCAATGCACATTGTTCTAAAAACTCAGAAACATTTAAAGACATACTATGCCTTAAGGCAAGTCTCAATACATTTCAAAGGTCCATGTATTATCAAGAACACATTCTGATTCCAATACAAACAATTATAAAAATATACATATTTTTAATCATGTAAATTGGAAATACATAATACAGACTTGTTAATAACATATAAAAAACAAAATTTGAAATACAGAACTAAATAATAGTTTAAAATATTAAGTATCAGTACTTTTGGAATCCTGATAAAAGAAAAGTTAGTCATAAAAAAAAGGTTAACGTTTGGTGTTTCATGAAGAAATAAAAAAGGTGGCACTAATATGTGAATCATTTGTTATAGTTAGGAAAGGAAGAAACATGTACACCAAAAGAAAAAAGGCATAAATAAGAAAATAATGAACGAAGAGCAGAAGTTAATCAAATAGAAAAAGAATTAGTTCTTTGAGAAGATAACGAAGCTTACAGATCTCTGACCAGATTCACTGGGGAAAGAAAGAACACATAATATTAAGACATAAAGAAAGGGTATGCTCAGCTAGGCAGCAGAAATTTAGAAATACAGCAGTATTAGAAACATCTTTACACAAACAAATTTTAATTCTTCAGTGAAACAGAAAAGTCTCTACAAAAAAGTCAGTTACCCAAACTAGGAACTAGGAAGAACTAAGAAACTGCACTTACTGTAGCATTTTGAAAAAAAATGTGTCCACATTTAAATTATCCCTATAAAAAAGTATTAGAATCAACTGCTTTTATAGTTGGATTCTACTACACATTCAAGGAAATAAATATTTCTGAGAAGTGAAAAAGAGAAGAAAAACAATCCTAATTAATTTTCAAATGAATAATGTCTTGTTACTACTTTCAAACAAACAGCATAAGAATTAAAAACAAAAAAGATTAATTTTACTTCACAACAATGTGAAAACATGAGCAAAATATAAGCGTATTATTTTGTTTTCACACAGTTGTAAAGAAACACCTGATACTGGGTAATTTATAAAGAAAGGAGACCTAATTGGCTTATAGTTTCTCAGGCTGTGCAGGAGGCATGGCTAGGAGGTCTCAGAAAACTTAAGATTATGTGAGAGGGCCAAGGGAAAGCAAGTGTGTCTTCACATGGTGGCAGGGAAGAGAGTGTAAAGGGTGAAGTGCTGCACATTTTCAAAAAATTCCATCTCATGAGAACTCATTTGCTATCATGAGAACCTAAAGAGAAATTCTGCTCCCATGATCCAATCACCTCCAACCAGGCCCCCCTCCAAAACACGAGGGTTAAAATTCAGCATGAGATTGGGTTAAAACAGAGCCAAACCATATCAATGAGCAAACAAATGTAAGGTTATACATCATAACCACATATCTACACTAAATTTATTTCAAAGAGAAAGGAGGGGCTCAACTTAAGGAAATCTATTTATTTAATGCATCATACGTATATATTAAAGTAGGAAAAAGTATAATTACATCAATGAATACAGAATAAACATCAAATAAAACAGAATAGCTATTTATAATAAGAGATTAAAGTACAAATAAAGAAAGTGTTCCTTATCAGAAAATACTACCTTCAAAATCAGAAGAAAGACTAGAAGGCTCGCTATTACCATTTCTCTTCAACATTGTCCTGCAGATTTTTAACTTGTAATATGAGACAAATAATACTAATAAAAATACTTTAATATATAAGAATTGGAAAGAAAGAAGTAAAATATTCCTCATCTGTAGATGACATGATTACCTACATGGAAAACTTCAAAGAACATACAAATCATATATACTAATAAGAAAACTTAGAAATTTTTCTAGATGTAGTATTAAGATGTCAAAGTTGAAACTACCTACCTATAAGAGAAAGCCACAGGATGGCCAATTACTTGAGTGATAATGGAGGCTTTACTTCCATTGTGAGATGTGTGATATTAAAGTATACATAATGGTCCCTCAGTATCAGTGAGGGATTGTTTCAGGACATCCATGGATACCAAAATCTGCAGATTCTCAATTTCTTGGCATTAGATAATGTAGTATTTGCATATAACTAACTGTCTAGCTCTTAAAGAAGGTAGCCATGATTCACTGCAGTAGGCACTAAAAAGAAGGCCCTTCTATTATCAAAGGAAATTCTCTGGGAAAGAAAACGGCTGAGGCCACATCTAAAGAGGTAACATTGTTACAGGCCACTGGCTAATGTCAGATACTGCACCCATGTTGGGAACACCACACTGTACCCACGAAAAAATTCAATCGGCAGAACAGAAAGGCTTACAAAAGAATCCCTCAGGATGGTTGCTAGAATGCAACAAAACTCTTTCTCCCTGAGGCAATGCAATGAAAAAGAGTTAATCTTTTATATGACTCCTCACTTTTGGGACAGGTCTCAATATACAAGTTATTTTCTCAAATCATTTAAGGAAAGAATCTATTCCAGACTATAAAGAGGACGGCCAGGGCCTATGATCTTTGTGACCGTAACAATCCAGGAAGCTACTCCACACTCCTTCCTCTACTCAAACCTTTACAACATTGAGGGGCATACACTGGAAAGCCTGTCAAATAGAATTTTTTGTTTGTTTGTTTGTTTTTGACAAGGAGTCTCACTCTGTCGCTAAGCTGGAGTACAGGGGCACGATCTCTGTACACTGCAACCTCCACTTCACAGGTTCAGGAGATTCTCCTGCCTCACTCTCCCAAGTAGCTGGTATTACAAGCACGTGCCATCGTGCCCAGCTAATTTTGTATTTTTAGTAGAGATGGGCTTTTGCTGTGTTGGCCAGGATGACCTCAATCTCCTGACCTCGTTATCCACCCACCTTGGCCTCTCAAAGTGCTGGGATTACAGGTGTGAGCCACCAAGCCCAGTCAGCAAATAGGGTTTTATCAGATACAACCATACAGGTGAAGGAAACATTTGCCTGTTTTTATAGACACCTTCACCAAGTGAATTGAGGCTTTTCCCACAAGGACAGAGAAGGCATTATGAGTGTCCAAATTTTTACTTAATAAGATCAACTGTAAAGTTTCAATTACCTGAAAGTCTGCAGAGCGATAATGGAACTACCTTCACAGTTAGAGTGACCCAATAGATTGCATTCAGCTTTAGACGTTACCTATCACCTTCACTCCCCATGGAGTACTCAATCCTCAGGTAAAATAGAAAAATCTAATCATGTTTTGAAAAGACATTAGCTAAGTCATGTCAGGAGACCTCAGAGACCCAGGTTCCTCTCTTAGCCATAGTCTTTATACACATAGGAATGACCCTTAAAATACTTCCCAAAAAATCCACTTGAGGCGAGTTATGTGAGGCCATGTTTAGCTTGGGGTCTCCTGCTTAATAAAGAGATACATAGTTAACTCATAAGTTGACACATATTGTCAACTTAAGCTAGGTTAGAAAACTCCTCCAAGCCTATGGACAAAAAGTATTGTCCCCTCTCACAACACAATTAACTGGCCTCCTATTCAATCATGAAACTTTGTAAACATTTTGAAAGAAGCATCCCCTGAGAATCAATTACAACCAAAACAGAAGGGCCCCTATCAGGTGTTGTTGACTATCCCAGTCCTTTTAAACTTTAGGGCATACCTAGTTGGATACAATTGTCCAGGATTAAACCTGTTTCTTATAAGTTGCAGGCACAAATGGAGGACACTGTAACCTAAATCTAAATTTTTGGAAGATCGCCACTACCTACTTAAAAGTATCAACAGTCATTCATCCAGAATTGGCAACATAATGCTGCCAGTGGGAATAGAGGGTCTTCCTACTAGGGAAGACTGAGAAAAACACAATTGAGCTCCTGAATTTTCTAGAAGAGGAAGGGTATCATTGTCAGTTTCACAATTTTCTGTGAAGAAGGGTATTTCTCTCTTTTTCCACCTTTTTAAAATCTATCTTAGGACCCTTGACAGCTGTATTGTTACTAATTTATTTACTTGTTTGTTTAGCCTCATAGTAAGGTTTGTATCTTGTAGATTACTATATTTCCAGGTGAAAACAACGCTGGCTTAAGGCTTTTGAGTTATCTTATGTACTGACCTGGAGAATTATAATGTTGTTTCTCCCCTTTAGCTCATGCATCCAGAGAAATTTACTTCTCTAGTGCTAGGCAAGGCCAATGCTCATGACTCAGCAGGAAGCAGTTACAGTGCATGGACCTCCTCCCTCCTGCAGCCCCCTTAAGATTAAGGGAAAGTAGTTAATGTCTGAGTGGAGAATGAGGTTGAAGGTGGGACTCAACTCCAGGGGTAGGGCTCACATAGGATCCAGATTGAGGACTAACTAAAACAGGGACTAGGCAGAAGGAGTTTTCAACCAGACATGCCCACCAGTCTGCCGTGTCATTTTACCATTGCCGCTACAACACACAGGAGGTACCACCCTTCTATGGCAATGATCCAATGATTACCACCCCTTCCCTATAAATTTCTGCACTTCTGCAATAATCCATGCATTTAAAAGCAAATATAAATATGACTGCAAAATATCCCTGACCTGTTCCTCTCTTGCTATGGTGTAACCCTGTTCTGAAAGACGAGTCACAGAGCTGTAACACTGCAAGAGCTGTAATTCTGTCTCATTGTGTCCGGAATTGGTAGGTTCTTGGTCTTGCTGACTTCAAGAATGAAGCCGCGAACCCTCACGATGAGTGTTACGGTTCTTAAAGATGGTGTGTCTGGAGTTTTTTCCTTCAGATGTTCAGATGTGTCTGGAGTTTCTTCCTTCTGGTGGGTTCATGGTCTCACTGGCCTCAGGAGTGAAGCTGCAGACCTTCGTGGTGCTCATACAAGTGGCACAGACACTAAGAGTGAGCAACAGCAAGACTTATTGTGAAGAGTGAAAAAACAAAGCTCCCACAGAATGGAAGGGGACCCGAGCAGGCTTCCACTGCTGGCTCAGGTGGCCTGCTTTTATTCCCTTATCTGGACCCACCCACATCCTACTGATTGGTCCATTTTACAGACATCTGGTTGGTCCATTTTACAGAGAGCTGATTGGTCCATTTTGACAGCCTGCTGATTGGTGCGTTTACAATCCTTTAGCTAGACACAGAGTGCTGATTGGTGTGTTTATAATCCTTTAGCTAGACAGAAAAGTTCTCCAAGTCCCCACCAGATTAGCTAGACACAGAGCGCTGATTGATGTGTTTACAAACCTTTAGCTAGATACAGAGCACTGATTGGTGCATTTACAATCCTTTAGCTAGACAGGAGGCCAGCAGAAGGAGCCAGTCCCAGCCTCAACCAGCCCCAGAGAGGGGCCCCCACAGGGCAGTGGCCAGTTGAAAGGCTCCTCAAGCAGAGCCAGAGCGGATGCTGAGGTGAAGGAAGCACCAAGAGCGAGCGAGGGCTGCTAGTATGTTGTCACTTCTCAATCCCCCCTCTAAACAGGACACCCCAACTGCTGCTGGGAATTTGGCCAATGACCACTCTAGCTACTCACTGCTGGATAGAGGTGAAGAAAGGGCCCTTCAGTTGTAGTGTCCTCCAGAGGGGAACGCTTTAGGCCAGTGGAAGGGCCAGCGTGTTGGTCCAGGGGTCCTCAGTAGAAGTTGTTAGTTGAGCTCATTTGGGTTTCCATTTGTAAGACCATCTGTAGCTTCTTGGCCTCAATTCCAAGGAAACAAATTTGAGAAGCAGGTTAAAAATACAGGGTCCAAAGGCGAGTAAAAGCAAGATGGCTGCCACAGGACCTAGAAAGCGGAGAAGCCATGTTGCCCAACTAGAGAGGTTGGTATGAGTTTGAAAGGCATTGTCTGATTTCAGAAACCATTTCCTATAAATGCTGGGTGGCATCTCGTACTATCCCTGATGGCTTAGTGTAAAAACAACACTCTTCCCCTAAGAAGGTGCAGAGTCCTCCTTTCTCAGCAGTGAGGAGGTCTAGGCTTCAGCGGTTTTGGAGAGTCACTGCAGCTAAAGAGTCTATTTGGGATTGCAGAGTAAGGATAGGTTCGTTATTTCTTACAAACCGCCTGAGAAATCCTTTGAGAGTATGTGGTAGTAGGATAATGAAGTAGATATACTGGCTCTTCTGGTTCCTGTAGCAGTAGCCATTCCTAACCCTATAAGTAGGTGGTATTTGTTGTATGGCCCTGTGCTGATGGACTTGAGCTTTGAGGGGTACTGATAAGTTTTGATTTCCTGGGGCAATGTTAATGTTGGAAGTTAGAAAGACTAAGTGCAGCTGTCTGTCCACTTAGTGGGGAGGCAGATATAGGTCGATGTTCCACATAAGAAGAATATACCTTGGCTGGGTAGACAGAACTGGTTGTGTATGTTAAAAAGGTGTGTGAATTTGTTGTTTTCTTTTTCCCATACTCCTAGAGTACTTGCCAAGGTAGCTCCAGTGACTGGCTGGCAAGGGGTGTTGGGAGAAAACTGAATGGCTCCCTGTGTTCTATTTTCCCATTGGAGAAAAAAACGTTTTGTATCCACTAGGAACAATTTGAGAGAGTGATTGAAAGAGGGGATGAGAAGGCATTCACTAGTGGTGGGGGCACTGCTGCAGGGGGCCCAGGGGTGAATGATCATGCAGGGAGTATGTTTGCCATTACAAGACCTGGACCGTTTGTTAAGCAGGGAGGCAGTGATGATTTTGGGGCCCTGAGAAGCAGACAAGCTGTCTGAATGGAGCTGTTTGGGTTACTATGATCAGTTGGGGCTTGAAGTTGTAGGGTGTAATTACACTGATGGGGTAGTAGGTGCCCCAGGGGCAGGCTCATAAGAGGTTGCATTGGCTGCATAAAGGAGCTTGGAAAGTTAAGATAGTATTCATAGCTACAGGGCCATGTATGGGCTTTTCATTGCTTGCATAATAGGTGTGGTTGGAAATCTAAGAACGTAAAAGTTGGATTGCACATCCTGTTAGGGTATTCTTGATCCTATCAGAGATGGGGAAGTTGGCTAACGATTGCATATTTAGAAGTCAGAAAGGGTCTTTTCCTTCATAACAAGGGTGGTAGGTTAAGTTGGTAAAGATGCAATTTTTGGCAGGAATGGGAGTGGCAACATAAGAAGAGGTTGATAGGGAGACACAAAGCCAACAGTCATTTGCCAGGGAAGGACTGGACTGGTTTAACAGAGACTGGGTTAAGTTGAGAGTCTTGTAGAGGAAATTAGGAAAAAGTGGAAGGGGAGGGGTGATTATATGAGGTATCCAAGGAAGCAGGAGGGATGCATAGGCAAAGAGCAAATAGGAAGGTAAAGAGGATGCTCTGGAAGAAGAGATCATTTTCTCGAGTCTGAGTTAAAGGTAGGAGTAAATTGCTGTTAAAAGAAGAAAGATGGAAGGTTGATGTGATTAGCATTTTCGTACTGGCAGGAGCTAGAGTATATAATCCTATCACAAAGAGTATGGTTAGTGTGTTGTTTTCACTTATCTTTTTTAAGCAGGAAGGAGTTTTTCCTCAGGATCAGTGGTAGGAGCCTTTTTAGTGTGGGATGTTTCCTTCTGAAATAGAAGATGCAAGTCCTCCAATGGTTCACAGGTGTATCGAGGCTGGTCTGGCTGATCTTGGGACTCCTGAGCTGACGGTTCCACAGGTTCCTCAGGGGACGTCCAAAGTTTAACTCAGGTGTGGTAATCCAAGTTTCCATTCCTGCCACCTTAATCGCAGTGAGAGTAGAGAGGATTACCGAGTATGGTCCTTCCCACAAAGAGTTGAAACAACTCTGTTCCCTTTTCTCTGTGACATCCTTCAGGTAGGTTTTTAAGGTTTTGTTGATATTTTGACAAAGAAGTTATATCTTTGACCAAGTAGGCCATTTCCTGATCCAGTAGGGGGTCTTTTGTGAGAAAAGATCGTCCATACAGCATTTCATATGGACTGAGCCCCATTTTGTGAGGAGAATTTCGGATTCTCAACAAGGCAATGGTCAAAATAGCTAGGCCATGGGAGATGTGTTTCTTGTGTTAGTTTCCTTAAGTGTCTCTTAAGTGTTTCATTTGCCTTCTTGACCTTCCCTGAGGATTGTGGCCTCCAGGCACAGTGAAGGTGATATTGTATCGCTAGCACCCTGGAAATTCCTTGAGTTATCGCAGCCTTAAAAGCCAGACAATTTTCACTCTGTAAGCTTTGGGGAAGCCCAAATATAGAAATTATTTCATGAATTAGGAGTTTAATCACTTCCTAAACCTTCTCTGTCTTGCAGGGGAAAGCTTCTATCCAATCTGTAAAGGCATCAACACAGACCAACAAGTATTGAAATCCCTTTGACTTAGGCATATGGGTGAAATCTAACTGCCAGTCCTTTCCAGAATAGTGACCTATTCTTTGCTCTCCCAAAGGGGTCTTACTATGGATGAAGGGATTATTCCTTTGGCACACCTAACAGGCTTTGACTACCTGTTGGATGGTTTGGAGAAGATTTGGCCCTGTAAATAGGGATTTGGCCATTTGATGAGTGTTTTCAATACCCATATGTAAAGTTTGGTGGAGGGTTTTACGTATTTTCCACTGGCTGGCTTTGGGTATAAGTACCTTTCCTTCTTCTGTAGCCAACCTGAGGGGAGAAAACTATGCCCCCATGAAATTCCCCACTCTGCTTCAGGTGGGGAATACTGAGGCTTAATCTCTTGGTGGGGGTTTGTTCCATACTAAGGGTCCTTCCATAGGTATTTCTAAAGGGGGATTCTGCCTGGCAGGAATTTTGGCCTCAGAATCAAACCAACAGTTTCCTTCTGACTTTTCTCCTTCACCTTTCTGATGGTTTTGGCAGTGTAAGACTGCCACCTCTTTGGGTTTTTCCACTGCATGCAATAACTGTATAATTTCCTTGTGGTATTTAATGGGGGTCCTCACAGAGGTTAGGAACTCCCTTTCTTTCCATATTGCAGCATGGGCATGTAGGATTAGATAACCGTACTTGCTATCTGTGTACACATTTACTCTTTTTCTTTTTCCCAGTTCTAAGGCTCGGGTAAGTGTCATTAGTTCTGCTAACTGGGCACTGGACCCTGCAGAAACAGGCTTACTTTCAAGTAAGGTTAGTTCACTAACTATAGCATAACCTGCCCTTCATATCCTGTTCTTCACTAATGAACTTCGATCGGTACATAGGTTAAGGTCAGGATTAGCTAAGGGGACTTCTAAGAGATCATCTCAGGTGGCATAAGTCTGGACTATAATTTGTTGGCAGTCATACTCGATGGAGTCCCCATCCTCTGGGATAAAAGTGGCAGGGTTGAGGGCCACACACATATGTATTTGAAGAACTGGTCCCTCAAAGAGTAGCACCTGATGTCTAAGTAGGCAGTTTCCTTATAGCCATACACTTCCTTTGGTACCTAGTATGCCATTTACATCATAAGCAGTACAGACAGTGAGATTCTTTCCTTGTATTATTTTGATAGCCTCTGACACTAAGACCACCACCACTGCAACTACTCATAAACAGTGAGGCCAGCCTTTTGCTACTTCATCAATTACCTTACTTAGATATGCCACTGGTTGTGGGGTTGTCCCACGAGTCTGAGTAAGGACTCCAAGAGTGATCCCTGCTCTCAGTGATGTATAAAGAGCAGTTTTATCCTTTGGAAAGGCTTAAAGCTGGAGCTTGTACTAGGGCCTGCTTTAAGGTTTTGAAGACTATTTCTGCCTCTTGTTCCCATTCTACTAGATGAGCATTTGCTCTCTGGGTCTCCTTGACTAGAGTATAGAGGGGCCAGGCTAACTTGCCGTTTCTGGGGATCCATAGTCAGCAAAAGCCAGTGACTCTAAGGAACCCTCATAACAGTTCTAAGGTCTTAGGGTGAGGATGAGCCAGTATAGGCTGTCTTCATTCCTTGCTGAGGGCCCTGGTCCCTCTGGCTAAGACTAGGCCTAGATATTTGACCTGCTGTAGGCAAAGCTGGGCCTTTGACCTAGACACTTTGTATCCTTGATTAGCTAGAAATTTCAAGAGATCTAGAGTAGCCTGCTGGTATGAGGCTTCTGAAATGGTAGCCAAAAATAAATCATCCACATACTGAAGGACCAGAGTGCCTGGACTTGAGAAGTGGCCTAGATCTTGGGCCAGTGCCTGATCAAACAGATGAGGGCTATCTTTAAATCCTTGGGTCTAGACTGTCCATGTAAGTTGGAATGTGTGATCTTGCAGGATCCTCAAAGGCAAAGAGAAACTGCGAGTCAGAGTGCAGGGGAATACAGAAGAAGGCATCCTTGAGGTCCAGAACAATGAACCATTCTGCTTCTTCTGGTATTTGACAGAGCAGGGTATAGGGTTTGGGTACAACCGGATATAGAGGAATTAGTGCCTCATTGATGAGTTTAAGATCTTGCACTAATCTTCACTGACCATTTGGTTTTTGTATTCCTAGAACTGGGGTGTTGTAGGGACTGCTGCATTTCCTTACTAAGCCTTCAGCTTCTAAATGTTTAACAATATCCTGTAATCCTTTATGAGCTTCAGGCCTTAAGGGATATTGCCTTTGACAAGGAAAAGTGGTGGGATATTTTAGCCTGATTTGGACTGGGTGAACATATTTTGCCCTTCGAAATTGTCCTTCCAATGCCCAGACTTCAGGGTTGATTCCCTCCTCAAGTAGGGGACAACAAATGAGTAATTTACTCCCCATATTCATGTAGATAATGGCTCCAGCTTTGGCTAATATATCCCTCCCTAGTAAGGGTGCAGAACTTTCAGGCATAACAAGAAAGGCATGTGAAAAGAGCAGCCTCCCAATTACAATTAAGGAGGTGGGAGAAATACCTGGTTACAGGATGTCCCAGGATTCCTTGGATGGTAACGGACCTTGAGCACAGTCATCCAGGACAGCAGATTACCACTGAGAAGGCTGCACCAGTGTCCAGAAGGAAGTCAATTTCCTGGCCACCAATGGTTAAGCATATCCAGGGCTCAGTGAGGGTCGCAACGTGAGCTGACACTTGCCCAGGGCACCCTCATTCCTGTTGTTGGATTATCTGGTTGGGGGCCTCTGACCTAAAGAACCTTTGTCCTCTGGGGCAGTGCACCTTCCAGTGATTGTCTCAGCATAGCGGACATGGATTACGGGGTGGCTTGTTCCTCATTGGACAATCTTTTTTAAAGTGTCCTTGTAAACCACACTGATAACAACCGCTACCAGGTGATTGGCCTGCTCCATTTTCTGTCCTCTCTGAACCAGCAAGGTTTGTCTGTCTGAGGTCCATGACTAAGGCTGCGGCCTTTCTCTGATCCTGCTTTTCCTTTTGGGCCTGTTCCTCTTAGTCGTTATTATAGAACATGGAGGTTGCCAGGTTTAATAATGCCTCTAGATTTTGTTCAGGGCCAAGGGCTTGCTTTTGCAGCCTTCTCCTGATATCTGTGGCTGATTGGGTAATAAACTTATCTTTTAGAATCAATTGACCCTCAAGTGATTCGGGTGACAGGGGAGTATATTTTCATAAGGCCTCCCATAGCCACTCAAGGAAGGCAGAAGGATTTTCTTCCTTTCCCTGAGTTATGGTGGACATCATTGAATAATTCATGAGATTTTTCCTAATTCTCCTTAGTCCTTCTAGAACACAGGTCAACAGATGTTTACGACTCCAGTCCCCCTGATCTGAGTCAAGATACCAGTGGGGATCCATACTGGGGATGGCTTGCTGACTGGTAGGGATTTTTTCCCTTTCTTCAGCTGTCATTCTATCACTTACTTGGCTAAGATACCAGGTATCTCCAAACTCGGGCTGCTGCTAAAGACACATTCTTTTCATTAAAGGCCAGGCTTTTGCCTAACAGTAGCATAACATCTCTCCAAGCGAGGTCAAAGGTTTGCCCTAGACTCTGTAGGACATCTATGTACTTATCGGGATCATCTGAAAACTTCCCCAGGTCTGCCTTGGTCTGCTTTAAGTCAGAGAGGGAGAAGGGTACATGTATCTGAGTTGGACCAAATTCCCCTTCCCCTAGAGCTTGTAGGGGGCATAACTGATAGTCTGGAGGGTTTGGGGTCCTTTGGAGATTTCTTTGCTTATTTCCTTCTGGGCAGGGGAGATAAGAGGAGGCTTATCATTAATAAGAAGGGGAGCTGTAGGGAGGCTAGGATATGGGGGTAAGCTGAAATGTCCTCCTGTGGGGTGTAAATTGCAAACTTTGCATAGTTGTGTATTCTCCTTCAATGAAAAGAAAGCTTGGACATAAGGCATTTCACTCCATTTGCCTTCCCTCTTACAAAAGAGGTCAAGCTGTAGGATAGTATTGTCATTTGTACTTCCCTCAGGTGGCCATTTTTCCCCATCAGAGGGAGAATATTGGGGCAAGCCAAAGTGCAGAAAAAAATGAGCCACCTACTTTTCAGGATTGGTGTGTCAAATTGGTACCATTGGCTTAGGATGCATTTCAAGGGTGAACCTCTTGATGCCGGAGTGTTTTCCATCTGAAAGGCAAAACTGCCTATGGTTTTGTTCTGTTTTGTTTCTCCCCCTGCCCAAGAACCCACAATGGTCCCTGGACACTGCTGATCAGAATAGTTGTGCTCACTGATGCAGCAGGAGGGACAATGCCTGCTCAAGATCCCACAACAGTCCCTGGACCCTGCTGATCAGAATAGTTGCACTCACCAATGCAGCAGCAGAAACACTAGTTTTCCTCCAAGACCACAAGGAGGAGTGAAGAAGGTCAGATTTAGTGGCCCTTTCTGATGCATTTTGGGAAAGCTGCACCCTTGCCTGTCCTCCTAGCCCACAAGGAGGACCAGAAAAAATTGGATTTAGTGGCCCTTACTGATGCATTCTCAAAAACCTGTTAGAGTCCTAAGCATTCTCCTCTTAGTACTGGGACCTTATCTGTGTCCTATAAAGATATTATGCCCAAAAAAAGAAGTGGAGGTCCATAACCTGAGGGAAGGAAATGATCTCCAGGTTTGGAAGTGTGACACCTTTTGTCCTCACTTATGTGAATAAGAAGGATACAATTTCTGAGGCTCCCCATATCCTAGCTTCAGCAATAGCTTTTGTTAGGCCTGCTAGTCTGAGGTGGGATCCTAAAATTCCAGATATTTCCCCCTGCAATGGGGCTTTGGGCAAAAAATATGTTTTTCTGATTGGTGAGCCCAGGTGCCTGAGGAAGGTAACAGAGTCCTGAAGCTTACACTAGAAATCATATTATAGCAGAAACTAAGGAAGCACCAGAGACAGGGAATGGTTTTTAGAAGTGGGGCTAGCCTCAGAGAAAAGTGGCAAGAGGAAGTTTGTCTGGCAGGCATTAGGACCCAGGGGCAAGTGTCAAGATAGATAGGATAGATGGACGAGTCTCTCTTGGGCAACATGCCTTTGAGAGTTCTGCTCATGGCTGCAGGGTCAACCAACTTGTTGTCAGGACCCTGGAGCCGAATGGCTTTCCTCTCTGTCAACCCTTGGCTTGGCCCAGAATTACAGGAAAAGTGGAAGCTGGTTTGAGGCAAACCAACGCTCCCAACTCCAAAGAGTCGGGGGTTGTTAGAGAGCCCTTTTCAGAAAGGCTGACACCCGTGTCTTTAGTCCAGCAGCCACGCTAGTTGCTTTTAACTGGCCGAAAGTGCCCAATATTTAGCCCCAGAATTCTAGGGAAAAATAGCACATAATAGCAAGAGAAAGGGGTCTGATGGTACTCACCACTTGGCAGTAGGTGATGATCTCACCAATAGGCGATGGTCTTACCACTTGCTGATAGTCTCACTGCTTGGTGATAGGCGATAGTACCTTTGTGATTGCCAAAATGCGTCTGGAATTGATGGGTTGTTGGTCTCACTGACTTCAAGAATGAAGCTGCCAACCCTAGTGGTGAGTGTTACAGTTCTAAAAGATGGTGTGTCTAGAGTTTGTTCCTTCAGATGTTCAGATGTGTCCAGAGTTTCTTGCTTCTGGTGGTCTCACTGACTTCCGGAGTGAAGATGCAGACCTTCGCGGAGACTGTTACAGCTCTTAAAGGCAGCTTGTCTGGAGTTGTTAATTCCTCGTGGTGGGTTCATGATCTCACTGGCCTCAGGAGTGATGCTGCAGACCTTCACGGTGAGCTAATAAAGGTGATGTGGGCCCAAGTAAGGAGCAGCAGCAAGATTCATTGCAAAGAGCGAAAGAACAAAGCTTCCACAGCATGGAAGGGGACCTGAGTGGATTGCCACTGCTGGCTCGGGTGACCTGCTTTTATTCCCTTATCTGGCCCCACCTACATCCTAATGATTGGTTCATTTCACATAGAGCTCACTCGTCCATTTCACAGAGAGCTGATTGGTCGGTTTTCTCAGAGTGCTTATTGGTGCATTTACAATAACTTAGCTAGACAGAGTGCTGATTGGTGCATTTACAATCCTTTAGCTAGATACAAAAGTTCTCCAAGTTGCCACCAGATTAGCTAGACACAGAGCTCTAATTGGTGCATTTACAAACCTTTAGCTAGACACAGAGTGCTGATTGGCACATTTACAATCCTTAAGCTAGGCAGAAAAGTTCTCCAAGTCCCCATCTGACCCAGAAGCCCAGCTGGCTTCACCTCTCAATGGAACTCACTGGGGACTTTGTGGCATCTAGCCCAGGCACTCCAGCAGCCCAGAGGGAGCTCATCCTCTGATCAAGCCCAGCAGGTGCTGGCCAGCTTCGCTGAGTGTGGGGCCCACCCAGCCTGCACCCACATGGAACCAATGTCAGCCCAGGAGTGTCATGCACAGCCCTGGCTCCCACTGGCACCTGTCCCTCCACACCTCCCCGTGAGCAGAGGGAGCTGGTTCCACCCTCAGCCAGCCACAGAGAGGGGCCCCCACAGTGCAGTGGCAGGCTGAAGGGCTCCTGGAGCACAGCCAGAGCAGACTCCGAGGCCGAGGAGGCACCAAGAGCAAGCGAGGGCTGCTAGCACATTATCACCTCTCATCATCAGCTAAGCTATTTTTTTTTTCTACTTCTGGTTTGACATTGAATTCTTTCCTGAACAAAGCCAAGAAACCAGGAGGCTTAGCTCTGTTTGCGGCTTGCCTCTCCTGCATTGTGTCTACTATTCCATTCCAAGATTTAGTAAACTACAAATTAAGCAGATGAAGTGAATACAATTACTTTAAATGCAAAAGTTAAAGGTCACCAAAAAATTCAACAATCAACACTAAGAATACTTTTTAATGCAATGTTTTCATAATCCAAAATAATGCATAATCATAAAAAAGTATTATAATATTTTTAAAGATGGCACATTATTGATTCTTTATTTTGCTTAATGCTTCAGTATTCCTTAGCATAGCATTCATATTGATACTGATCTTATCTTTCCATAAAATATTTTGTCCAACATTTAATTTTTATTAATAATTATTTATGACGATTGCTCTGAAATACAGATCTTAATTACTGAGGCTTTTAAATCAATAAATCTTAGTAGAGTAGTTTTAGCCTTATAACAAAATTGAGAAGCAAGTAAAGAAAGCTCCCTTACACCCTGTGCCCACATGTACAACCTTCCCCACTATCAATATCTCTAATGAGACTGGTATGTTTGTTACAATTCATAAACCTACATCAACACTTTATCATTCAATATCTGCAATTTACATTAGGACTCATTTTTACTGTTGCACATTCTATGAGTTTTGACAAACATGTAATAAAATATATCCAAAATTATGGTATTATGTAGAATAGTTTCAGTATTGTATACTCTAATAATTACCTGAGTTGTGCCTATTTATTGTACTCTCCCTTGTAAATCATTGTGACCACTAATCTTTTTACTTCTTCAATAATTTTTTTCTAGATTGCCATATATTTGAAATAATATGTGTAGCATTTTCTGATTTGCTTATTTCACTTGTAAATATACATTTAATTTCCTTCCATGTCTTTTCATGACTTGAAAGCTCATTTTTTTCAGTGCTGAACAGTGTTAGATAAATAGTCCATAAACCACAGTTTATCCACTTAACTACTATACAACATGTCCATATGCAAATTTTGATGTAAACATGTTTTTAGTTTAGTTGGAAAAATTCCAAGAAGCAAGACCGCTGGATGAGATTGAGAGAGTGTTTAGTTTTGTTAAAAGAAAACAAAGCCTACCAGACATTCTTCTAAATTTGCTGTTATCAGTTTTTAGAATTTTTGCTATTTAATGTTTAATTTATTATCACATTCACAACTACCCAATAATATATGATGGTTATCATCCTTTCATATGCTCATTCCCTTAGTCTTAACTATTGGGGAGGCAAAGGAAAAGGATACGTGAGACTTGGAATTGGGAGGCTGCAGTGAGCTATGATGGAACCACTGCACTACAGCCCGGGGACAGAGACCCTGTCTCAAAAAAAAAAAAAAAAAAAAGAGCAAACAAAAGAAGAAAAGAAGGAAGGAAGGGAGAAAGGAAAAGAAAGAGTAGACAAGGGAAGGGAAGGAAAAAAGAAAAAGAAAAAAGGGAAATGAAGAAGGAATAATTTGTCAGCAAAATAGTGATGCCTAAGCAGGTTTTTCAGGTTTATTCCCTAGGATTCATTATATACGAGTTTGGTATTTAGTGTGTTTACTTGTTTTGTTTTGTTTTTGAGACTGGGTCATGCTGTATCACCCAGTCCAGAGTGCAGTGGCATGATCTTCGCTTAGTACAAACTCCACCTCCTGGGTGTAAAGGATTCTCCCAGCTCACCACCTGTAGCGGGGACCACAGTCTCATGCCACTACTCCCAGCTAATTGTATGTGTTTTTGGTAGAGACAGAGTTTCACCTTTTTGCCCAGGCTGGCCTGGAACACCTGGCCTCAAGTCATCTGGCTCCCCTTGGCCTCCCAATGTGCTGGAATTACAGGCTTAAGCCAACAACCTGGGCCTACAGATAGGGTTTTTCTTTCCAAACAATTCTTGATAAATCATGTGTTTTCTGAAATTATCTGTCATCTTATTTTCCACATCACTATAATAGTGCAAAGATTTCTTATAATTCTTTCATGTTTCTTTCTCTTGTTAAATTATTCTCTTGTTATTCTTTCAATGTGTGTGTGTGTGTGTGTGTGTGTGTGTATGTGTGTGTACTCATGCATGTGTGTTTCTTCATTTCCTTGTCTTCCTTGTTTAGGCATGTCTAAGTGTAAGTATATAATAATATAATTAAACAATTGGGTGTTTTACTTGATGTGAAACATCAGAAGCAACACAATTTTTTAAATATATTTTGTGTAGCTTTGACCAGTCACTAAGGAAAGCAGGATTGCAAGTAAACCTCTAGGTCTCACTGAATATAAATGTAATTACAATTCTATAGATTTTTTAGCCCTAAACTATGTTGCACATAGTGAGCTCAGTAAATTTTAATCTTATGATACTAATATCCAGTAGATACCGTTATTATATTCTCTTTGCTGATTGGGTAAATTTCAAAGATTAAGCAGTCTAACTTCACACAGCTATTAAGTGGTGAAGGTTAGATTTTTCTTGGTTTGCCAAACTTTATATTGTACAAATCACCACATGCATTATACCATCTGGTAGACACCAAGCTTTTGGTCAAATGATTTTTAACCGCTGCCCTAAAAAAAGTAGCCTATTTGCATGGCAAGCAAGATGTTTCGTGATCTTGCACTCTCTCCCTGTGTCCACTTGATCTTTGTGTATTTAGTGACATTCCTTGATCTTTGTGTATTTAGTCCTATTTCACTGATCACAAAAAAAGGCAGGTTATTCCACCGAGTAGATTTTTACTTGTAACATTGCATGTTTCTGCATATCCTCCCAGTAAATATAATTCTGTATTTGTGTTTTTGCTTTTCCTTCCACCACATGGATTATAATGACTCCATTCATCTCCACATGTTTTATCTCTGCCTAGAAAATGTTTCTTGGAAGTATATGTAATAGATTAAAAATCATTTTCAATCTTGTTTTTTACAATGTCTTTATAAGAGACAGTTTTCTTTAAGAAGAAAATATTTATAGAGGGAAGGTTTGTTGGTTTAAATCAATTTTTTTAGTAATAGATTCCTAAAACTGTGTACCTTTTAAAGGCTTGTAACTTAAGTTTCCTGTTTTGCAAATTAGGCCTAACAAAAATTATACGAATGTTATGGGACTTCTAAAAATGAACTTGGTGTAAAATATATGTAGATATTTTATCAAAGAGGTTGATCCTTATCATTATTTAGAAAATGACATTATGTGTATCCTCTTTTAAAAAAATACTGAGACATTTTCTCATACATCTTATGGCATCAACCATAATGTATAATTTACATATCTATTTTTCCTGTGCTGTAGTCTCACTAGCTAACTTACTAATTATTTGTATTAGTTAACAATTAAGTATATACTACTCAGTTACATATAACATTAATAAATGCATTCCATCAAGTAAATATCAATGAATACAAAGGGAACAATTATCTGTTCAAAATGGAAAAAGGGTAACAATAATGTAGAGAGAGCCATAGTCAAATCAATGTTCTTCTGCTAAGAATGTGACAAAAAGAATATGAGAAGAAAATGCTACAGTGGGTTTTGGTAAGAAAGAAACTAACAGGGGGTGGTTACAAGATGGCCAAATAGGAGCAGCTCTGGTCTACAGCACCCAGCGTGAGTGATGCAGAACGTGGATGATTTCTGCATTTCCAACTGAGGTACCAGGTTCATCTCACTGGTGATTGTCAGAGAGTGGGTGCAGGACAGTGGGTGCAGTGCACTGAGCATGAGCCAAAGCAGGGTGAGGCATTGCTTCACCCAGGAAGCTCAAGGGGTCAGGGAATTCCCTTTCCTAGCCAAGGAAAGGGGTGACAGAGGGCACCTGGAAAACAAGGTCACTCCCACCCTAATACTGCACTTTTCCAATGGTCTTAGCAAATGGCACACCAGGAGATTATAACCTGTGCCTGGCTCAGAGGGTCCTACACCAATGGAGCCTCACTCATTGCTAGCACAGCAGTCTGAGATCAAACTGCAAGGCAGCAGCGAGGCTGGGGAAGGGGTTCCCACCATTGCTGAGGCTTGAGCAGGTAAACAAAGTGGCTGGGAAGCTCAAACTGGATGGAGCCCACCACAGTTCAAGGAGGCCTGCCTGCCTCTGTAGACTCCACCTCTGGGGGCAGGGCATAGCCCAACAAAAGGCAGCTGAAACCCCTGCAGACTTAAATGTCCCTGTCTGACAGCTTGGAAGACAGTAGTTCTTCTCCCAGAATGCAGCTTGAGATCTGAGAACGGACAGACTGCCTCCGCAACTGGGTCCCTGACCCTCGAGTAGCCTAACTGGGAGGCACCCCCCAGTAGGGGCAGACTGACCCCTCATGTGGTCAGGTACCCCTCTGAGACAAAACTTCCAGAGGAACAATCAGGCAGCAACATTTGCTGTTCACCAATACCCACTGTTCTGCAGTCTCCGCTGCTGATACCCACACACACAGAGTCTGGAGTGGACCTCCGCAAACTTCCACCAACCTGCAGCTGAGGGTGGTGATTGTTAGAAGGAAAACTAACAAACAGAAAGGACATCAACACCAAAACCCCATCTGTACGTTATCATCATCAAAGACCAAAGGTAGATAAAACCACAAAGATGGGGAAAAAGCAGAGCAGAAAAACTGAAAATTCTAAAATCAGAGTGCCTCTCCTCCTCCAAAGGAATGCAACACCTCACCAGCAATGGAACAAAGCTGGATGGAGAATGACATGACAAGTAGAGAGAAGAAGGCTTCAGATGATCAAACTTCTCTGAGCTAAAGGAGGAAGTTCAAACCCATGGCAAAGGAGTTAGAAACCTTGAAAAAAGATTAGACAAATGGCTAACTAGAATAACCAAGGCACAGAAGTCCTTAAAGGAACTGATGGAGCTGAAAGCCATGGCACAAGAACTACGTGATGAATGCACAAGCTTCAGTAGTCGAGTCAATCAAATGGAAGAAAGGGTATCAGTGATGGAAGTTCAAATGAATGAAATGAAGCAAGAAGAGAAGTTTAGAGAAAAAAGTATGAAAAGAAATGAACATTTCTCTGATGGCCAGTGATGGTGAGCATTTTTTCATGTGTTTTTTGGCTGCATAAATGTCTTCTTTTGAGAAGTGTCTGTTCATGTCCTTCGCCCACTTGTTGATGGGGTTGTTTGTTTTTTTCTTGAAAATTTGTTTGAGTTCATTGTAGATTCTGGATATTAGCCCTTTGTCAGATGAGTAGGTTGTGAAAATTTTCTCCCATTTTGTAGGCTGCCTGTTTACTCTGATGGTAGTTTCTTTTGCTGTGCAGAAGCTCTTTAGTTTAATTAGATCCCATTTGTCAATTTTGGCTTTTGTTGCCATTGCTTTTTGTGTTTTATGCATGAAGTCCTTGCCCATGCCTATGTCCTGAATGGTAATGCCTAGGTTTTCTTTTAGGGTTTTTTATGGTTTTAGGTCTAACATTTAAGTCTTTGATCCATCTTGAATTAATTTTTGTATAAGGTGTAAGGAAGGGATCCAGTTTCAGCTTTCAACATATGGCTAGCCAGTTTTCCCAGCACCATTTATTAAATATGGAATCCTTTCCCCATTGCTTGTTTTTCTCAGGTTTGTCAAAGATCAGATAGTTATAGATAAGTGGCATTATTTCTAAGGGCTCTGTTGTGTTCCATCGATCTACGTCTCTGTTTTGGTACCAGTACCATGCTGTTTTGGTTACTGTAGCCTTGTAGTATAGTTTGAAGTCAGAAAGCGTGATGCCTCCAGCTTTGTTCTTTTGGCTTAGGATTGACTTGGCGATGTGGGCTCTTTTTTGGTTCCATATGAACTTTAAAGTAGTTTTTTCCAATTCTGTGAAGAAAGTCATTGGTAGCCTGATGGGGATGGCATTGAATCTAGACATTACTTTGGGCAGTATGGCCATTTTCACGATATTGATTCTTCCTACCCATGAGCATGGAATGTTCTTCCATTTCTTTGTATCCTCTTTTATTTCATTGAACAGTGGTTTGTAGTTCTCCTTCAAGAGGTCCTTCACGTCTCTTGTAAGTTGGATTCCTAGGTATTTTATTCTCTTTGAAGCAATTGTGAATAAGTATTCACTCATAATTTGGCTCTCTGTTTGACTGTTATTGGTGTATAAGAATGCTTCTGATGTTTGTACATTGATTTTGTATCCTGAGACTTTGCTGAAGTTGCTTATCAGGTTAAGGAGATTTTGGGCTGAGATGATGGGGTTTTCTAGATATACAATCATGTCATCCATAAACAGGGACAATTTGAATTCCTCTTTTCCTAATTGAATACCCTTTATTTCCTTCTCCTGCCTAATTACCCTGGCCAGAACTTCCAACACTATGTTGAATAGGAGTGGTGAGAGAGGGCATCCCTGTCTTTTGCCAGTTTTCAAAGAGAATGCTTCCAGTTTTTGCCAATTCAGTATGATATTGGCTGTGGTCTTGTTATAGATAACTCTTATTATTTTCAGATGCATCCCATCAATTCCTAATTTATTGGGAGTTTTTAGCATGAAGCATTGTTGAATTTTGTCAAAGGCCTTTTCTGCATCTATTGAGATAATCGTGTGGTTTTTGTCTTTGGTTCTGTTTATATGCTGGATTACATTTATTGATTTGCATATATTGAACCAGCCTTGCATCCCAGGGATGAAGCCCACTGGAGAAATGCAAATCAAAACCACAATGAGATACCATCTCACACCAGTTAGAATGGAGATCATTAAAAAGTCAGGAAACAACAGGTGCTGGAGAAGATGTGCAGAAATAGGAACACTTTTACACTGTTAGTGGGACTGTAAACTAGTTGAACCATTGTGGAAGTCAGTGTGGTGATTCCTCAGGGATCTAGAACTAGAAATACCATGCAACCCAGCCATCCCATTACTGGGTATATACCGAAAGGACTATAAATCATACTGCTTTAAAGACACATGAACACATATGTTTATTGTGGCACTATTCACAATAGCAAAGACTTGGAACCAACCCAAATGTCCAACAATGATAGACTGGATTAAGAAAATGTGGCACTTATACACCATGGAATACTATGCAGCCATAAAAAATGATGAGTTCATGTCCTTTTTAAGGACATGGATGAAATTGGAAATCACCATTCTCTGTAAACTATTGCAAGAACAAAAAACCAAACACTGTATATTCTCACTCATAGGTGGGAATTGAACAATGTGAACACATGGACACAGGAAGGGGAACATCACACTCTGGTGACTTTTTGTGGGGTTGGGGGAGGGGGGAGGGGGAGCACCTAATGCTAAATGACGAGTATATGCGCGCAGCACACCAGCATGGCACATGTACACATATGTAACTAACCTGCACATTGTGCACATGTACCCTAATACTTAAAGTATAATAATAATGAAAAAAAAAAAGAAATGAACAAAGCCTCCAAGAAATATGGGACTATGTGAAAAGACCAAATCTATGTCTGATTGGTGTACCTGAAAGTGATGGGGAGAATGGTACCAAGTTGGACAACACTCTGCAGGATATTATCCCAGAGAACTTCCCCAATCTAGCAAGGCAGGCCAACATTCAAATTCAGGAAATACAGAGAATGCCACAAAGATAATCCTCGAGAAGAGCAACTCCAAGATATATAATTGTCAGATTCACCAAAGTTGAAATGAAGGAAAAAATGTTAAGGTCAACCAGAGAGAAAGGTCGGGTTACCCACATGGGGAAGCCCATCAGACTAACAGCTGACCTCTCAGCAGAAACTCTACAAGCCAGAAGAGAATGGGGGCCAATATTCAACATTCTTAAAGGAAAGAATTTTCAACCCAGAATTTCATATCCAGCTAAACTAAGTTTCATAAGTGAAGGAGAAATAAAATACTTTACAAAGAAGAAAATGCTTTGAGATTTTGTCAGCACTAGACCTGCCCTACAAGAGCTCCTGAAGGAAGCACTCAACATGGTAAGGAAAAATTGGGACCTACCACTGCAAAAATATGCCAGATTGTGAAGACCATCAATGCTACAAAGAAACTGCATCATCTAATGAGCAAAATAATCAGTTAACACCATAATGACAGGATCAAATTCACACATAACAATATTAACCTTATATGTAAATGGGCTAAATGCTCCAATTAACAGACACAGACTGGCAAATTGGATAAAGAGTCAAGAACCATCAGTGTGCTGTATTTAGGAAACCCATCTCACGTGCAGAGACACACATAGGCTCAAAATAAAGGGATGGTGGAATATCTATCAAGAAAAGGGAAAACAAAAAATGGCAGGGGTTGTAATCCTAGTCTGATAAAACAGACCGTAAACCAACATAGAACAAAAGAGACAAATAAAGCCATGACATAATGGTAAAGGGATGAATTCAACAAGAAGAGCTAACTATCCTAAATATATATGCACCCAATACAGGAGCACCCAGATTCATAAAGCAAGTCCTTAGACACCTACAAAGAGACTTAGACCCTCACACAATAATAATGGGAGATCTTAACACCCCACTGTCAACATTAGACAGATCAATGAGACAGAAGGTTAACAAGGATATCCAGGAATTGAATTTGGCTCTGCACCAAGCAGACCTAATAGACATCTGCAGAACTCTCCACCCCATATCAACAGACTATGCATTCTTCTCAGCACCACACCACACCTATTCCAAAATTGACCACATAGTTGGAAGTAAAGCACTCCTCAGCAAATGTAGAAGAACAGAAATTATAACAAACTGTCTCTCAGACCACAGTGCAATCAAACTAGATCTCAGGATTAAGAAATTCACTCAAAACTGCTCAACTGCACGGAAACTGAACAACCTGTTCCTGAATGACTACTGGGTACATAACAAAATGAAGGCAGAAATAAAGATGTTCTTTGAAACCAATGGGAACAAAGACACAACATACCAGAATCTCAGGGACACAGTTAAAGCATTTTGTACACAGAAACTTATAGCACTAAATGCCCACAAGAGAAAGTAGGAAAGATCTAGAATTGACGCCCTAACATCACAATTAAAAGAACTAGAGAAGCAATAGTAAACACATTCAAAAGCTAGCAGAAGGCAAGAAAAAACTAAGATCAGAGCAGAATTGAAGGAGACAGAGACACAAAAAACCTTTCAAAAAAATCAATGAATCCAGGAGCTGTTTTTTTTTGAAAAGATCAATGAAACTGATAGACTGCTAGCAAGACTAATAAAGAAGAAAAGAGAGAAGAATCGATAGATGCAATAAAAAGTGATAAAGGGGATATCACGACCGATCCCACAGAAATACAAACTACAATCACACAATACTATAAACACCTCTAGGCAAATAAACTAGAAAATCAAGACGAAATGTATAAATTCCTCAACACATACACCTCCCAAGACTGAAAAATGATGAAGCTGAATCTCTGAATAGACCAATAACAGGCTCTGAAATTGAGCGACAATTAATAGCTTACCAAGCGAAAAAATACAGGAACAGATGGATTCACAGCCTAATTCTACCAGAGGCTCAAGGAGGAGCTGGTACCATTCCTTCTGAAGTTATTCCAATCAACAGGAAAAGAGGAAATCCTCCCTAACTCATTGTATGAGACCAACATCATCCTGATACCAAAGCCTGGCAGAGACACAAACAAAAAAGAGAATTTTAGACCAATATCCCTGATGAACACAGATGCAAAAATCCTTAATAAAATACTGGCAAACTGAATCCAGCAACACATCAAAAAGCTTATCCACCATGATCAAGTGGGCTTCATCCCTGGGATGCAAATCTGGTTCAACATATGCAAATCAATAAATGTAACCCAGCATATAAACCAAACCAAAGACAAAAAACGCATGACTATACCAATAGATGCAGAAAAGGCCTCCGACAAAATTCAACAGCCCTTCATGCTAAAAACTCTCAATAAATTCAGTAGTGATGAGATGTATCTCGAAATATAAGAGCTATTTATGACAAACCCACAGCCAATATCATACCGAATGGGCAAAAACTGGAAGCATTCCCTTTGAGAACGGGCACAAGACAGGGATTCCCTCTCTCACCACTCCTATTCAACATAGTGTAGGAATTTCTGGCCAGGGCAGTCAGGCAGGAGAAGGAAATAAAAGGTATTCAATTAGGAAATCAGGAAGTCAAATTGTCCCTGTTTGCAGATGACAGGATTGTATATCTAGAAAACCCTATTGTCTCAGCCCAAAATCTTCTTAAGCTGATAAGCAACCTCAGCAAAACCTCGGGATACAAAATCAATGTGCAAAAATCACAAGCATTCTTATACACCAATAACAGACAAAGAGAGCCAAATCATGAGTGAACTCCCATTCACAATTGCTTCAAAGAGAATAAAATACCTAGGAATCCAACTTACAAGGGATGTGAAGGACCACTTCAAGGAGAACTACAAACCACTGCTCAATTAAATAAAAGAGGATACAAACAAATGGAAGAACATTCCATGCTCATGGGTAGGAAGAATCAATATCGTGAAAATGGCCATACTGCCCAAGGTAATTTACAGATTCAGTGCCATGCCCATCAAGCTACCAATGACTTTCCGCACAGAATTGGAAAAAAACTACTTTAAAGTTCATATGGAACCAAAAAAGAGCCCGCACTGCCAGGCCAATCCTAAGCCAAAAGAACAAAGCTGGTGGCATCATGCTACCTGACTTCAAACTACACTACAAGGCTACAGTAACCAAAACAGCATGGTACTGGTACCAAACCAGAGATATAGACCAATGGAACAGAACAGAGACCTCAGAAATAATGCCACACATCTACAACTATCTGACCTTTGACAAACCTGAGAAAGAAAAAGAAATGGGAAAAGGATTCCCTATTTAATAAATGGTGCTAGGAAAACTAACTAGCCATATATAGAAAGCGGAAACTGGATCCCTTCCTTACACCTTACACAAAAATTAATTCAAGATGGGTTAAAGACCTAAATGTTAGACCTAAAACCAGAAAAATCCTAGAAGAAAACCTAGGCAATACCATTCAGGACATAGTCATGTGTAAGGACTTCATGTCTAAAACACAAGAAGCAATGACAACACAAGCCAAAATTCACAAATGGGACCTAATGAAACTAAAGCGCTTCTGCACAGCAAAAGAAACTACCAAAAGAGCAAACGGGCAACCTACAGAATGGGAGAAAATGTTTGCAATCTACTCATCTGACAAAGGGTTAATATCCAGAATCTACAAAGAACTCAAACAAATTTACAAGAAAAAAACAAACAACCCCTTCAAAAAGCGGGCGAAGGATATGAACAGACACTTCTCAGAAGAAGACATGTATGCAGCCAAAAGACACATGAAAAAATGCTCATCATCACGGGCCATCAGAGAAATGCAAATCAAAACCACAATGAGATACCATCTCACACCAGTTAGAATGGAGTTCATTAAAAAGTCAGGAAACAACAGGTGCTGGAGAGGATGTGGAGAAATAGGAACACTTTTACACTGTTGGTGGGACTGTAAACTAGCTCAACCATTGTGGAAGTCAGTGTGGTGATTCCTCAGGGATCTGGAACTAGAAATACCATTCGGCCCAGCCATCCCATTACTGGGTATACACCCAAAAGATTATAAATCATGTTGCTATAAAGACACATGCACACGTATGTTTATTGCGGCATCATTCACAATAGCAGACTTGGAACCAACCCAAATGTCCAACAATGATAGACTGGATTAAGAAAATGTGGCACATATACACTATGGAATACTGTGCAGCCATAAAAAAGGATGAGTTCATGTCTTTGCAGGGACATGGATGAGTTCTTGTCCTTTGCAGGGACATGGATGAAGCTGGAAATCATCATTCTCAGCAAACTACCACAAGGACAGAAACCAAACACCACATGTTCTCACTCATAGATGGGAACTGAACAATGAGAACACTTGGACACAGGAAGGGGAACATCACACACCAGGGCCTGTTGTGGGGTGGAGGGTTGGGGGAGGGGGGAGGGATAGCATTAGGAGATACACCTAACGTAAATGATGAGTTAATGGGTGCAGCACACCAACATGGCACATGTATACATATGTAACAAACGTGCACGTTGTGCACATGTAGCCTAAAACTTAAAGTGTAATAAAAAAAGAAAGAAACTAATAATGCCAATAGATTTGTAGCCATAATTTAAGAAACATTTTTCTAAAATATACGTAAACATGTAAGAATATCTTTACCTTCAGAGCATGCTTTTACTGTTAGGTTATTCATCAGAAAAGAAAATATTGAAAAGATAAATTAAAATATTTATGCAGACACAGTCAGCTCTATATTGTTATGGTATACTTTGTGAACTAAGTAGTTCATAAGTGTGAGTATACAATGTATAGGTTTTAATTTGTTAAATTAATATAAAGCACTTAAAATGTGGCTTATAAGTAAGCACTTTTTAAAGAAATGTTCTTTTAAATTCTGGTACGCACAATTTATAGACAAACTCAGAAAAATAAGTTTGGTTTGCATTGCATAGATATTTAAAAGTATTTTCTTAAGTTACCTTTTATTTTGCAACACAATTCATAGAATGAAATAATTTTACCATGGAAAATACAGTCGTTCAGCTAATAAAATATTTTTTTCAGGAACATAAATAAAATATTTATTTTACTAGAGCTCTGTTAATGAAGAATGCTATTTATTATACACAAATTGAGGACAGAGAAATTGCCTATGTGTGTATATATATATTTTTAATTTTGGTAGTTTGGGTCAAATCACTGCATTTATCTACTAAGCAAATAAAATAAGGTCTCCAAATATATATGACAACCAAAAAGAGAAGATACAAGATTAAGATTTGGAAACTTTACATTCCTAATTGATTTATTTTTCTCGCTTTCTTTTAATGTTATTTTACTCATTATTGCTTGCTTCTTGTAAACTTCTTTAAATTTAATTATTATTTTTCCCCTTTATGCATTATTTTACAAAATAAGCAGACACCATGTAGAGTGAGCTTATTGCTAATATTTGAGAGGGGGATGAAACATGGATGACTATTTCATAATAAAAATACTTCTTTTAAGGTTGATCAGACTACCACAGTTGAAGACAGTAAAAAATGAAAACAATGTATAACGTATTTTGGCATTTTAATTTTCTTTCCTTATTTTTTTTAAATACAGAAGTTTCTTGGGCCACCCTTCCTTTGATTTATGTTATGCTCCTCTTTCCCTGCTTCCTCTGCGGCTCTCGCGGCGGGTGGTACATCCGAGTTTCTAAGCTTTTTAGCTGGGTATGCCTCTAGCCTCTACTGTTCCTTCAGCCCCTGGTGACAGGGGGTCGCGTACGGGTGTTCTCAGAAAATCAGGAAAATGAGGTAAAAAATTCATAAATTTAAGCAGAGTGGACATGTTTTTATCTCAGGAGAAAGAGTTAATGTCTAAGTCATCTCCTGCAAATAGATGAAATGTGGTAAAGACCATTTCTCTCAGGCTTTTTTTTTGGCAAATGTTAAGAAATGTTATAATTGTTATTGGGTGTGGACTTATGTTTATGAGTACAACTGTATATCTGAAAGTGTTGGATATCAGTTTGTGCTACCAAAAAGCAGCTTTATTTTATGTTTCTTTGCACAGATTCGTTTCTTGGCATGAATACAAAGACCCTGAAGTTTTTGGATTTTGTCTATTCAGGAGGATGGGTTTTCAATGTGTGGGTGTTGAATTATGGGAAGAAACAGTAGGGAGAGAACTCCTTAGTGCTATTAAGAAACTCACTTTTGTTAAACTCACTGATTTTTCTTGAGGATTCTTCCCTTTACCGTCGTAAATTTCCGACATGCCAGCAAGCTGTGGGAGACGGAGCTAGGGCGCCATTTTTTTCATGTGCACTTTTTGTTAAAGCGTTTTTTCTCTGTGAATGTGGTCATAATTCAAATAAATCGACAATATACTTAACCATTTGATTAAAAACTGGTACTTTTACTCATCACATGTCAAATTTGTGATTTGCTTGAGAGGAATTATGAACTTTTGACAAATTGCGTTACTTTAGTGTTATGAGGAAATCTGGGGCCACAAATAATCTCAGTTTAAATTTGTCTCCGAAAAGCCTTTGTCTCCTTCATTGTATGACAGTATTTGAAACATGTTTCATTTATCTCTGGCACCGTAAGTAATTTAAACCGAATAAGTGGGTGTAATCGAGATAAATGGTGATATCCTAAAACGGAGAAAAAATAAATGCGTTTAAGTTATTCTACTAACTTGGCACACTGACTTACTCTTGTAATCCTACTATTTTGGGAAGAGGAGGTGTGAGGATGGCTTGGAATCACGAGTTGGAGACCATCCTGCATAATATAATGAGCTCCTTTAATTTATTGCCATTTTGGCACCAGGGACAGGTTTAGTGGAAGGCATTTTTCCACAGACAAGAGGAGAGCAGGGGGAGAAGGTGGTGAGGTGGACACCTTGGGGAGGTTGGGGGCGGCCGTTCCAGGAGGAGTACAGTGTAGGAAGGGGTTTCAGGCCAGAGCAGTGTGACGGGGGGCAGTGGTGGGACAGCGGGGCTGCGAGGGGGACAGGGCAGGCCAGCGGGGAATAGGGAGGATGGATTCTGGATGAAACTGTTCCACCTCAGGTCACACTCAGGCATTACAATCTTCTAGGGAGAGCGCCACCTAGATCCTCGTATGCGCAGTTCACAGTAGGGCTCTTACTCCTGTGAGAACCCAATGTCTTCGCTGATCTGACAGGAGGCGGGGCTCAGGCAGTGCCAGAGGTTCACCACCTGTTCTGCAGCCAGGTTCCTAACAGGCCACAGACAGATACCGGTTGGAGACCAGGGTTTGGGGATCCCTGATCTATTGTATATTTCAAATCACTAAAATATTGCAAACAATTTAAAATATTCTCCCCGAAGAAAGCATGTATTTTATTTAACTTGATTTAATCATTTATTAAAATATCAAGCTGGGCGTGGACATTCACCCTTCAAGTCTCATCACCTTGGTGGCACCAGGCCAGAAGATCGCTTGAGCCCAGGAGTTCGAGACCAGCTTGGGTACCATGGGGAAACCGTGTCTGTTAAAGAAACACACAAAAAAAATGCCTACAAGCTGTGATAGTGATCTCCTGTAGTCCTAGCTATTTGGGAAGCTGAAACGTGGGAGGATCACTTGAGGCTCGGTAGAGGAGGCTGCAGTGAGCAGTGCACATTGGCAATAGGAAATTGACATCTCAAGAAAAAAAAAACACAAAACATCACATTGTACTGTATAAATATATAGTTTTCAAATAGAATTATTTAAATGGGGCATTCTGCGTATTACAGCTTAAGAAAATTACAATAGCTTTTCTCATCTCATTTTTACAAACAAGTTTTTGTCAGGTACGTATTAAAATGCAGCATTTGTCCATGAAGTCACTGCCCCTTTCGCTCTGCATGTTACAAATTTTAACTACTTAAATTAAGAAATAGTAGAAAGATGTCAGCCTCCGTAAGGGAATTTCCCTAGAGTTTTCAACACAGTATGTAATAAAATTTTATCTTTTGGCTTATTTATTGTTATCTAGAGTTTTTTATTTTTTTATTTTTTATTTTTTACCATTTACAGCAAAATGGTGGAATCAGATCAGCCTGGCAAGCTTTTCATTGGTGGCCTCCGTTTAGAAACCAATGAAAAGATGCTTAAAGCAGTATTTGGGAAATATGGTCCCATACTGGAAGGCAACTGTTATATATATATATATGTGTGTGTGTGTGTGTGTGTGTGTGTGTGTGTGTTGGTTATATATATATTTTCCAAAGTAAATATATACTCAGTATATTTACTGAATACATAAATTAAAATATATATTTGTTTTAAAGTGTTATTTTCAAGTTTCTTTTCGATACTGGGAAAATTCTTATGGCAGCAGGCGAAGGTTCTTTGGTAAAGGTTACCTACTACTGAGAAAGGAAACTGAGCAAAAGTACATATGTTGTGGAGGTAGGGAGCAAATTGGAATAAAATAGGCTGAATACAGAGGTGACTTAGTATTAAAAATCATAGTAATGATGTGAAATGCAATTTTTTTGGTTTGTTAGTACTATGGTGAGTCCATTATATAAATGTAAAATGTTTTCATATATTTTAGTTCTTTTGATAAATGATTGGGAAACCAGCAACTTCAGATGCTTTGTACTTATTTTGAAAACCTGCAGATGCTAAGAATGCTGTCAAAGATATGAAGGGAAACGTAAGAGTCCCTTATTAATAATATCCTAACTGTTCCTCACTTAACAGAATTTCAAGGTCTTTTTCATATTACTAAACTTTTGAAGATAGCATAATGTCATATGATCTGAAATGCTTTAGCCATCCTCTTCTTTTGGTCATCTAAGTGCAACGGTAGTTGGAAGGATATTGGAATAAATGTTACATAAATCAATATATGGTAATCTTATTTGTATGTTAGTATTTAAATACAAGTATAAATAGATTTTCAAAGCTTTCAAGCAGCTTTAAAACTTAGAAGGAACCCTCACAAAAGTGAGATAAATAAATCAGCATTTATTAAATTCTATTAATGGAATTACTTCCAATTCATGGAAATACTTCTATAGCATAGACAAACTATGGATAGACAGGTAGACGGACTTACAAGATGGAAATCTTATACAGAGAGACATCTAGACCGACTCACAAGAAGGAAAGATTCTTTCTCATTTTCTGAAAGTACATTCTTAAGCAAGTGTATTTAAACAAGACCTTTACATTTAAGGAAATGTTAAGTACTTGAAAGTAGAAAATAATATGAGTACATTGAAGTTGGGTAACAGAACTACTAACTGGCATTTCTGCCCCATCCTTGCTCTTTTTCTCCTAAAATCATTTTTATCCTGTCACCAGAGTGATTTATGTAACATGAATACCTAATGACTCATTTTACCAGTGTGTTTGAGGACTTATTTTGATCCAACCAATTGTCTCTGTCTTACTGAATCTTAAATTCTAGGGATTGTGTGTTTATTACAGCTGTAAACCTTTTTATAATTCTATTACCTACTGAATTCCTTTGTATTACCATCAAAATCATTGCATTCTGGGTACGTTGGAGCTGTTTTGTTTTATAACATCATCTCAGTCTCTTTTTAGTTCCCGTTACTCTTCATGCTTTCACCAATATGCTTTTTCGGACTTCTTAAGAGTTATTCTTCCTGGCATATGTCTCACAAATAGCAACTTATGCTTCAAAGACAGCTTAGATTTTACATTTTCTTCTTTATTTTATATTGTGGGTATTTTGTCCTCACTGTACCATGTATTAATCTGTTGATAATTGTCTTTAGTGCATATTTAAGTTTTCCTAGTTGCTTTTATTTCTGGTACATCTAGCACACTTCCTGGTTCATCGAAGAAAGTACATTTTTATTCACCTTTATACTTTCATATTTTAAATTTGGGTAGAAACTGAAAGTTGCTCATGGTTTGGTGTTAGGTATGGAAATAATTTTGACTGATGTATAGTAATAATTTCTTTTTCCTCAAAGTTTTCAAGCACAAGAACAGATGATTTCTGTAGAAATTCTAAATTACTTCATCTAACATATCTTATTGTGTAAGAACAAATATAAATGTAATATGCACACAAAAGTTAAGAATGGAAATAAAGGAAGTACTTAGAGGTTTCAGGGGGAATGAACAGTTTAAGAAAGTTTGGTTGACTTCCGAATACTGGGAAGGAAGCAGTCATGTGCAAATCTGGGGAACATATTTTGGGCCCAGAAATAACAAAAGAAGTCCCAAGGTTGAAACGACTGCCTATGTAACTGCAAGAGGTCTTGGAAAGGATTTAAGATCTTCCCCCAAAAACAAAGCAATGCCATTTTTAAATACAATTTTTGCTGACATTTTTTTTCAAAAATTACCTTAGCCTATAGAAAAGATTAAACTGAAGAAAGTTATTATGAAATTAATTAGAACATTTAAGCATTTCTGAGAAATAACATGAAGTACTATATTAAGAGTCATTTATTAGGGACTCTTCTAAGGCAAGATAATAAATGAGTAAGGCAAAAAATCTGAATGAGACCAAGGAAGGATCACAGTTACAGAAACAGAACTAGACTAAATATAGAATTGTAAATCATATTGGGACATTTTATGTAAGTATTAGCAGAACAAACAAGAAACAATTCAGAATGAATAATATGGCTAATCACTTGGAATAAATAATCTTTTTATTAGATGACACATTATTACATATACCCTTGGGACACTGAAACAATTAAATAAGTGATGTGACTACAAAGATGAAGTAGATCATACATTGGAAAAAAGAGATGTGCTACATTATCCCATAGATGGGTGATGGGCTAATTTTTTTTGAGATGATGTTTTTAATACTGGAAAACTTTTCAAGGAATTTGAATAACAGAATTTGTGTTTGATCCCTTAATGGAAGGTATGTGGTCAGTAAACATCTCAAATTTGGCACTGTGAAAGACATCATCATTTCAGAAAAAAAATATATTTGCTTTGGGAGAAAACATCTAGAACTGAAATATAGTGGATGCAAAAATGTTTGTAAAATGTGTTTGGTTAAATGTGACAGTGTTATTGATAGGACAGTTAATACTTTTGGTCTTTGGATGGAAAAGCAATAAAAGTAGAACAAGTCAAGAAAACATCTTTTCAAAGTGATGGTAGGTGGAGATCACCACCTTCCTGGAGAAACAGGAGCCCTTCAGGAAGTCTGAGATCTGCAAGAGGAGGTAGTAGAGGACAAGAGGGTTGTGTCCCTCATGTGAAGGACAACTGGGTAATGTTTTAAAATATAAAGATGGAACCGTAGGACTGAAAGACAATAAGTTTGAAGATATCAAAATTTCTCAATTTTATTTACTTTATGTACAGAAAATGAACTTACTGATAATGAGCAAAATTATTTGTAAGTACTAAAGATAAATTATAAGAAAGATAGAAATAATATGAAAATTTTATTTTAAAATCTTAATTACTTTGCATTGAAATAACACGCATTTAAAACCAAATTGAGTTTATTAATGTTGATTTTCTGTACTCAACAGGTTTTCTGCAGAACTCGTTTACATTCATTATGCTATAGAGTTTCTTATTTTGGGAGCCAGAACTTTGTATAAAATGTATTATCAAAATAAGATGGAATCTTGAAAACCTTCCAACAGGAAATAAGTAACTCATTATTTTAGGATTGATCTTATAATATTTGTTATTTATGTATACACATGGAAATATCTATACAAATATATTCCTTTGCCATTTTGATATACGTAATTTGCACATTGGCCTGCCATAAAGCATTTTGCATTTAAGAAATCTATAACTTCAGTTTCTCAAAAGAGTCTGTGACTCAGGAAAATCTAAAAACCACTGCTTCACAAATATGAAGCAGTGGTTTCTTTGCTGGAAGATGAGACACTGAAAATGGTATTTATGAATGATTTACTCAATAGGAATGAGGGGTCAATTTTTACTTAAAAAAATCCATGTATTTTAAAAAATTGGTTCAATTGTATTATCTATTAACCAACCTTCAAAAACCTAACATCTGAGTTTTAATAACCAGATGTGTAATTCACTGGATATGTTTTCTCAAGTTGAAATTGCAGTGTTTGCTCCATTTTAAGGTACATAGCTTCATGGTATTTTTTTTCTCAATTGATCTTGAGGGTGAAGATTAATACTACTCTGCCATGTATGAGAATATGCATTTTCTTACCTGTGACACCACGAGGGCATTAGAATATATCTACATTTTTTGTAGCTATATGAAAATATCTTTTATTATTTAATATTAAATTCTTAAAGATTATTAAAATTGAGCATAGCCTAAGCTAAAATTTAATATTTCATAATGGATTTGTAAGGATTGTATTTCTGATACAAATTTTACAGATAATGTATTTTTCTGAGGTGTCATTTTTTGATTTTGTAAATATTTTAGCTTTTTTGAATGGAATTTGTTGTACCCTTATGATACGTTTTGAAGAGGCTTTCTTCATACCATAATTATATGAACAGTAATATATTATTTTTCTCCTATTTTTCTTTATCTAGATTATATTTATATATTTAACTGATAGATTTTTGCTCTCTCTTCACCCTGCATTTATCCCACATCTTTCTCTCACACCAATATAAAATGATTCTTGTGTTATTTTTTAGATTTTCTTCAGTTGCCAGGCTGGAATGCAGTGGCACGATCTCAGCTCACTGCAACCTCTGGCTCCCAGCCAAGTGATTCTCCTGCTTTAGCTTCCCGTGTAGCTGGGACTACAGTTGTGTGCCAAGAGGCCCAGTGAATTTTTGTATTTTTAGTAGAGATGGGGTTTCACCATGTTGCCCAGGATGGTCTTGATCTCTTAACTTCGTGATCCGCCCACCTCAGACTCCCAAAGTGCTGTGATTACAGGCATGAGCCACTGCACCCAGCCATTTTCTGGGTTTTCTAAACCAACTTTTATTGTTTGTATTGCACTACTTTGGTACATAAATACTAAATTGTATTAGTTTAGACAAATGTAAATTTGTAAGATTATCATATTTAGGAAATATTTATAAACAACTAAAACTTAGCCATTTAAGACACAGTGATGTTACTTAGCTGGAGATATATATTATATATATATATATATATATATATATATATATATATATATATATATATATATGAAGTCTTGCTCTGTCTCCAAGGCTGGAGTGCAGTGGCACACTCTTGGCTCACTGCACACTCTCCTTCCCGGGTTCACGCCATTCTCCTGCCTCAGCCTCCCAAGTCGCTGGGGCTACAGGTGCCTGCCACCACGGCCAGCTAATCTTTTATATTTTTAGTAGAGATGGGTTTTCACCATGTTAGCCACTATGGTCTCGATCTCCTGACCTCGAGATCCGCCTGCCTCAGCCTCAAAGTGCTGGGATTACAGGCATGAGCCACCGCGCCCAGCCCTACAAGACTTTTTATAACTGTCTCCTTTCGTTTGCATGATGCTCTGAATGTTCATTTACATTGCAGCACTTCTCTCCTTACACAACCTGCTAACCCATTATTTTGTTTGGGTTGTTTCCACCACAGTATTTCTATATACACATATTTGTTTGCATACACTTATTCAATTCTTGGTATATATGAGTGAGTGGAATTGCTTGGTCCTATGATAATTGTATTTATTTTCTTGAGGAACCACCCCATTTCTCCATAGTAGCTGCACCATTTTCCATTCCAACTAGCATTTGTATGAGGGTTCCAAATTATCTACATCTTCTCAAACACTTGATATTTCCTGCTTTTTAAAAATCATTTCCATTCCAGTATGTGTGCAGTATAGTATCTCATTTTGGTTTTGAAATGCAATTTCTGAATAACTAATTATGATTATTTGTTCCATGTGCTTTTTGAGCATTTGCATATTTTAGTTGGAGAAATATGTATTCAAGTATTTGGCCCTTCATTTTGTTCAAGTTGTAAGTTATTTATGTTTTGGATACTAGAAGTTGATAATTTAAAATTTGTTGCTTTAACTTATGCAAGCAGAATTCATACAAGTTCCCGGGACACCAGGGATTATGCTCCACCATCTAGAGATTATGGATACCATGATTACGGTCATTCTAGTTGGAATGAACAATCCTCTAGAGCATATAGGTACTATAATATTTTCTGATTTTGTCAAAGGGATTTCTTAAGTTGTTCCTGCTGACGTTAGCAAACCTTTTTTAAATTTAGTGACTGTGATGGCTGTGGTGGGGGCCGTGGTAGAGATCCTTTAGTACATCCCAGTGGAAGTTCTTACAGAAATGCATATCAGAGTTATGGTAAGTGTCAGGGTTTGATTTGTAAATTATAGTATTATATTTAATACACCAGATTATTGTTTTAATACAATTTTAAGGAAAATCATAAAGGAAAAATATAACATGTTTAAACACTGAGAATTGTTAACAGTATAATGCGTGGTGAACATGTAGGTGAGAACTTCAGTTCATTTTCAGAAAATGTGACTTAACGTTCACTTTAAAATAAACTTTCTTATGCTTCAAAATACTATTCTTATATTCTTTTAAATGCAACCTTTTGACTATTTCAGACATAATTAATATGCTGTCAATGAAGACAGAGGAAAGCAGATTTTTCCAAATAGTACTTTAACTGATACATGCATTAGTGATACCATTAAAAATGTTTAAATGTAGTTCATTATAAGTTCTATATTTTATCAACCTTGCAGGGACCTCTCCTGGTGAACAACCTGCATGAGAGCCTTGGATGAGTTATGGTGGAAGTAGTCACTATGATTATAACAGTACATGAGATATATATGGCAGAAGTCAGGAGAGTTACTCATGAAGCAGTGGTGATTTATATTCCTGTGGTCATGAGCGCGGTGGCAGAAAGGAATGAAGGAATCTACCTTCTGTGGATAGGGTGCACCCTGCTGCTGGTGAAGGATACAGTAGCTCAAGTTATGGGGCATCTACAGCAAGTGGTGAGGGAAAACAAGGTGAAAAAGGAGGCTGAAGCAGATATTAAAGGAGATATTAAAAATAATAGTTACCGTGGTACTCAGGAGGCCGAGGCAGGAGAATTGCTTGAACCCAGAAGGCAGAGGTTGCAGTGAGCCCAGATCTTGTCACTGCACTCTAGCCTGGGCAACAAAGCAAACCTGTCTCACAAAGTAAAAATAAAAAAAAGAAAGATAATAGTTATTGCTTACCAAACCTTGCTTGCAAATCAAAAATTAAAATGTTATTTCTGTATCAGTTCGTGAGTACCACTAAAACAAAATGTTGATTTTGGGGGAGAGGTAGATCCTAACTTCCTCCATGAATTTTCTGAGGTATTTAAGATGAAAAGGAATTGTTTTTTCAAAGTAATTTCATAATTGTTAATGCTATTTGAAAACTCTCTCTTTAGATGATATGGCTGTATTAAAATTTTCAGAATAAAATTATACATGTAATGTGTAATGCCTGATTTTATGGCTACACGTGCTTAACAGCAAATTAAATGGGATATTAAATGGTGTGGTTTCTGTTGAAAAATTTTTTTGCAGCTTTGAATATAAATACATGCAAAAGTAGGCATAAATTACGTCTCCCTTGCAAGGTGCCCACATTTTCTAATTAGGCTGTGTTTCTCTTAAACACTTACAAGCTTTAAAAGCTTGAGAAGTATTCAGAAAGACTATGAAACTCTCTGCCTCACCATAAAATGTTTATCATTCAGAGGAATCATGTAGATAAAAGGAAATAATTAGATATGGTTGGTACTAAAGTTTAAGACATCCAGAACCTTCTTCTTGAAGCCTTTCTGTCACTGATGGGGGATAATGGTGATGAAAACATTGTTTTCCAACTAAATAAAATCTGAACCAGCTATGTTTCCTAAATACATAGCTTAATGAAATTAAGTGTTCCTAGTTTAAATAGTGGAAAATAAGTGTTTTTATGTGGGAGGTACTCATGTTAATTATCTCCTATAATATTTGACAATGGTTGTTGTAAGTAATGGTTTAGCAATAAGTTCTTACAAACAGAAATTATCTAGAAGGCTTGGGATTTTATCAGATTTTTTTTTAGACAGAGTCTAGCTTTGTTGCCCAAACTGGGGTGCAGTGGCTGGATCTTGGCTCACTGTGACCACTACCTTCTGGGTTCGAGCTGTTTTCCTGCCTCAGCATCCCGAGTAACTGGGTTTACAGGTGTGTGCCACCACAGCTGGCTATTTTTTTTTTTTTTTTTTTTTTAGTACAGACAGCATTTCTCCATGTTGGCCAGTCTGGTCTTAAAATCCTCATTCACCTGCCTCTGCCTCCCAAAGTGCTAGGATTACATGTATGAGCCATCAGGCTCACACTATCAGATTTAAGTGAAGATACGAATAGGAATGCTTTAAACCTCATGGTTTTTGGAAACTGAAATGTGTAAAACATAAAACAACATCATAAAATTTCTGATAGGCAATTGTGTAAAGGTTTAAGATATCATCTAATGATAAAAATGAAAAGATTTGGACCCAAATAAGTAAACCAATTAATTTTCCTGATCATACAACCTAAAGAAATGAAATAGATTAAGATCCAGTGTTTTACAGTCCACAGTTCTTAAAATTAATGGACTAATCTGTAAGGAGGATGTATTTTTATGAGAAAATTTTGATAAGATCATAATTTTTATAGGGTTAGTTTCCAAATAATTTTAAAGGGAGAAGTTACCAACTTTGATTCTCAAGTGAGTTATTTATGTTATGAAGTTGTGTTTTCATTCACCTATAATGTAGGATTGTAAGGATTAAATGAAAGGATACAACTCCCTAGTCTTGTGTATCTTGACAGCAGCAGCACGAGAAACAGTGTCTGTCCAGGTAGGTGTGATGGCTTAGGTCTTCAATCCCAGCATTTTGGGTGGCTGAGATGGGAATATCGCTTCAACTCAGGAGTTTGAGACCAGCCTGGGCAACATGAAGAAATCTTGTCTGTATAAAATAGACAAAACATTGTTGGATGTAATAGTCTATCAGTGTAGTCCCAGATCCTTGGGGGCTGAGGCAGGAAGATGGTTTGAGCCCATGAGGTCCAGGCTGCAGTGAGCCTGTTTTTTGCTCCACTGCATTTCAGCCTGCATAACAAAGCGAGACACTGTCAAAAAAAAAAAAAAAAGAAAAAAGAAAAAAGAAAAACAAAAAAGACAAAGTGTCTATGATATTCTGTCCCTAGGATTTTTTAACTCAAATTATCTCCATGAGGCATTCTGTCATAATGATTAAAAAGTATGGGAAACTGAAGAGTAACCTGTAAGATACAATTTATCAACCTTGGAATAGGGATTCTGTTTCAGTAAGTTATAATAAATTCTGAAAAGCCTTTATAAAACAAGAGTTAAATCCTTATTGCATCATTTTTCATAGGACCATAATGCTGTTGAATGAATAATAGGATAATTTTTTATCATCTTCGTCCACAGACATTGCTTTGAGAAAATACCTGGACTTGGAGGTTTATAACAAAGATTTCTTGTAATCCCAGAGGCTAAGAAGCCCAAGGTCAAGGAATCAGCAAATACAGTGTTCAGGTGAGGGGTCATTTCCTGGATTTTATTTTTATTTTAATTAATTTATTTATTTATCTTGAGATGGAGTCTCACTCTGTTGCCCAGGCTGGAGTGCAGTGGCACAATCTCTGCTCACTGCAAGCTCCGCCTCCTGGGTTCACACCATTCTTCTGCCTCAGTCTCCCGAGTAGCTGGGACGACAGGTGCCCGCCACCACACCTGGCTAATTTTCTAATTTTTAGTAGAGACAAGGTTTCACCATATTAGCCTGGATGGCCCCGATCTCCTGACCTCATGATCTGCCTGCCTCGGCCTCCCAAATCGCTGGGATTACAGGAGTGAGCCACCACGCCCAGCCCATTTATTTATGTATTTATGTATGTATGTATGTATGTATTTATTTATTTATTTAATTTCTTTTTGAGATGGAGTCTTGCTCTGTCGCCAGCCTGGAGTGCAGTGGCATGATCTTGGCTCACTGGAACCTCTGCCTCCATGGTTCCAGCAATTCTCCTGCCTCCCAAGTAGCTGCGACTAAAGGCACGCACCACCATGCCTGGCCAATTTTTTGTATTTAGTAGAGACAGGGCTTCAGCATTTTGGCCAGGATGGTCTCCATCTCCTGACCTCGTGATCCACCTACTTCGGCCTCCCAAAGTGCTGGAATTACAGGCGTGAGCCACCATGCCCAGCCACTTCCTGGATTTTAAACATCCCTCTTGCTGAGTCTGCACATGGTATAAGTGGCTTGGGAACTCTATAGTCTTTTAGGAGGGTGCTAATAACATTTAAGAGGGTGCTGTCATCCTGACCGGATTACTTCCCATCAAAGGCCCTTTTCCCCTTTCAGAAGGCAGCCAATTGACACTTCCACATGTTGAGCTTAAGGATGGTGGTGTGAGGTGGCAGTGATGATTTAATGAATTCTTTGGTTTGCAGTTTTTAATGCCTCCAGTGTTGTCATCAGGTATCAAAGGCATGAAGATGATTTTTTTAAATCGTTCATAATGCAGTCATCCAGCTTCAGATTACAAGGTTTGGGGACAATTGGGCAGTTTTAGTTTTCAGTGATGCTAAATCATGAAAGGGGGACACAATGTTGAAATTTTAGTTTGGAGAGTTGTAGCTATATGTTGGATAAAACAAGAATTGAAATTGTAGACTAATAAAATATGTAAGACAACTCACATGGGTGGTTTTAGTTTTCCATTGAAACAAAATTCTCTCTGCTGTTACTTCTCTTGACTCTTGTTCACAAAATAAGTCTGGTCTGACTAGATTTGTCCTCATTTTTTACCTAAGTACACTAAGAATTGTCATTGACCACAAAGGTATATATATATATATATATTTATATATATATATATAAAATTTTTTAAATTAGAAACAGTGTCCGGCTTACTGCAGTCTCAACCTCATGGGCTCAAGTGATCCTCCAACCTCAGCCTCCTGAGTAGCTGAGACCGTAGGCGCAAACCACCATATTTGGCTAATTTTGTATGTTATTTGTTTGCCTGTTTGTTTGATTTTGGAGATGGGGTTTTACCTTGTTGCCTAGGTTAGGCTTGAACTTCTGGGCTGAAGTGATTCTCCCACCCTTGTGTCCAAATGTGCTGGGATTACAGGTGTGAGCCACCATGCTTAGCCACAGAGTCCTTTCCAGTTTACTTTGTCAGAACTTTATACAATTAGTTTCAGATTATACTTCTTAAAGCTGCCTAGTTATCTCTGATTTTATGCAAATCATTCTTAAATATATTTGACATTTCAGACAAGGCTTTGTAAAAAAAAAAAAAAAAAAAAACGGGTTCTAATTAGGTTCTGTTGAAAGGAGAACGCATTCTTACTGAACTTCAGAAATGACTCAATTGCCATATAAATGTTTATAAAATCTTAAATGTCCAGTGAACATAACACAGCTTAACTAGTAAATTAGTAAATCCAAGAAGGATACAAATGACAAGTGTATTCTTTTTTTTTTTTTTTTTGAGATTGAGTCTCACCCTCTCGCCCAGGCTGGACTGCAGTGGCATGATCTTGGCTCACTGCAACCCCTGCCTCCTGGGTTCAAGCAATTCTGTATCAGCCTCCCAAGTAGCTTGGATTACAGGTGTGTACCACCATTCCTGGTTAATTTTTGTATTTCTAGTAGAGATGGGGTTTCGTAATGTTGGCCAGGCTGGCCTCAAACTCCTGACCCCAGATGATTCACCTGCCTTGACCTGCCAAAGTGCTGGAAATAAAGCCATGAGCCACTATGCCTGGCCCACAAATATCTTTTTATATTTAATAATAACAACAAATTGTAATATGTAGCTGTTTGTATTAAACAATTTGAAACTAGTCTTATTTACTAAATATTTCCATGAGTCATGTGAACTTGAATATATATTTCTAGGATTATTAGGAGTATGTAATTCACAATAGTGATCATATGTCTCTAAGCCAATTTGAATAGCACCCTTTTAAGTGATATTAAAAATTAACTTGGTAATAATATCCAGAGCTAGAAATATATCACACACATATAGCATATAGCCATGAAAATATAGATAGAGGAAAACAGATTTTAGAGATCACCTAAAATTTAGTCATGAATGAGGCAATAGAGTAATATAAAACTCACTGGGTTTATATCCATTTTATATTGTATCTAAATTGTTCTTCTGGCAAATGAGACAAGGTCGCCTATTCAATAGGAGGTCTAATACCTTTTGTCTGTATTGGCGAAGAAGACTTTTATGAGACTATTTTGTCCTAATATTGTATCTGTGGAGCCAGAGGACTATATTTTAGGCACAGAATATATCTAGTTCCAGTCTGCACATCTCCAAAGGCTGGGGAGATACAATACTCAATCTCTTCTAATTAGCCATTTTTTCATTTCAACTTCAGGCCAATAATTTCTTGGAGGGTAGAGAAGATACTGAAGTCCCTCAAGAGCTTCTGATTTAGTCAGCCTAAATTTCTGTTGACTTTAGAAGTTGAAAGGCTGAAATAGGAAGGAATAGGTTTGTTTAGGGGTAGATAGAAGAATGGATGATGAGAGGTTTGAAGGAGGATATGTCAAAGAATTCAAGGAAGGTAAAAGGAAGATTGAAGGTGGTGAGAGGAGAAACAAGAAACATGAGTAATAAGAAGGAAGACATCAAAGAGGCACCAGTATAGGGAGATGTTAAGTTTCTCAAAGATCTTTGAAGTTCCAAATTGTCCTTGAAAAATGCATACCAACAACAAGTTATGCAGAGTAAGCAAAGCCTAAAGTCTACAAGGGTTCAAGAAAGTGGGTTATGGTTGGCAATGAGACTTCCATGGGAGAGACAAGAATCCAAGTAAAGAAGAGAGAGGTGTCAAAGAGTTTCAGTGGATATTAGAGACAGAGATAGTGAGATAGAAAGATAGATAGAGATAGAGATAGAGTTAGATAGAGATAGAGGTGGATTAAGATAGAGATAAACTTCCTGACAGCCCAGAAAGATGGGAAAATTCCTGTTAAGGAAAAAAAGGTCTCCAACATAGCGAATCAGGAAATAATCTCCACTCAGGAAAGAGGCTAGAAAAAAGGGGACCCAGTCAATGGAGTCAGGGAAAACCCCACTCAGGGAGTAGCCAGAAAAAAAAGATGGTTAGCATAGAGAATCAGGGAAAAATTCTTACTTAAGAATAGACATCCAGGAGGAAAATTCAAGCCAAAAATATCAGAGAATGAGCCCCTCTTAGGAAGAAGGGTACACAACACAGAACATACAGGAATAATCTCAAACATGAAGCAAAGCTGACAAAAAAAGAGTTGCAGACTTGGAAATCAGGAAACAATTTCCAGTCAGATTAGAGAGCAAGGCAAGAGAGACTTGCAACCCCAGGGAGTCAGGGAATAAACATAAGAAAAATTATAACCTGGGAAAAGAAAATGTCACACTAGGAGACAGGGAATAATACCCAATAAAGAAAAAGAGCCAGGAAGATGAGATTTCCAACTAACGTATCAGGAAATAATCTTCAGAAAATTGGAATAATCTGTAATAAGGGAAGAACAAGTTAAGAAAAACAAAACAAAATAAGAAAATGTCTATCTCCTGGAGTCAGACAGTAATCTCTAGTAAGGGAAACACCAGGAGGAAAATACTTTCTGCACATTAGGAATAAATGCCACTCGGGAAAGACAGAGCCAATAAGAAGGAACTCCTACCTAAGAAAGTTAGAATAATCATTATTATTTTTTAAAGAGAGAGAAGTAAGGATTTTAAATGAACTAATGTTATAATCTTTATCAGGAAATAGAGTCATAAAGAAGAATATTGAGCCCAAATGTCAGATAAAAATTTGAAATCAGAAAAAAGAGTGAGGGAAGACAAACTTCTATCCCAGGGAGCCAGGAAATAATCTTCAATCATGAAAAGAAGTAGAAAAACAATCTTTCACCAGAGAGCTCATTTAATATTTATCTCAGAGAAAAGAACAAAGGGAAAAAAAAAGAAGTTCAGTCCAAGGATTCAGAGAATAATACTAATTTAGGACAGGGAACCAAGAAGAAGTGACTATGAACTCAGAATCACATGAGAATTATTCTCACTTAGGAGAGAGAGACAATCTAGTAGTCAGAAAAAATGTTACCCATTAACAAAGAGAACAGAAAGAAGAGATGTCTATCCAGAGAGTCAGAAAAGAGAGCTAATAAGTGACTTACAGCTCAGGTGCCAGGGAATAAACTCCATTTCATAAGAGAGCAAGAACGAAGGTCTTTCAAATCAAAAAGTGAGAGAATAATTGTTACTCAAGGAAGAGATCTGGAAAGACATGACGTCCAATCAGGAAAATAATTTCTTTTATGAAACAGAGCCAGGAAAAACAGGTTTTCACTCCAGGAGTGAGGAAATCTCTACACAGGAAATAGACCCAGGAATTTTTTTTTCCTGCTTAGCAAATAAGGCCAGAAATTTCCACACCAGGAGTCCAGGGAAAAGTCTTCAATCAGAAAAACAATCCAGAGGAAGAATAAGAAGAATTTTCTACCCCAGGAGGCATGGAATACATCCCATTGAAGTACAATAGTCAGAAAAATAGAATACTATGCCAGAAATTGGGGAATAATTTCTATTCAGATGAGACATCCACTAAAAAGATATTTCTATCCCGTAAAGTCTGGGATTAATCACCAATAAAACAACAACAACAAAAAGATATGATGTTTAGCACAGAGTCAGAGAATAATCCCTATTAGGTAAGCATAGAAAAGGTAGAAGAGATTTTCACTCCAGGAGTCGGGGAGTAATTCCTACCAAGAGGTGATAGCAAAAAAAATGAAAAATAAAAAATAAAAAAAACACACACACACTTTAAGCTCAGAAAGTTAGGGAATAATCCCTGTTGTGAAAACAAAGCAAGAGAAAAAACAAAAAGCTTTTATCCTATGAAGTAAGAAAATAATTCCCTGCTCAGGGATATCAGGAAGTCAGGATTTCCTGACTTAAGCCCAGTCAGCCAGAAAATAATTTCTACTAGCAGGGGAGTCAGGAAGAATAGATATCCAACCTAAATGCAAGGAAATGGGTTTCCTATAAAGAAAGACAGCCATGAAGAAGAATGTTCCAGATTAGGAGTAAAGGACTAATGTTCACTGAAGAAAAAAAAAAAAAAGAGTTAAATAGAGCTGACTTTCACACCAGGCTTGGGAGAAACGTTTTGCATGCTTGGGAGAAAAAATACATTCCCCTCTTAAAAAAGAGTGCCAGGATGAAGAGAATTACAGCCCAGCGGAGTTGTAACTAAGGTTGTATTCCCTACTCTAAAGAAACAAACAAACAAAGAATACAGCTTGTGGAGCCTAAAGGGAAGGACATCAATCCCCCGGCCTTCTTCCCTGGCTTCCTTCAGTGATTAGGGAAAGCCTATTTTCTCTCCCTGGAAAGAGGTTTAAAGTCTTCAGGAGCAAGAAGAAAGGTCTCAGCACTTCCAGTCCCTTCTTCCCTAGTGTGCTTTAGTAATATATCTCTGAAATCTCTCCCTGGAAGGAGGCTAGAAAAATACTACTGAAAGACTAAATGAGAATAATGACAATCACTGTGCCGTCTTTCACTTCCTTCAGTGATTTCTGCAATTATTCTCTCAAAGTAGGCTGGAGACAGACCTCTATGAGCCAAACAGAGACAGACATCACTCCCTAAGACATTCTTCCTGACTTGCTCCGGCAAAATTCCCTGCAGTCTCTGTCTGGAAGGAGGCAGAGAGTCAGAATACTTCCAAGCCTAAATGAGAAGAACAGCACTTCCCACACTCACTTCCCTGGCTTGCTCTAATAGCAGATTTCTGCCATCACTCGCCAGAGAAAATCAGGCAGTTAGATCTCTGAAATCCTGAATGGAAGAGGTAGCACTCCCCTTCTGTCACCAGACATAGCAAGCTTGCTTCACAGGCTTGTTCTAGCAATAAATCCCTCCTGCTATTCTCCCTGGACAGATTTTTGGTGAAGTATAAATGTGACAGTGAACCCCTCTCAGGCCTTCTTGCTTTCTTCTCTGCCTTGCCACAGCAAGAAATCTGCCTTGCAGGTTCTTCCTGGAAGAAGCTTGTGCGACTTTGGCAATGCAGAAGGAGAAAGCAGGCAGTCTGCACTACCTTCTCCCTGGCTTGCTCTGGTGAGAAATCAATGTCTGTAGAACCTCCCTGGAAGTAGCTTCTGCATACATCATGCATCACAAATTTTACAGCCTGTATCTAAGGGACTGTCCTAAATTGTCTACTTCTGGAAGTGAATGGGACTCTGTATTCTGAGTCTCCTATATCACAGAGAACAAGATTGTCAAAGTTGTAAATATTCAGTGGCTATCTGTCCAGATTCAGAGTGAGCATAACGAATGACTGTACAGGTGTCAGTCATGGACACTATTCTTGGCATAAGGCAGAACTAGTTGGACATAAACTCTGAATCTAAGCTTGTCCACAAGCAATATACATCTAATCCCAAAACCTTTTACCTGCATATCATGGGGCTGGCTACTATCTTGCCTGTGTCAAAGGAATAGTATGATTTCACACATACTACAATCGAGGGGGGCATAAGAAGAAAGACAGTGAGTTGGACAATCACAGAATTGAGAAGCACCTGGAATCCCTGGTTGCACTGATAAGGAAATGAAATTTCCTACGTAGGATGAGTTAAGGACAACAGAGAAAGATGGTTGTCTTCACTGACTTGCAGAAACCAACTCATAGTCAAGAAAAATGGGGCTGGTGGTAGTGGTTACAGGAGGGCAGGGCAGTGAGGGAGTGCAGTGGAGAGGAAAATATGTTCTGAGGTAAAGAACAAAAGAAATAAACAGAACTGGACTCTGATAAAATGAAAGTATGTAATGTCCCTGACAGGGAAATCAAAACAGAAAGCTCTAAGGTATTACCAGAAGTCTGGACAGTAATGCATTTAAAAACTGAGAAGTTTAACAAAGAGGTAGAAAATATTTCAAGGTATCAAACAGAAATCAAAGAAGTGAAAAATACAGGAAGCTACATCAAAAATTAAATAGAGGGACCGAACAGTAAACTGGATCAAGCAGAATAAAGGATAAGCAAAATTAAGCCAAGTCTTTGAAAATAATCAAATTGGAGGATAAAAATGAAAGAGAAAAATAAGGAATCATGAAGACAGCATAAGGAACTTATGGAACATTATGAAGCAGGATGATAACATATGGAATACTATAAGGAGATAATAATGATAAAAGGAGAGAAAAATAACTGACATATATTTTTAAACAAATAAATAAAAGGCTGGGCACAGTGGGTCATGCCTGTAATCCCAGCACTTTGGAGGCCGAGGCAGGTGGATCACCTGATGTCAGGAGTTTGAGACCAGCCTGGCCAATATGCAAAACCCCATCTTTACAAAAATAAAAATACAAAAAAATTAGCCAGGCTTGGTGGTGGGGGCCTGTAATCCCAACTACTTGGGAGACTGAGCAAGGAGAATCTCTTGAACCCAGAAAGCGGAGGTGGCAGTGGACTGAAATCACTCCACTGCACTCCAGCCTGGGTGTCAGATCAAGACTCAATCTCAATAAATAAATAGATAGTAAAATAAAAAACAATAACGAAAGGATAAAGATGGCTGCTAGAGTCACTGAAGACTCACCTTGTCCACAAAGAAGGTCTGAAATAGCAAATAGATAACTATGCATTGAATCGAACATCTTTGGGAGAAGGCTGGAATTCAGCAGGGAAGTGACAGTGACTCTCTAAGACATGAAAACTGGGGATGGCAGCAGTATAGAGAGGGACCAAAGCAGCCAGCTGGAATTGGCTCAAAACCAAAAGGAATTCTCCACTGTGGGAGAAAGAAAGACTGCATTTGCAATCCTAGATGCAGAGAATCCCCTTGGCCCTGTGAGGACAGATCCTAAGCCTAATAACAGAGACCTGCCTGACGTCCACACAACTACACTGTCCCAGAGAGGGAACTCATGCAAGACCCGGTGCCCACAGAGGCCCACCCTGCTGGTGCATGGCCCAGTATTGAGGGTGATATTGAGCAAAAGGCTGTCTAGAACCTACATCAGAGAGCCTTTTGCCCAGGGGTCCAATATCCCCTGCATCTCCGTGTCTTGGGTCCTTGCTGACATGCCCTCTTGTCCACCCAGAGGCCTCAGTGTCATGATGTCAGCTGGATGCAGCAATGTGGTTGGGTCCATGGTGATGGAAATCATGCAGCATCCTATACCCCAGGGAATAGGCATTCCAGCATATTTGAGTGGCTGCGTCAAAACATAGGGAACAAAAATGTGTGATCCATAGAACGTGGGAAATACCTGCCTGAGGATGCTGCCACTGAGGCACCAACTTCTCCCAGCCCCTCAGCAGCAAGACAACCACACACCTGTAAGTGTCATGTCAGGTCCCACAACCCAGATCCTAAGCTGCTACTGCCAATATAGCCACCCACATGTACCACATGAGGGACTCAAGACTGACCCACCTAGCCCACAGGCACCACACTGGGGCCCTTCCATGCTGCCTGGGACCCCTAGGACTTACCTGTCCAATGCAGCTGCCACAGCTGCTGTCTACTGATGCTACCCAGGAGCCTGAATACAGGCCTACTCAGTACACCAAACCCCAGCAAAGTCTCACCCCAGGCTCTTAAAACAACTAAAATCTAAGCCATTAAGGCACCCTCATACATTTCTGATATTGAGTATAGCTAAAGAAATAATACGAAGACCATGCTATGCTACTTACCCAGAAGCAAAGTCAAAGTACTCTGCCCAATCAACATTATAGATGCATGTACAGGGAATAGTTTTGTTCCAGTGCTTTCTTTTAAGCTTCAGATAATATTCTCACATGGATATGCAGATTAACAGCCAGCAGAAGGCCTGCATGAACTCTTTTGCCTCTCTGGGGTTTTCTTTTTGTGTAAGTCCTCTTTTATTTTCTGGCATTTTGTTCTACAGATTCTAGCTTTCTTGATATAGTTGAACTCTGATTTTAGTCTTCTCAATCTAGTAACACCCCCTAAGTTATGGCCTGGTGATAAGTAGGGTTCATCCTTACACTGTCTTTGTTCATCTTTTCTGAGAAATTATTGTTTGGTGCTGCCTGGAATTGAATGTAGAAAAATCTTTGGTTCATATTTCTGTCTAGTTTTGTGGTTATTTAACCTGGGAGGGTAAATATGGTCCCTGCTACCTCATTATGGTTAGGGGCGTAACAGGACCATGGAAGGCTTTCAGAAGTCATTTTTGAAGACACAACGCAAATTCGGTTTGCATAATGAACTTAGATAAAATACAGCCAAGAAAATAATGTTAGCAGAAACCAGGCCTTACAGAAATCTTTTTAGCGAGTTATTATGCTCAGACTTAAAAGAATAAAAAAAACCAGACCAACGGGTAAAATATACATATTCTAACTTTAATCTGGGGTATTAGAATTATTCAGACAGTTGTGCAAATAAAATTCAAATATAGTTGAAACATTTGTATAAGCTGGTCTATATACTACTTTCTGTGTGGAAAGAATACATACGGATACAAATTTCAGAAAGAACATAAAAACTGGCATACTATGTTTTCAAAAAAAACCAGCATATTATGTTTTCAAAAAAACCCACATTTATTTTACTGTATTTTCCTTTTTTGGAAACAGATTCTGGATCTCTGGCCCACGCTGGAGTGCAATGGCGCAATTTTGGCTCTCTGAAACCTCCGCCTCCTGGAGGTGATCCTCCTGCCTCCCGAGTAGCCGGGACTACAGGCATACGCCACCAGACCTGCCAAAGTTGTTTGGTATTGTTAGTAAAGATGGGCTTTCGCCATGTTAGCCAGGCTGGTCTCATTTGAGATACACGTGCCTCAGCCTCCTAAAGTGCTAGGATTACAGGCGTGAGCCACCTTGCCTGGCAAAAAAATAAAAATAAAAATAAAATAAAGATAAAAATAAAATAATAATAATAATAATAATCCAGCAGGGCGCGGTGGCTCATGCCTGTAATCCCTGTCCTTTGGGAGGCCGAGGCGGGCGGATCACGAGGTCAGGAGATCGAGACCATCCTGGCTAACACGGTGAAACCCCGTCTATACTTAAAAAAAAAAAATACAAAAAATTAGCCAGGCGTAGTGGCGTGCGCCAGCAGTCCCAGCTAGTCGGGAGGCTGAGGCGGCAGAATAGCATGAACCTGGGAGGCGGAGCTTGCAGTGAGCAGAGGCATGCCACTGCATTCCAGCCTGAGCAACAGAGTGATACTCCGTCTCAAAAACAAAAAAACAAAACAACAAAAAAAACTACCAAAAAAAAAAAAAAAAAAGAAAAATGTGGATTTTTTTTTTCTTTTCTTTTCTTTTTTTTTTTTTTTTTCTTTTGAGACGGAGTCTGGCTCTGTCGCTCAGCCTGGAGTGCAGTGGCGTGTCTCAGCTCACTGCAAGCTCCGCCTCCCGGGTTCATGCCATTCTCCTGCCTCAGCTGCTCGAGTAGCTGGGAGTACAGGTGCCTGCCACCAGCCCAGCTAATTTTTTGTATTTTTAGTGGAGACGGGGTTTCACCGTGTTAGCCAGGATGGTCTCGATCTCCTGACCTTGTGATCTGCCCGCCTCGGCCTCCTAAAGTGTTGGGATTACCGGCGTGACCCACTGTGCCTGGCCAGAAAAAAATCCACATTTAAAAAATATAGAATACAAATTATTATGGACATTACCATTTTTATATCAGTCACTTGAGAAATGGCACTTTTCTCAAATGAGTATTGTATATTGGAATCAATTTTGCAAAATCAGAAAATGTGATTTATTTCTGGGGATGCTAGGCATATTAGACATTTTTTCCAGTTGCATTTAGGTATGGGGAAAAAAGAGCTAGACAGAGAAATTCTGTGACTTAATCCAGCTAGTCTATGACTACACAGGACAAACCTATAGTCTGATACAATTGCATTGACTTGGTAGAGTAAGGTAGACCATGCCTGTGGGGCAACTAAAGTAATAAAAGGAGGTACTGTACGATTTATGGGAGAGGTGGTGAGTAGGTATTTAAACACAGCAGAGTTTCAATAGGTTCAAGGTAAAGGACGCCTATGTATTAAAGGTCAAAACATCATGTTTAGACTGTGAGAGAACCCAGTGTCTTTATTCCTTGTAGATCACAAGTTGACATTTGTGTGGAATTTTGAGTGCAAATGCCTGTTATTTGAAGCTATGCACCTAGGCTGGAAAACAGTTTTTCTTCTATGGAAAGTGACAAATCAGCCGGGCAAGAGTGCTAAGTTTTATCTTCACCGATAACATTTCAAACAGCAAATACTCTGTTTATAATTTTAGAACATAAAGTTTCTCAGTGAGTAAGAAAGCCGAAGTCATTCAGAGATGATAATTTTTGTGACCCTTTATAGCTGTACCCAGACTTTGGCAGAAATATTTATTTCCATTAAGTCGGGAGCTGGCTTTTCGGTTCTCCCCTCAACGTGATGAATTGAGGTGGTGGATTTTAACCTTTTCATCTTTGTTTTATTTTCTAACCTGTTAGAATTTACTTATCTCAGCATTATTGCTATTTCCAGTAACAAAGCTGAACTTGCTTGTTTATACTATATACAATTTAAAGTAAACTACCACGTTAGCCTCTATATTTGAAAGTAAAACTAAGTAAAATTTGGTCATTTTTATTACCGTGAGTGTCCATATACTTTTACTACATTTGTATGCAATTTAATGTAACTAGTTTAAATTTAACATTAGTATTAATGATATCCACTGTGGGTGCTCTTTTTTCTATCGGCTCTTTTTTGTGTGCACATTTAGGTGATTTCTTACATTTTGCTATTAAATATTGTTTCAGATAACTTTCTTCTGCACTCCTAGTTTCCTAATGTACAAGGAAATTTGTCAGTAGGGATTTTATATTGATAGTCATGCAGCAACACACATGTACACTTGTACATGTTTAATATAAACAGACCAGTTAGATAATATAAAGCGCAAAATAAAACAAGTAAATATTGCCCAGTTCTCAAACGATGAAGAAACTAGCCTTCATGGCAAAATCTTTAGCACGAAGTCATTTGCCACTCTACAAAATAAACAGAGGTCGGGAGCTGTGGCTCAAGCTTGTAATCCAGCATTTTTGGAGGCCAAGAAATTCAGATCACTTTAGGCTAGGACTTCAAGACCAGTCTGGCCAACACCAGGAAACCTGATCTCTATGAAAAATATGAAAATTAGCCAGACATGGTGGTGTACGCCTATAGTACCTTACAGTTACTTTGGAGGCCGAGGCATGAGAATCGTTTGAACCTGGTAGGCTGAGTCTGAAGTGACCTGAGATTGCACCATGCACCCTAGCATAGGTGACAGAGCGAGACTTCAACTCAAAAATAAATATAAATATAAACAAATATATAAATAATAGACATGGTATCCTTCACTTCAGGCAGTTATCATTTTTTTCTTCTTTTTTTTTAATTTTGAGACAGTGTCTCACTCTGTTGTCCACACTGGATTGCTTTGGCATCATCATAGCTCACTGCAGGCTTGAACTCCTGAGTTCAAATGCTTGGCCTCCCATTTGAGCCTCCTCAGTAGCTGGAATTACAGGCACACACAACCATGTGCAGTGTGTGTGTGTGTGTGTGTGTGTTTTGTTTGTGAACTATTCTTTTGAATCACATCTTTTTATAACCCAATCTTTTTATTCATTATTTTAGTTAAACTCTGTTTCAACTGCAATGTGCTTTTATATTAACTTTTTTTTCACAGGGTAGCATGGGATACACTTTCCGAGCTCTGGTATATGTAAAGTTGTCTTTCTACTAATTTTCCATGAGTTTGAAAATTTACGTGTATGAAATTTTTGGTCATGCCATATGAATTCTTTTTACCAAGAATTCTTTAGACATTGCCATATATTCTGGAGTTTTGTTTATAGAAGAGACATGTGTGGCCAATTTGACCAGTGACTTCTATTCAGGAAAATTCTTAATTTATGTTTATGCTATAAGATTTTTTTAACACATTAAATTAAAAAATTTGACCAGGATAAGCTCAATGCCTCTCTCAGTTTGTATAGGTGAGGTTAACACAAGACCATTGTGTACTGTGTTGTTTGTTTATGGCATTAATATACCTTGCTGAATGATCACTACCTGTTGACCTGCCTCCTTGCCTCCTCATAGGCTCCACTTACCTCTTTAGCCACATTAAAAAGTTGGCTTTTTAAATGCTGTATCTTTAGCATGTTGCACAGTGCTTGATACAGCATAACTCTCAATAAATATTTGTTGAGGGAATGAGTAAGCCAGCAAGTATAAACCTTTCATAAAATTCCAGAATTTGACACCATTTCTGTAAGTGAAGTCGAATGCAATCCATGGGATAGACATGTTTATGAATGAGAATTAAGAGTCTATATATTTTTAAATAGAAAATTGAGAGAAGATTAAAATATTGGTACAAAAATTAAAACATTATTTGATAATGTTATTTAATATTTGATAACACATTATCTATATTATGAATGAATTCAAGTTACCTTATCTTTAGTGCATCTATTGACTCTTGCATGGATGTTTACTTCATTACGGTAACTTTCAGTGATTTCTGATGCTATGATTATTTCTAGTAGGCATTGTCTTTCCTGGGAGCACCCTGCGTTTTGGATGCTAGTACACACATGCATTTCCATTTTACCTCTGAGAGGAGGCAAAATTTACTGTCAATACAGTAGATGCCCATCTATAAAGTAAAAATTCTAATGGAGTTGCATGTGGGTAGGCTTGTGTTCCAATTGCTGATAGGCCACTCTCTTCCCCACCACCCCGGAGTGATATGCAGAAGGAACGCTGCCAACCATTCTCCAGGAGAAAAATCAGATCATGTCTCATAGTTTCTGAGTTTATATGGAGGTTTTGTGCCTTTCAAGACATGAGAACCTCATCTTGCACCATTAGTTGAGAATCAGAACTCATGATCTCACCCTGCAAAATGAAAATCTGTGCTGGAAAACAGTAAGCCCACCTTGGCTTCAGCTCTAGCTTACTGCATGAGCTTTGTGATCCTGCTTCATATCCCGCATGTGATTTTTTTTGAGTTCCACCTTTATATTTAATAGTTTTCATTTACACAGCATTCCTGTGTGTTTGGAGGAGAAGTTCACTCTGCTATGTCGACTGGACATCTTTATATTTCCAGTGTCTTCCCAAATCTGTGGGCCATGCTTGCATCTCCTGAATTAATCATTTAATAAATGAATAAAGCAGGTGCGACTACCCTATGAGAGTCACAATGTTGGTGTTCATTGAGAGGGTGGACAATAGACCCCATGACATTTCAGGAAAAATGATAAGAAATAATGGGAAATGGGAGAGTATAAAATAGCAGACAACCCAACACTAAGGAATAATTTCTGTTACTTGCATAAACTGCCTGAGGCCTGATTTCTGTAGGACAGTATTTTTAAAGTCCCCATAATGACCCTAGTTTTGCCATGCTGATGCTTTACTTATTTTATTAAGGTTCTGTAGCTCTTCACTAAATACACGCTATAAAACTTCTGCTCAAACAAAGGAGGATGTCATCAAAAATAAATAGTTTGGAATAGTGGAAATACCATCTACTGCAAATTTCTGGTAGCAAATTCCTTTCTGTAACACCCCTGACTTGACAAATTTGGATCATATTACAGGTGATTTTTTTTTGACAATAATGTTAGTTTTCTCCCAGATAGAAACTTTGTGTTGCCTGCTTTCCAGACATACCCCAACCCCAGCTAATTCTTATGAAAATGTCTTCCATTATTCAAAGAAAAAAAAAATTGAAAAAATTTCTCTGTGTATTTATTTTCCATTTGATAAAAAGAATAGTTTAACTAACTAGGACATGCATTCCATTCTCTTAGCCCCTGTGGTAACAGATAGTAACAGAGTTTTTTCTTTTTCTTCTTCTTTCATCTGTATTTGCTAAATATATTATGAACGGCAGGATAGTACTTGCTAGGAAAGTAGATTATAAAGATAAATGTAAGAAGCATTACGTTATTTCCCCAACCAGTTGCAAATGTGCGTTTATTATATTATATCCCATAAATATCAGGACAACTACACCAGCTGCTCTGTACTCTCAGAGGGCATGGTATTTCTTCTTATTTTGGCAACAGCCACCACTTCCAAAGGAAAAAAAATCTCTCACAAGCCTGAATTAAACAGGTGGAGCTTTCACCAGTCCTACAGATAAAACAGTAGGACCTGATAGCTCTCTGCTGACAGTGTGTTTCCATTAAAAAAAAAAGAAAGTAAAAAAGATATGAAATTCAGACATTAAAAACAGTTCTTTGGATATTAAAAATTGTAATTTTCTGATATTTTATAACAGTTATATATATTTCTCTTGGCAATGTTTCACTCAGTGAGAGTGACAACAAAGAGAGTTAACACCCCAGATAGACTGAATAACACATGGCTTACTCACTTCCATTGGTATGAATACTTTCTTTTGTGTTACTGCATTTTTGTACAATGCAATCAGACAAAAGGAAAATGTGTTATTGTGTTGTACAACATGCACTGTAGAAAATGCATTGTACAAAATTGTGTTATTGCATTGTACAAAATGTGCAACGTGTTAGCTTATGTTAAAATCAGAGGCTGGGTGCGATGGCTCATGCCTGTAATCCCAGCACTTTGGGAGGCCAAGACAGGTGGATCACGAGGTCAGGAGATCAAGATCATCCTGGCTAACACGGTGAAACCCCGTCTCCACTAAAACTACAAAAAAAAAAAAATAGCCGGGTGTGGTGGCAGGCACCTGTAGTCCCAGCTGCTAGGGAGTCTGAGGCAGGAGAATGGTGTGAACCCAGGAGGCGGAGCTTGCAGTGAGCCAAGATCGCACCACTGCACTCCAGCCTGGGTGACAGAGCGGGACTCTGTCTCAAAAATAAATAAACTAATAAAAATAAACATAAAATAAAATCAGAAACCCCATTCAAGTGCCATAAAAATATGAGATGTATATTATTCTTTATTTTATGGGTTTTATTATATTCTATCAAATGGTAAGATTACACATTTTCTTTCTCTTAATAAAATAACACTACACTTTCAAAAAAGGCTGAGAAGTGCTGTCCTGAGCATCTTGATTTCAACATTCTTGAATACTGTCCATAAATTACTAAGTTACTGTTTGATACTGGAAAAAACATCCCTACACAACTACCACTAAGATATGGAAGTACATCATTCCAAGCTTGACAAACTACAGTATGATGATTGCCTAAAGGGGATTCCAAATCTTATGGCAATTTTTTCTCAATTCACACATACTCACTTTAACACTCTGTTGAATTTCCCTCGTGAACTCACACATGCACACACACCCCACCCCACCCATGTCCTACAGTGGAAACACTGCTGACTCTGTTCTGGTGAAGGGCGCAGAAATCAAAATCCATTGAGTCCCCATCAATAATCTCATAGGTTCATACCTCTAGACTCCTCTGAAACAGGCAGAAGAAGCTTCAGAAAAGTTTTCAGAAAAAAATCTAGATTCACAATTTAGCCCTGATACTTAGGAGAGTTGATGCTGGTTGTTACTTATTTTTCAACCTTTGTTTCGTCGTTTGTAAAACGACTAAAATAACCTGTGCCATTTCTTACCCAATGATTTTTTATCATAATCAGGTGAGATAACATATGTAGAAATCTGGAAATTGTTTATGAAATGTAATATTCCTATTTTTAGAAGGTTTATAGTTAGTACATGTAGCAAACGCGCTTGCCTTTCTGTGTGCCAGTCAATGTTCTAAGTGGCCTAAGTTTTTTAACTCATTTCATCATCCCAATCTCTGTATGAAGTCTAAATGATTATCAGCACCATTTGATATACCAGTAAACTGAGACACTATGAGACAAAGTAATTCATTTATGCGTTAATACCTACACTATACCAATGTTTTATGGATGTCACTGACTGAACTCATGCCATGCATATCTATCCCATACCTAGGCTATAAGACCAGTAGACTGGTATATAATGTGGTTTAACTATACAATGTAAGAGAGAGATTCCACACAGAAGCCCTCAAAATACAGTGCGAGCCAATCCTAGGAAAAAGTTAGAAGAGAAAAATCAAAGTATCTAAATTATCTAAACGGAAACAACGGACTTTGGCCATGGAAGAACAGAGGATTATGATAGTGACCTGTTCCTGAACAGCTCTTAACTGCAGAAGGTTGGGCCCTTCAATTGTTCTTTGTTAGTATCATTATCATAGTACTCGAAAGCAATAGCAGAAATTAAAAATGTGGCAATGAAGTATTTGAGATATGATACCTCCTATTGGTGAGAGTAAAAGGATGAAATGAAAGTGTTATTAAATTAAAATGAGCAAGGGAAAGATGGGAATACAAAGAAATAAGTGTCACCAAATTGTTTAGATAATGCAGAAAGAGCTCAAAGAATGCATCAGAGTAACTCTATCCGTAGTGTACTATTTGACTAGAACACCACATCCTTCATGTACTCTTTGACTAGAACACCATGTCCTTAAGAACTAACCTTAAGTAGGCATGGCACCAACGATACCTTTGTGGGGAAAGCAGAAATTCAGATGCATTTACAGAGTGTGTTATGGCGTATATGTGACTTCCCTTCAGCTACTCGATCTCTCTCTGTTTTGTTATGACTACTTTTTTAGAGATTTTAATCTTGCTTCCCAGTTACCAATTACCTAATCACATAACATTAATTTCTTAGCATGCACTTTAGCTGCCAGAAGAAGAGATGACTTTGGTAAGGGGGCATAGCTAGTTTATTTGTTGATCTATCACTGAGTAACAAATTATAGCAAAACTTAGTGGCTTCAAAAAACACCATTAATTACTTCACAGTTTCTGTGGGTCTGGAAACTGGGCATAGTTATCAGGGTATGTCTGGCTCAAGGCTTCTCACGAAACTGCAGTCAAGGTGTTAGCCAGGATTTCAGTCATTTTAAAACACATGTGGGGAAAGATGTGCTTCCAAGCTCGTTCACCTGGCTGTTGGCAGGATTTAGTTCTTCATGGGCTGCTGCGCTAAGGACTTGAGTTCCTAACTGGCTATTAGCTAAAGGTGGTCTCTACCGTATTGACACATGAGTGTGCTCATAATGCAGCTCAAACATGACAGCCAGCTGTCTAGGAAACAGCTTGGACAGGGGATGGGTGAGGTGTTCCACATTTGGGCTTCCACAGGTGAGATGTATAGGCAAGGTACTTTAAAATATTAGTAAAATGAATCATTAAGGGGACCATGCATGGTGGCTTATTCCTGTAATTCCAGCACTTTGAGAGGTCAGGGCAGGAAGATTGCTTGAGGCCAGGAGTCTGAGAGTAGCTTGGGCAACATAGCAAGACCCATCTCTACAACAAGTACGTAAATAAAAATTTCATTTGGCATGGTAGCATGCATCTGTTTTTCCAGCCACTTGGGAGGCTGAGATGGGAGGACCACTTGAGCCCAGGATTTCAGGACTGCAGGGAGCTATAATCATGCCACTGCACTCCAGCCTGGACAACAGCGTGAGAACCTATATCAGGAAACAACATAGTTAAGAGAAAACAGTGAAAGATGATGGCTGAACTAAAGTGTAAGAGAAGGTCTTTGGAAACTAGGAACTTCAGGAACTGGTATGATTTGGTGGGCCTTTGTGTGAATGTTAAACTCACTGTAATCATTGACAGGAATTGGAATGGACAGGAAGATTGTGAGAATAAAGGGAGTGGGTCATAAATTTAGGAAAGTGTACTTGATATGATATTAGAAAGGGACGAAGAAGAATCTGTGACCTCGCTCAGGCCTTGCAGTATATGGAGTGTGAGGGAATAAGTGGCCTCTCCTTGGGTGGGCTGCAAGAGAAGTAGTGACCTCTATGGAGAACCTGTGTTATTTCAGGCACAAAGGTTGAAGGTTATTAATTGAGGTTGTTGTGCATACAGAGGAGTTTATTTGCCATAAAGTATTAACTCTAGAATTGCCCAAATTCCCTTTCAAACTGGCCTACTTGATAAAATGTTATAGTAAATCTCCTTCCTTCCATGTGTTGCTTGTCCTGTATCGCATATACCCCACTAAACAAACCTCAGACTTGTTTTCTGGGCAACTCAAGCTAGGACAAAGGGAAAGGGAAGCGTAATACTATTTATTCAAAGGGGTTTATGTGTGCATATGTATAATATACATGATGTATATTATGTATATTATACATATACATAGTATATGTATTGGCATATATGTATTGGCATAATATATCCTTGGCATTCATCAGCTTGTAGCTATACCGCTTCAGCATCTACCTCTGTCTTCACATGGCTGTCTTCCCTCTGTGTCTCTGTGTCTCTAAAACTCTCTATCCTTATAACAATATAAGACATTGAATTTAGGGTATACCATAATGTAATGTGACTTACCTTAACTTGATTATATTTGAAAAGTTTATATTTCCAAATAAGGTTATAGTCACAGGTCCTCAGGGTTATTTCAACATAGTTTTTTGTTTTTTTTTTTTTGTTTTTTTAGAGAATTCAACCAACTACAGGGTTATTACCAAATAATTATTAGAATGTTGACACTAATTCCTACAAACCAAAGCTTCTACTAAAATAAAGAAAGATGAGGTAGCAAGGTAACAAATGTATTACTCAGGTAAACCACCAAATCTCAGGACCTGGAAGCAGTCATGAGATTTGGTAGTTTACCTAAGTAAATAATTCCAAAGAAATTATCTCCCTAACCACAATTAAGATGGTTCTTAGATTAGGCATATCCTTAGTCCTGCTAATGTTGTAGCTTTGCTTTGCTATTCACACTTCTGGAGCTGAAAATACCTTAGGGGCCTCATCCATTAAGGAAAACAAAAATAAAAGGGGCAGTACATCAGAGTTGTTTTCCTACTTCAAATGACTGGATTCTGAGCTTCCCCGCTATCTCAACGTTCTCTGAGGTGGAGTGCTTAGCATCCAAACAACGTGCAAATGCATACTGGGAAACACTAAGCTTCTTTCTTACCAGAAACACCACTGAGAAGAAAACAAGGGAGTTTCTCTATGTTGGCAAACGATTTTGCTACAAAGGATACGTGAAAGCAAAGAGATGTTGCTCCACTCTCACAGACTTCAGCACTACAAGTATGTGCTGACATGCAGACCAGCTCTCAGTTCTAAAACATAGAACCCTCTAGCAGACAGGCTATCTAGAAAAAGTACAAAAGTTGAAAGTCTTTTCACGTGGCCTCTTAAACACACATGAGTTTTGTTGTTGTTTGTTTCTTTTGTTTTGTTTTGAGACGGAGTCTCGCTCTGTCGCCCAGGCTGGAGAGCAGTGGCTCCACCTCGGCTCACTGCAAGCTCCGCCTCCCGAGTTCGCGCCACTGTCCTGCCACAGCCTCCCCGAGTAGCTGGGACTACAGGCACCGGCCACCATGCCCTGCAAATTTTTTGTATTTTTAGTAGAGACGGGGTTTCACCGCGTTAGCCAGGATGGTCTTGGTCTACAGAACTCTTGATCCGCCCACCTCGGCCTCCCAAAGTGCTGGGATTACAGGCGTGAGCCACCCTGCCAGGCCCTGTTGTTTGTTGCTTCAGGCCAACATGTTTTATTAATTTTACAACACTCTGTGCAATAATTTTTAAGGACGTATGAATATGGAGTTTACTTAGTGTAATATTTGTGTTACACCCACAAAAAATTCCAAATTGCAGATGTTTTATACCTTAAAGCTCTTTGTCACTTTTGATAATGGTTTTCCAACTTTATATATAATATTTTATTATTGTTAAAAAATTCAGCCTGATTAATTTTAGGGTCAAGAATCTATTATTAGAATTTGAATCATTTATATAAATATATGACACTATCCTGCTGTATTTTTCTTTACCACATTCTATGGACTCACTTTATTCTCTTCATTTGCATTACTGTAGTCTTCCTCTAAAGCCAAGTAAGTTTACAAATGGATCAAAAATTATTTTTGGTTTTTATTTCCTCACAGGTGTTTTTAGCTCCGTGCTTTCATCATCAGTTCATTTTGCCAACAAGCATTATCACAAACTATGTAATTGTCACATTCAACTTTATGCCATTTTTCAACTGACTCCTCATCTTCTAATACACAGAACTGAAATTCATATTTGCTTCAAACTCTGCTACTGGTCCCCCAATACTCACCGTTATTTAATTAGTTATTAATATTTTTGGTTTATGCATGTTTACCTTCCATTACACCTACTTGTTTTCATAGGTCCTGTTCAGAACACATTTCTCAACTTCTGAACCTAAAAATGATAGTTCCTTCAAAATAATTCCTCTGTTTACAACTTTGCCTTTTCTATATGGCCTTTAGTTTCTTCATCTGTAAAATGAGTGATTAGATCAATGCTATTCAAGTCTACTACATCTTTTGTGGCCTTTTAAACTTGACACAAGCCCTCTTTGCTAAGTGATACTAGAAATTAATATTACAAAAACTCAGCAAGAAATTACATTTGATGTAAGTCCCGGTGTGGTGGCTCTTGCCTGTAATCCCAGCACTTTGGGAGGCTGAGGCGGGCAGATCACAAGGTCAGGAGATCGAGACCAGCCTGGTAACACCATGAAAGCCTCTACTAAAAACACATCTCTACTAAAAATGCAAAAATATTAGCCAGGCATGGTGGTGGGCACCCGTAGTCCCAGCTGCTCGGGAGGCTGAGACAGGAGAATGGTGGAACCTGGGAGACAGAGCTTGCAGTGAGACAAGATAGCGCCACTGCACTCCAGCCTGGGTGACAGAGCAAGACTCCATCTCAAAAAAAAAAAAAAAAAAAAGAAAAAGAAATTACTTTTGATATAATAATATACTTATTTAATCATATTTGATAATGTTACTCAAATATTTCAAGTAAACAGATAATGTAAAGATAAATTTAATATGTAAGAATACATAATATTCCAAAAAAAAAAAAATCTGAACACCTTGGCTTACACCGTTTGACCTCACATGTTGCTGGCCTGCAGCTAAGGGTATAGTATGCAATTTGAATTTCATGTTAAAACAATTCAATAATTTTTGTTAGTTGTAATTGATGAGTGATGGGCAATTTTATTTTTAGAGCCAAATGGAAAAATAACATCTGATTAGACAGAATCCAGGCAAAAATAAAAAATAAAAAAATAAAAGGTCATAATGTGTAAAGCAAGAAAATCTACGAACTTTGTTGTCTCTCTTCTTCTATTTCCTTCTGTTGCTATGTGAACAAAGGGAGACAGGGGATCTTGGAGCACAGGAGCAAAGGGGAAAGGCCCAGATATTCAGGTTGATGAGAATATGCATAATGCTAAAATTACAATGAATAAACATTAAAAATATCCATTATTAGCATAACGGTAGCAATAAATACTTAAAATAAATATTTATAATGCAGAAACTTTTTCAGCATCTGAACTGAATACAATATATTGTATTTTATGATAATCTGAAAGCAGAGGGTCAGTCCAAAATTGACTCTAGTGTCAGTGTAGGAATTAATAGTAATAAATATCCAATCCATGTTTAAGTATATGAATTAGGTCTGATTAAAGCTAATAGAGGAGAAAAAGTGAGGGAAAATATTCAGTTCTACTTATTTACTAAGGAGAGATCTGGCTAAATAAGATTTATCTGCTTAACTTGTAACATTGCTTAAGTTCAATTGCTTAATTAAAATACTAATTTTTAAATAAGAAAGATGGGGTTAATTAATATCTTGTATCTCAGACACATCTCTAACCCTTAATTTTTGCTATTCATATAGGGTATGAAGGTGACCACTGATGATAGTAAACAAATTTATTCATTCATTAAATGAATCATATGGAATCAACAAAAATGTATTGCTTATCTAGATGTTGTCAGAGTTGAATCTTGAAGCATAAATAAACAATACTTATTTATTAACATGCATGGTATTCTGCTGGTCATTATAGCTGTATCTGCCTATGTGACAGCTTACAATTTTCCAGACTCATGGTATTATGGGCTGAATTCCCAAGCCCTCCACCCATTGGTATTAAAGTCCTAACACCGTTACATCAGAATGTTACTGTATTTGGTGATAGGGGCTTTAAAAAGGTAATTATGTTAAACTAAAGCAGTTGGATATGGCCTTATTCCAATCTCACTGGTGTCCTTATAAAAGGAGGACATTCTGACACACAAGGGTACATCAGGAATGCATGAGCACAGAGATAAGACCATGTAAACACACAAAGGGTGGTCAGCCATTTGCAAGCCAAAGACAGAGGTCTCAGAAAAAAATCAAAGCTGATGATATCTTGACTTGGACTTCCAGCTTCCAGAACTTTGAAACAATAAATTTCTGTTTTTTTGATAATGTTACCAAGTGTCACCAACTGTGTGATGTTTTGCTATGGCACTAACCCACATAGATCAAGGGCTGAAACAATCTAAAGGAGTTTCTTCAAAAATCTTTCTATTTACAGCATTATATTACCGGGGCTTTTAGCTCCAGGGAATGACTGAATGAGTTTTTGTTTCCGATCTTTGGTGACGCATTATACTATAATAATATAGTACCAAGATAGGCATTTCCATTGGCTTTCCTCTACTCTGCCTTCTGGACTTCAGCTTTATTTTCACCAGGTTGATTTTCCAGGCACTACATAGGGTCTCTCTGGGCAGCCAAAGGAGTGGGCGTCACAGCCAAGAACTAAGGTTGCTGAACTTCATTCAGACTTTCTCAGTGAGCTAGCCATCCACCAGCTGCTATGGGCTGTCTAGGGCCAGGAACGAGCTGAGCTGACCCAGCACTGGTGAGGTCCTGATAGTGAGACCTCCTGAAGTTTTGACAGCAGGCACCTTACTCTCTTCGCTTGAGTTCCAGCCCTATTGATACCACACCCCTCCCAAGCCTTTCTTGACATTCCTTCAGAGCATTTGTAGTTTTGTTGGAAAGAAACAGGCGATAGTTACAAGAGATTAGAAAAATGTGTTAGCTTTGAAAATAAGTGCTAAATGAATGATCTAAGTGAGTTCTTCTTGAGTTCAGGACATAGATTGCTTTACCTCAATGCTATAAAAATAGCTTCAGAGAGAATGGGGAGCTTGAATGACGCATAAGATTCTCACATGCTTGGAAGCTGTTATCTTCAAATAAAACAATGTAAAAAGATGGAAAATAAGTATTATCATATATAATTTAGAAACTTCAGAAACAAAAACATGGGTTAGAAGTCTGGCTATGCCAGTTACCAACTAGGTAGCATGCAGCAAATTAAAAACTCTCTGAATTTCTACTTTCTCATGAGGTTGTTTAGATGATTAGAAATCACCTATATAAAATGACTGACTTTGTGCCAGGCAAGTGGCCTGGACTCACTAAACGGTTGTACACATATTAACATTGTTTCATGATTAATGCCAATCTAATAATGATTGTTTCAGCAGTCCTTATTTTAGCACTCCCATGAATGAAAGACTTCAGAAATCAAAATAGACCTCAGCAATAATTTAGTCGAGTCTCCTCATTTTCTGGAGAAAATGGATGCCCAGAGATATTAAATGACTTGGCAGAGGTTACAGAGCCAGTTGGCAGCAGAGACAGCATCAGCCACAAAACATAAAATTTTTTACTCTGGATCAGAATACATTTCATTTTAGATTCCTTTATTGAAAGCAGTACACATATCTTAAGTATTTATTTTTAAAATCATACCAATTACATATGAAGGGTGAATGAACTGAAATAGATGGAAGGACATTAAATCTAAGTGTTGTGGTAGTGCTACAAATTTACACATAGAACAACTGTGATGTAGCAGTACTTGAAAGTTTTTGGTTGTGTCTTATCAACCTAATCTTCCTTACAAGCCCTGACCCTGACTAATTTGTGGTGGTGGTTTTAAGTGGCTAATTAATAGTATCTAACACTATTGTGTAATTTTTTTTTCAGGTAAGAGCTTTGTTTTACAGGGTGCCACTTATAAGTCCCAAAGTACCAAATGAGAATGTGAGGAGGGGCACAAGTGGAACACTTGCCCTTGCAAAATGGAAAAGAGATGGGGACTCCTGGCGTGACCTTTGGGTCCCTGGTTTCACCCAGATCTTCACTGTAGGATTTCTGGATCATTCTGAGATTCTCGTGCTCTATTCTGAGTAACAGCATAAATTTGTGACTTGTTGTATTGGATAATTCAGGAGTTAGTTGTGCTCTTCTATTTTCAAAAATTTGAAAGTAAATAAATAAATAAACCCTCTATTAGATGCCCAATGAGACTGTTTATGTGATGGCTTTAGCACCATGACTACCTTATCTCTTGTCAGTGTAGCCCCGCGAATGCCTCCTAGCACTGTGCTGAGTTATCTTCCATCTCTTCCAGGAGACACGGGGGCACATCAGAGTCCTATCCTTGGCCCCCTACATAAGGGCATCTCTGAAACTTCTCTCAGCATTCGCTCTCTCCTTAACAATGCCGTATCTTCATTTTACTTTTTCTGTGCCATAGGTGACCTATGTTGCCACAAACACGACATAGTGAAGTTCTTTTTCAGAGATCAAATCACAAGTGGGCAAAATTTCCCTTTAACTCCACACCTCTGACTCTGGGATTTCAGAAGAGCAGGAAAAACCTATGCTCCTTATGTTTTACTATTTTTTACTTTTTCTTTCTTTTTGTGTGTTTTGCTCTTGTTGCCCAGGCTGGAGTACAATGGGGCAATCTCGGCTCACCGCAACCTCTGCTTCCTGGGTTCAAGTGATTCTCCTGCCTCAGTCTCTGGAGTTATCTAGGATTACAGGCATGCACCGCAAAGCCTGGCTAATTTTGTGTTTTTAGTAGATATGGGGTTTCTCCATGTTGGACAGGCTGGTCTCGAACTCCCAACCTTAGGTGCTCTACCCACCTCAGCGTCATATTATGTTGGGATTATAGGCATGAGCCACTGCACCTGGCCTACTTTTTGCTTTCTTCTCCACCGTGGTTTCCTTCTTCCCAGACCTCACTTGTCCATAAAAATTTTCATTTAATTTCTTCTCTGTCTACCCAAAATCCCTTCCCTTTTTGTGCCTTCTCTGCACTTTGGCTAATGTTAATTATCTACAATTTGTGTCAGATAGGCTAGGATCTTCATAGTACAAGCTCAGGCTTCTACAAACTAGTGTTTGTAGAAACTAGGGCAAATAATATATTGGTTTACTAGTCCACAGATATTTTTTCTCATACAATACCTAGTTTTATGTAGACCTAAGTGGGGCTATGTCAAAAATTTCTTGAAACTATTAAAAAATGTTTCCTTTTCACTTAGAATAAAATACAAACTTCCTACCCAAACTTGAAGGGTCTGGCTTCCCCTCCTCCTCTATCTTTCAACGTCACCTCAACCTGCTTCTCCCAGGTTCACTGTACCCTAAAAAGACATATTAAATCAATGCTCCTCCCTTTAGGGTCTTTTTTCTAATTCTATTTTTCTGAATCTGCACACCCGGTTTCTTCCCATCTTTTAGGTCTAGACTGTAGAGTTACCCCCAAAGAGGAATTTCCTAAGCTTCTGGTTGAAGGACTTAGGAGATGACCTTCCACTCTCTCAAGCAAATTATTTCTCACACAGCACCTTGGTTACTTTTCTCACAGTGCTTAAGAAAATCTGAAATTATTTTATGCATTAATGTGCTTGTTCATTGTTTTCTGATAGTATAGAAAACACAGAGATCAAAGGTTATTCTTACCTTATTCACCATTTTATGCTTGGAACTATTAACGTATAGTGCCTGAATAACCAGTGCTTAATAAATAACTACTAGATAAATAGTCTAATGAATGGAAGTATGTGGATCTACCAGGAGTTTTCATGACATGCACATTTCTTTATGTCCCTAAATTATTTACACTTTTGACAATACTGTGAAGACCATAATTGTAAGAACTAAAGAAAGAGGAGAGAAACACAAAGGGTAGCTTGAGAGTCAATAAGGAGAGATTTGTTTTAGAAAACAAACCTGATAGGGGCTTCTGGCCTAGTTGAGTCTGAGCCACACTCTCTTATAGGTTAAGACTTTTTAAGGATTCAGGACAGGAGAGTTTGTCAGAGGCTTGGACTGCTTCTGTGTCTCTTTGTTGTGCTTATCTGTGAGTGCAGCAGGATAATTTAGGAATCAGAGAGACAGAGAGGTTGAGGAGAATACTTATTATTTAGGTGCATCCACCCAGTCAGATTAACATCCAAAAGGACAGAGCCCCAAACAAAGAGTCCAGTTGCCTTTTAAGCATTTTGTGGGGTGGGGGTAGATCTGTGCAGGGGGGAAGCATATTACAGAAGTGAGAAACAAAGGCAGTTATTCAGTTGAGACATGCATGACATCGTTTCTTACGTTTCAAGGAAAAACATGTTTTATGCCTTGAGTTTATCTGCCTTGTGACCTTGCAGCTGCACAGCTAGAAAAACAGGTTCTTCACAATGCCTGGGAAAGGGAGAGATAAGGCTCACTAGCCACCAGAAAAACAGGCAGTTAAATTTTGAAGGACTTCAGCTCTTTCTCTTCCTCAGGGAGAATTGGGTTATCTTACCTACAACTGAGTTTTTGCCTACACATTCTTTAATTTCTTTTAATTCCTGTTTCAGGGGGTAGGGTTGTGTGTCTGTTTCCAGATATATTCCTGAAGCTGCAGACATACCCCCAGCGACTGCTTTTAGCTTCCCTATGTTAGTGCATCTGAAGGGAAAGCAATGTGCTTATTAAGGCCCACTGTTTTACTGACGTCTGCTTTATGAAGGTGAAGTTTGGCAATTACCCAAGAGACTTCCTCTCCACCTCCCTCTGTACCCCAGCTGTCTTTTCTGTGTTTTAGTGTCTGCTCTTTCTGGCTGCTAGTTGTCAGAAGACAAGTGATTTCTTTGAAATGCATGAGGTTAGAAAGGAAGCTGATCTTCAGTTGGCAGTGTTTGTCCAAGATGATGGTGCCCTTGTTCTGTCATTCCAGACCCTTTAGTTACAAAAGAACAAGAGGCAACATGTTCCTTCTGGCTACTTCCTGCTGATGCAGGGGTGGGTGCAGAAAGTTTTTTTGATCTTGGATGGACTGCAGGAGCAACACTGTCCATAGATATTTTTGGGTAGCTGTCTGTGAAATGGCCATGATTCTGTTGGTTAAAAGGTTTTGGAAAAGGTTACTGAGGCAGGGTAAGAACATTAGTCCTAGGTTTTTCAGCAGTGTTTCATATTAGGCCTGATTGGTTGAGACAAAAGCAACATTTCTTTCCCAATGACACGCAGAGGAACATGTTTGGAAAGACCCATGTGTTATTGTTTTATTAGTAACTGTTAGATTTGCTATGATGATAATAATTAAACAAAATGCTACAGTAATTGAGATTCTTTGTTTGATATTTCACCCTTAGGGTACTACAGTATATATTCCTACTGCACATAGTACAACATGCACTCCAGCCTGGGTGACAGAGCGAGGCTCCATCTCAAAAAAAAAAAAAAAAAAAAAAAGTTAATATCTGGCTTAAAGGACAGGTAGGATTGATAAAAAGTACTTGGTAAAGTAGCGTTGGGACTAAGATGAGTAATTTTCACTTAATTACTTATATTTTATTATTTTCAGCTTAAAATTTCTTTTTTTTACGTTGATATTTAGGATGTTTTTAATGGGCTGCTAGGAGCTGCTTTCTCAGCTCTTTCAGCTTTGACTTGAGTGTGTAGTATCTAGGAGTTGATTTCTGTAATGAATATAATTTAAACTGTAGAAAATAATAAAAATTGAAAAACATTAGGCAGACTAGAATTTAGCAACAGGTGCGCTATAGTTTTTGAAACATAATTTTCTCTCTTCAATTTCCCATTTTTATTAAAAGAAAAATCATGGTAGGACAGCTTTCCTTTATTATACTTGGCTTAATTAGTTTTATACAGTGCACCAAAAATAAGTATTTGCTACACATGACTTTTAAGTCAGCTTTGATGGAATTTTGTGTTATAGAAGGAATTTGAGATGAGACTTTTTAAGGCCCAGCCCAGCCATGGATTTCTATCATTAAATACCTATGAGTTGGGTGAATTCCTCTCCTCTTGAGGTTTTAAGATAACATGCATTTCCTGGCCTGTCAGAAAGTGACATTCTATACTTACCACAGATCAGAAACCTTATACAAGGACTGTGTACACAAAATATGAGACCAGTTTTCCAAGGGCTTTATTGGCTTCATAAGTTAAGTTTTATTCACTAAAGGAGAGCATACCATTCCTGTCAAAGCCTTGGTAAAATAACCATCTTTTCCAACTGTGTTTTCTTACAAAAGAAAATACATTCTTATTGCACTGATGCAAACAACAATATTGCTGTAGTTTAAGAATACTTATAACTAGTTTTCAAATTATAGAGGAACTAGGGAGAGAGAAGCAAACCAATTTTAATTTCCATTTACAGAAATATGCTTTACTTAGTTGTTAAAGGCTGTAGCTAGCTTAAGGCAAGTTTTCTTAACTCTGAAACATAAGACACAGATTAGCAGTGTTCTAAGCAAAAGGATAAAAACTTGTTTGTGTTTTTTGTTACTTTAATCCATTTTGTTTTGGTTGATATTTATAACCATTTTAGCTTTTCATGTCTTCTGTAGTTCTGTTGTTGTTTGTTGTTGTTGTTGTGAAAACCCTCCTTTGAGAGCAACTGTTAAAGTTTTACAGCTTGGTAATAAACCATCTTTTGAAGAGAATTTAAACAAAGTAACCATTGTCTGTAAATACCAAAATGTCCAGTTTGGATACAGTCAGAAACATAGTTGACAAAGAAATTTGGTCATTGTGGTTCACAATAACCCAGCATAACAACTTTAATTGTGATTAATAACACATATTTAGACACTAGAACCTTAGACATGGCATACAGCTTTGGAACATGTTATAATATTATACCCTAAAATATAACCTATCAGACACTATTTTGGCAATTTTATGTACCTAAACATGTTAAATAATCATGCTTACCATTTTTTCCAGACGTTCTACCCTTTCGAGATTAGTTAATATGTTTACACACAGAGTTTTCTTTATAGGATTATAATTTACAATGTTTTCACAATTTTCTTAAACAGTCGACTTTATTTTATTTAACTTTAAGACAACTTTTTTATTCTTAAGCAAAATACATAGTTATGCCTTATAATTTTTAACTAAAACCACTTTTTACCATTTTTATACACTTTTATGCAAATCCATGTTTAGCAGTTTTAATTACCTGTTATAACGGTAATTTTTAGCAATTTTTAACTTTAATGTAAAGCCTATTACGTGTTTTTTATTTTGTTTTGTTTTGTTTTCTTTTTGAGACAGAGTCTTGCTCTCTCATCAGGCTAGAGTGTGGTAACTGGATCTCGGCTCACTGCAACCTCCACTTCTTGGATACAAGCGATTCTGCTGCCTCAGCCTCCTGAGTAGCTTGGATTACAGACGCCTGCCACCACACCCAGCTAATTATTGTATTTTTAGTAGGGAGGAGGTTTCACCATGTTTTCCAGGATTGTCTTGATTTCTTGACCTTGTGATCTGCCCACCTCAGGCTCCCAAAGTGCTGGGATTACAAGCATGAGCCGCTGCACCTGGCCATATTTTCATTTCTTTTTGAATTATGTGCTAGATGCAGGTGAAGCTTGACTTCTTCCAGCATAGTTAGGGGCATGGTTACTTCCATATGTTCTGGCCTTACTATAATAAACCACACAGAAATATATACACTGTTTGAAATGAGGAGCTTCATCCAGGCAAGCACGTGATGTGAAGAGTGGCCTGTGGTATTGCGGACCAGGAATGTCAAGTAATTGACATGGTGTTGCAGGACTCAGAAGGATGAGTGAGACCTCGGGGTGAAACAAGAGAATATTTATTGCGTGCACTTAGGCCCAGCTGACTCAATGTCCAAAAGACTGGGCCCGGAACAAAGACAGAATCTGATTTTTATATACACTTCACGAAAGGGGGTGGGCTAGCTTAAAGCAAGCTTATGGTGGCATGAAAGCAGGGATACAGAGGCAGGGCAAAGACAGTATTGCACATGACCATTGCCAAGGCAACCCAGATGTCTGTTACCTAGATTTGTCTGGGCACGGGCTTATCCTATAACCTTCACTATAGTGCCCACGCAGCTATAGTTCAAGCCTACACAGGTTTCTCATGACCTTCATTGTACTTCTTAGATAAAACAGAGTACTTGAAGTCACTAGTTACAGAGAACAACAATCTACAAACTCATTCCATGAAACAAAGGAAAATTTGTTTTTCTTCTCCCTGCGTTGAGGGTGTGCTGGAAGAGTCTGCGGTACACATTAGATTATATTATCAAGACTTTTCCTGGGTCTGGGCTGTGCCTGTTGCTGCCTCTGGGACAAGTCAGACTAATACAGGAAAACTTATTTCTCTTTCTTTTTAATTTTATTTTTCTTTAATTTCCTGCCTCATTGGAACTTCTTAGATTTTAGAAATACAGTTATTTAAGCATACTCAAAGAAAACTACTGCCTGTATTGATAGGGATAAGAATACAATTAAATCATTTAATATCCATAACCCCCCTCAAAAAGCCCTTTATTCCCAAGTAGCAAGTATGTAAATTAATTTTCATCTCTTTTCTACCCTTCCTTTGCTAGAATTACTTATGCATAACTAAAACACCCAGACAAGTCTCTGAAGGGAACAATGCATTTTTTTCTTTACTGTAACTTGGAACTAAAAACATTGACTGATTTTGTAATTTAAGTGAAGTAGCTCTCAAATATAAATCTTTTATTTTATTTTTTTTTTTAGTAAAGACTGAGTGCTTAGGTAGAAATAAGTAACCACTGAACCAGTGGAAGCAAAGTTCAGCTGTGCAATGCTCTTTATGATACTGATTAAGTACAGCCTTATCAGTTCCAAAAGTGCTGGCTTTGTTTTTGTAGTCACAGAGTTGTCTAAAGGCAGGCTTACCCAGCTCCTGGGTCCCACATGTACATTATTTATTTAGTATGCCAGAATTTTCTCAAAGTGCACTAGCCACTCAGACTATTTTTACTGGTGGGAACTGAAGTTTTCCAGATGCATAAATTAACTGCTAATTCTGGTTATCTTAGGGACATGTTCATTGAAAGAGTATTCTTACTGAGCTTGAATCCTAAATATTGTTCCCTTATTATCTTGTTAAAGTCATGAATATATTTAATGAAGACAACTTTCTTTTGCCACTTTAAGCTAGAACTTCAGCATGCGAATTATACTTTGACACAGACAGTCAGGTCTATATAATATACTATAGTATATTATATATACTATATTATATATATAATATATATAATAAGTAAAATACAATAAAGCATTCTGGAAAGAAGGAGACTCTACCTTACAACCACTATATGTGGCACTAAGGCCTGGTTCCTCCTTCTCATTATTTTGTTATTTTCTCCTAATTTTGGGAATCAAAGTTACTCAAATGCTGAATTTATAAATTGAAACAGACACTTTGGTTCTGTTATAAAGGCAAAGTAACAACATTTCTATGTATCTTACAGGGTTATATAGTATAATAACTCAAATCCGTGGTTGGATTTGACTGAACCTACATAGATACTAATCTGAATGATTTACATATAGAAAATTCTAAACATAAAAATTTAAGGTGGACTAGTTTGCTTTTGTTTTGTAGTATATATAAAAATAACTTTGATCCAAACTAATTATTAGTGCAGAAATTATAAATGGAAGATGCATTCCATAGCTATATGACTGAGGGATGTTTTAACTGAAACTCCCCAGTGGCAAAAGTAGTGTATAAACTAGTGCTACTGTATACATACTAAAGGGCCAAGTTATGTAATCTTTCCTAAATTAATTTTTAAAAATGAAAGATTATTCTTGTTTTCACTGTGAAGCACAATAACAATAAATTTTCCCCATTGGTACAAGTGAATGATTTACATGGTAAATTGATGTGCTTAACTACTACCATTTCTGGAAGCCGGATTTGATATAAACTTATTTTGGGCTGGGCGCGGTGGCTCACGCCTGTAATCTCAGCAGTTTGGGAGGCCGAGGCAGGTGGATCACGAGGTCAGGAGATGGAGACCATGCTGGCTAACACAGTGAAACCCCGTCTCTACTAAATACACAAAAAAATTAGCCGGGTGTAGTGGTGGGCGCCTGTGTTCCCAGCTACTCCGGAGGCTGAGGCAGGAGAATGGCATGAACCAAGGGAGCGGAGCTTGCAGTGAGCTGAGATCGAGCCACTGCACTCCAGCCTAGGCGACAGAGCCAGACTCCGTCTTAAAAAAAAAAACAACAAAAAACTTATTTTGATAAACATGGCTTATGATACTTGATAATAAAATTAATAAAGATGTTGTTTTTATAAACATCAAATGTGAATAGCTGTTGTCATGGTTTAAAATGTCAAAGGACAGCCTTTGAAAATTAAGATACTGATAACAGACATGTCCTGTGTTTGCTATTCAATTTAAGACCAAGAACAATGCCTAGATGGATCCCTTAAGTAACGAAATTTTGAACTGTGCAATACAGCTTAGTGTGTTTTGGAATACAATGGTAGGAGAAAATACTTAAGAATTTAAACTTACACCATAAACAGTACTGGTACATCTCAGCACAGCCAACTGGGACATCTAGCAAAAGCACACGCACATAATGAGACCTCACAATTTTGCTTCAACAGAAGAATAAAGTAAAATGGCAGTATACACAGTGTTACTTTGCTTAGCATTTTCCTTAAAAATATTTGATTTAAGCACTTTCTTTTCTTAGGACAATTAATTCATTAGAGTTCTTTTTAATAGACATAACATATGTAAGACATATATAGCCTCACAGGCAACCAGAAGAAGATTCAATAGTCATACAATTTCCATTTGCTAATTTCCAGATTAGATTATTGGCCTCTGGGTGAGGCCCTTTAAGAGCAGGGCTAGGTAAACAAATTTTAGGGCCTAATAAACAAGCATAGCTGGAAGACAAATAAAGATTTTTGAGAGGTACTTCTTCACCTTTAATTCCAGGGGTTCCATAAGGAAAAGAGTTATTTTTTTCAAGATGGATTTCTGGCAAGTTTTCTATCTTTCTAGGGAGTTCTAGGCCACCAGACTGGGGTCTTTTATGCATGCAGCAAGAGTTGCAAGACAGAGTGAAGAGAAGTAATTTTGACTGAGATAAAACTTTTTTCAGGAAAACAAGATTTATGAAGAGAAAAACATAAAACCCTTTTGAATATACTTATAGCTTTGATATCCATTTTAATTAAGCTGAGCACTGTTTTTTATTAAAGGTAAGGGTGGAGATTAGAATTATGTAAATGTTCTGCCAAGTTAAGAGACTGGGTTATGTGCAGGAATTTCCTGCAATAATGAGAGTGATTTTTCGAGAAAAGTTCCAGAAGCTGTTCAATTTGCCACAAATTAGACATGGAGAAGGGGGCATGAATGCAAGGACTGCCTTTAACCCTAGCCACTTTCCAGAGAGGGAGAATGGCAGAGAAGGTTTAACCAGTTAGAGTAGTTTTTGAACAGGTAGAGGAGGAGGAGGGGTGGGATTGATGATAGAAGAAAGCCTGAATATGGGGACATCTCTTGTCATTTGCCATTTCTGGTAGTAAAGTTGTTAAGGCCATGTTGCAGGAGAAAATTAAATGCTTTGGCATTAAGGTCTGCCATAAGCCAAGTTTGCCTTGGTTGCTAATACTGCAGTCCAGTGGGAAGGATGTAGGGACGTGAAATTGTTTGGCACCCATGTGGACTGCTAAGAGGAAGCTGGTGGTGTCTGTTTTGTTCTAGGCATCCCCAGATAAAAGACAGAGACCCAGAATCCTCTTTCCAAAAGAGGACCGTTAACCTGAGAAGGAGCTGTGTACCAATATTTCCTCTAGCCCAGCCCCATTAGTCCGATTGGACCTCCCAGGACCTGGACAGCAGGCCAGGTACAGAGAGAAAGCCAGGAGAAGGCAGATCTCACCGGTCATCTGAAATAGTATCTGATGTTGGATGTTCTGGCTGGAATTGGCAAAGGGCCTCCCATACTGTAGCCATTTGAGGAAGAGAGAGAGAGAGAGAGAGAGAGAGAGAGAGAGAGAGAGAGAGAGAAGATGGAGAAAGAGGGGGCAAGGGAGGGTTAGCGAGCAAAATACCCAATGCAGGTGGTCAGAGGTGGATTCCCGAGACCTGAGTGTTTTAGAGCCCATGGGGAGTAGCCTCAGCCTGAGCCTCACAGCCCCTTCAAGTTAGTTGTCCTGCTCACACAAATTACTTGAAAAGTGAAGTGAGAGATAAGATTGGGCGTGTGGCCAGAGGCTTTTAGGATACAGGAGTTAACTCAGGATGAGCTGCCATTGCCCACTGCTTCCTGGGTTGCAAGACAGCCTCTTCTCCCAACACCAGTCACAGGTTTTGGCACCAAATGTAAGAAATGAAGGAAGAGGAAAGAAAAACAAAAGGTGGCTTGGCAGTCAAGGACAGGCTGATTTTAAAGAAAACAAACCTGAGAGTGTTTTCTGGCCGAGTTAGTTCAAGAGACAGTCTCTTACACACTAAGAGTTTCTCAGGATTCAGGGTGGAAGAGTATACCAGAGACTTGGACTGTTTCTGTGTCTCTTTGTTGTGCTTATCTGGGAGAGAGAGTTGTGTGTCTGTTCCCATATATCTTCCTGCAGCTGCAGGCATACCCCCTGAGACTGCTCTCCTGTATCATCTCTCTCAAGTTCAAAGTTTCACACATCTGCCGGGCAGGGGCAAAATGATACCATTCTCTTTGCTCAAGCATAGCAAGAGTCACCTTTGGTGCAGTTCCCAACAAGTTTCTCCTCTCCATCTGAGACCACCTGAGCCTGGACCTATTGTTCATATCACTATCAGTATTTTTGTTGAAGCCATTCAACAAGTCTCTAGGAAGTTCCAAACTTTCCCACATTTTCTCTCTTTTTCTGAGCCCTCCAAACTGTTCCAATATCTGCCTGTTACCCAGTTTCAAAGTCTCTTCCACATTTTCAGGTATCTTTTCAGCAGCTCCCCACTCCTTGTAACAATTTACTGTATTAGACTCTTTTCATGCTGCTGATAAAGACCAATGCTCATTGAAAAGTTTAATTAATACATGAGTATATAATAAAAAATAAAAGTTATTCACCTATCATCTTTATTTGCTCTCCTAGAGGGCGTAACTGAGAAGTCCTTATGTAAGCTTCCATGAGTTTTCTTTGATATACATTGACACATTTATACCAATATGCATGAATACATAAATGTATATTTCTAAGCAAAAACTATATCATAGAATACATATTTTTGTTAAACCAAAGTTTTAAAGTTAATAATTTTATAAATATGCATGTTCTTAAATTATTTTAAAATTAAATTATTAGAATAAGTAATATAGATAATAAATTGTATAATAATTATTGAAATATTCCCTTTTCTTTTACTGCTGAATGGAGAATTAAAGCAAAAACCAAAACCTAGGCATGGTTCAGATGAAACTGTGTTAAATTTTAATTTGAGATTTATTTTAAATTCTAGTATTTATCTGTTTGTCATCCAAGTTGACAAATATGAGATGGGGATGGCAAGATACTGATTCAGCTGGTTTCTGATAACCTGTCATGATAACTTTATTTGATTCTGTAGTAAAGGTTGCCCACACAATAGTGTTATGGATAGTAGCAACAGTGGAATCAATGAGTTGTGTTTTATTAAAATATCATTGTAGTTTTAAATGAGACAGATGTTAATTTTTCTCTTCTATGCAATTCTAAGCTGATGTGGTAACTCAAACCCTCAAAGTTTTCAGAAACCTACATTCCCTCTATTTTGTTGTTCTGTTATCCTCAACAGGCATCTTATGGTGCAAGAAGGCTGTTCCAACTCCTGCAGTCATGACCGCATTCTGGTTAGCCAGATGATTTATAAGGACAATGGAATGACCGTTTCCTCCTTTGAAAGGGACAGCCCAGAAGTGGCACAAACATTTTCTGATATATTGCACCAGACAAAAATTTACCACATGGTTATATCTGACTTCAGGCAAAGCTGGTATATAATGTAGCCAAAAATTTTGAATAATTCTTATGAAGTGTATGATTTTATGAAAAAAAATAGTGTCTAAAAGATTTGAGGATTAAAAAGGAGTTGCGGAACCTGAGGCTCAATAGTAATTAAATGATTTACCCCCCATGCCAGTTCCACCATGCTCAGGCTTTGGTATTTCAGGTTTTTTGGAGTTTTCCAGTCTTTACACTTTTAAGGAAAAGACTAGCATATCTACCTGACTTGTTTTACTGCAGTGAGAAGCTATGTAAAATTACATCAGATATTCATGGAAACTAAATCAGGATATTTTTCTAAGATGGGTGATGTCAAAATCAAATACTTTGGTTCTGTCTACTGGAGGTTGTCCTTGTCACACTATTTTCTGATCTTATGATTGACAAGTTACATTGCTTAATGTCCACCGCACTCATCTTTAACTTGAATTGTTATTTCTCTCAGTCCACTGGTTTGCTAAGTCAGCATTGAAACCCAAGGATAGTTTGGTATGTGCTTGATGTGGTTGAGTGAGTTTTGGGAACTATAAAGACATGGAAGTGGAACTGTCATTTCTCAGGATTATTACATTCTCAGGTGGGCAATATGCCCTGACATTAAAACCCAGACACATTTTTATCATGGCTAATAATGGTGTACCTAGCTGGTGGGTAATTGCAGGCTTTCAACCTCCAGTTCATCTTCATGAGATCAATGTTGATTCAGAACAATAAGTGTCAGGTCTATGAAACCTTTAAAGTTATGCTTAAATGTGAGTCTGTGACCACTAATGAATGACTACAGTTGTTTCATGACTTGCTAAACATACCTGGTTTTTCACAAGCAATAGATTTTTGAAGGAGAGGTATTCACAGTGGGTGCTAGGAAGATACACACATTAATTCTGTAGAATTTAGCTAAAATGTGTTCAGCCTAAGGGATGACATTAACAGAGACTTGTGATCCTGCTTTGCATCTCATGAGTGCTGAGCAGTTGGTAGAGATGGATGGTATTTTCCATATATCAGCATCTGCTGTATGCTCAGGCTTTGCTCCTGTTAAGGGAACTAGGGCTCTCTAGCCTTTTCAGAGATTCTGTGAGATTATGTACTTTATTATTATTATTTTGTCTAATCTAATCAGACTAGATTCTTGTATTTCGAACTAAGAACTCAGAATATATCCATGACCTTTGGTTAAAAAGCTTAAAGGGAAAGTAAACTTCATTTATTCGTTGAACAATTTATTTAGTATTTCTTATTTATTAGTGTTCTGTCTCCTGAATAAATAACTCATTTTAAGTGTTTATTGAGCACCAATTGCACATAAACTATTGTATTAGTTTTGTGGGAGAAAAAAATAAATAAACTAAATATCCCTCCCTCAAGGAATGTTTGTAAAGTTGATTAACTATGCTAGAAAATAGAAAGTGAATGGTGCTATGAGATACAGAGGTATAGTAGTAGTATGAAGGTTGAATGGAGAAAGAGATTAAATACAGCAGAAGACAATTATTTCTATCAGAGAAGAGATGACATAGGAGATGAAGAAGAAAGATTTAAAATGATTTTTACAGAAAGATGAAGAGATACATAACTCTTGAGTAGAGAAGGCAAGAAGAAGAGAAACTGTATGGACAGTATGAGCTAAATGTGAAAACAGAATTTTTTTTGGCTGGGTGCGGTGGCTCATGCCTGTAATCCTAGCACTTTGGGAGGCCGAGGCAGGTGGATCACCTGAGGTCAGGAGTTTGAGAAAAGCATGGCCAAAATGGGGAAACCCCATCTCTACTACAAATAGAAAAATTAGCCGGGTGTGGTGGCACATGCCTGTAATCCCAACTACTCGGGAGGCTGAGGCAGGAGAGTTGCTTGAACCTGGGAGGTGGAGGTTGTGGTGAGCCGAGATTGTACCAGTGCACTCCAGCCTGCACCATGGGATCGAAACTCCATTTAAAAAAAAAAATCTGTGCACAAAGAAATGGGCAATGCATTGACTCGGTGCAAAATATCATAGATGAGGTAGTGAACATGTTTAGGAATATATTCACATTTTCAAGAAGACAGCTAGTTTCCCTATTGAAATCCCTGGCATACAGGAGCAAACAGCATGAAATAAAGAAAAGTTCTATGTTTTTAGAAATAGGTATCCAACTAATACACATAAAAATTGTCTTTATGGAGTAAAATGCATATTTAATCAATCTAATCAAACACAACCTCAGCTAAATTCTTCTCTAAGATATAGACACACCTGCTAAGCAAAAGGGATAAGATATCTTGTCTCTAGGAAACAACAGAAGTTAATTAGCTTCAAAAATACTTTATATTTGCAATTAAAAATAATTTTAAATCCACAGTAGCTATGGTTCTCATTAGAACATAGAATATTGTGATGCCTTGGACTATTTTATTAAAAATGGCTATATTTGGTCCTTATCTCAAACTTTGTGTTCAGGTATATAGCTGATTAATAATGTAGTTTATTAAGAAATATTTTTTGCATATTACTGTGAAATCATAGTGTATGAAATGGACTAATAAAGCCTATAATGACCAGGAAAATATTACTTACTGCAAAGATAATATAAAGTTCAGTTCTTTTATCTATAGTTTTATTGTTAAGTTACATATATAGATAAATGATAGACAGACATCAACACACACATGACTGTTTACAAATTACGGAGGTTACAAATCTAAAACACGTGATTTTTATCTCAAAATAATAAAGATTAAAATGTTAGCAATGTTCATCCATTGGTCAAAACTTTGCATTCTTGTCTTGGATTCTTGCTTATATTCATCAATTTTAATCTGGATCTAAACACTTAAATAAATGAAAATAACATATTAAATAAATTTGTTTATGCACTGCACTTCATTTCTAACGATTTCTCATGAGATAGTGGAATGCATGATGACATATAATTTATGATATTGTTCTAGTGTTTCCATGCCCAAATTAAAGTCAATAAAATTTTATAATAGAAATACCCAAAATGAAGAATGATGATGAATTGAGCACTGATATTAAAAAGATTAAAAATGGTGCAACTTTTTATAAGCAAATTAGATCTATGTTTTAAGAACTTTATATGAAGTCTTACATGTATCTGCATTATACTCAGAGGTATAAATAAATCGTTAACTTCTTTATTATGTCTTCAAGTTACCTGATGTTCCTCCTGAGCATCTCGAACCTCAAGATAGGGAAAAATTGTATTCAATAAATCAAGTAAATACATAACAATGACTGTGTATTAACAAAAAATTAAAAATAAAAAAGAAATCAAGTTGTCTTAGTTCAATGCAATAACAAAAATAGTCACTTAAGCACAACACTCAAATGCTGAGTTTTCTCATTTCACTTCTTTCTTTTCTTATCCAAGATGGTATCTCATGTATGAGATGAACTTTACTAATAATACAGGCAAATGGGGAGATGTTGGTTGAGAGTGTATTGAATCTATAGGTAAATTTAGGAAAATTTTAAATCTTAAAAATATTGCTTTTAATCTGTGAACATGTTATATTTCTCCTATTATTAAATAATTTTTAATTTATCTCAATCATGTAGTTTTGGTAAAACATCTTGTAATTACATTTAAATCTATATATTACACAATTTGCATAAGAATATAAATTCCATATTTTTAGAAATTTATTTTTGAAATTTTCTTTACTGTTATAGAGAAATGAAATGGGGGATGACCTCCACTTTTCCCATTTTACTGTAAGTCTTTGAGTAAAGGAGTGACTCCTCAACCTTATTGTATCCACAACACTAAACAGGATATGTAAGCCAAATAAAATTTTGTTGAACAAAAGACATAACACTTTATGGGTCCACATATACATATGCATCCAGAAAACTCACTTCTGCATTTTGTGTCTGCTCCTTCTTGTGACTTTAAACAGTAAGTCCTCAGCAACAGCGTCTTCTCATCCTAAAATGGATATGATATGTCCCAAATGCATAATGCTAAATTATTTGATCATAAATTGGGAGTCTCCACTCTCAATCCTAAAGACAAGCATTATCTCCAATACCAAACACTTGAAAAAAGTGTAATGAGATTACATTTAGATATTATTCAGAAGCCAAAACCACAAATAAGGCAACAATTCTCAAAGTTTAATTTTCTCAAAAAGGTTCTTTTTAAAAAATTATTATTATACTTTAAGTTCTGGGGCACATGTGCAAAACATGCAGGTTTGTTACATAGGTATACACCTGTCATGATGGCTTGCTGCACCCATCATCCCATCATCTACATTAGGCATTTTTCCTAATGCTATCCCTCCCCTATACCCTGCCACCAACAGGCCCCAGTATGTAATGTTCCCCTCCCTGTATCCGTATGTTCTCATTGTTCAACTCCCACTTATGAGTGAGAACATGTGGTGTTTGGTTTTCTGTTCTTGTGTTATTTTGCTGAGAATGTTGGTTTCCAGCTTCATCCATGTCCCTGCAAAGGACATAAACTCATCATTTTTATGACTGCACAGTATTCCATGGTGTATATATGCCATATTTTCTTCATCCAGTCTAAAATTGATGGGCATTTTTGTTGGTTGCAAGTCTTTGCTATTGTGAACAGTGCCATAATAAAATACATGTGCATGTGTCTTTATAATAGAATGATTTATAATCCTTTGGGTATCTACCCAGTAATGGGATTGCTGGGTCAAATGGTATTTCTACTTCTACATCATTGAGGAATTGACACACTGTCTTCCACAATGGTTGAACTAATTTACACTCCTATCAACAGTGAAAAAGCATTCCTATTTCTCCACATCCTTTCCAGCATCTGTTGTTTCCTGACTTTTTAGTGATCACCATTCTAACTGGCATGAGATGGTATCTCATTGTGGTTTTGATTTGCATTACTCTAATGATCAGTGATGATTAGCTTTTCTTCCCATGATTGTTGGCTGCATAAGTGTCTTCTTTTGACTAGCGTCTGTTCATATCCTTCCCTCACTTTTTGATGAGTTTTTTTTTTTTCTCACAAATTTGTTTAAGTTTTTTGTAGATCCTGGGTATTAGTTCTTTGTCAGATGGATATATTGCAAAAATGTTCTCCCATTCTGCAGGTTGCCTGTTCAATCTGATGATAGTTGCTTTTGCTGTGCAGAAGATCTTTTATTTAATTAGATCTCATTTGTCAAATTTGTCTTTTGTTGCCATTGCTTTTGGTGATCTAGTAATAAAGTTTTTGCCCATGCCTGTGTCCTGAATGGTATTGCCTTGATTTTCTTCGGGGGTTTTTATGGTTTTAGGTCTTATGTTTAAGTCTAATCCATCTTGAGTTAATTTTTGTATAAGGTGTAAGGAAGGGGTTGTTACAATTTTCTGCATATGACTAGCCAGTTTTCCCACATTTATTAAATAGGGAATCCTCTCCACATTGATTTGTTTCATCAGGTTTGTCGAAGATCAGATATTTGTAGATATTAGATATTTGTGGTGTTATTTCCGAGGTCTCTGATCTGTTGCATTGGTATATATGTATATGTTTGGTACGAGTACCATGCTGTTTTGGTTACTGCAGCCTTGTAGTATAGTTTAAATTGAGTTACCATGATGCCTCCAGCTTTGTTCTTTTTGCTTAGGATTGTCATGGCTATGTGGGCTCTTTTTTGGTTCCATGGGAAATTTAAAGTAGTTTTTCTAATTCTGTGAAGAAAGCCAACAGTAGCTTGATGGGGATAGCTTTGAATCTATAAATTACTATGGCAGTATGGACATTTTGACAATATTGATTCTTCCTATCCATGAGCATGGAATGTTTTTCCATGTGTGTGTGTTCTCTCTTATTTCTTGGAGTGGTGGTTTGTAGTCCTTCTTGAAGAGGTCCTTCACATCCCTTGTAAGTTGTATTTGTAGGGATTTTCTTCTCTTGGTGGCAATTGTGAATGGGAGTTCACTCACCATTTGGCCCTCTATTATTTGGGTATAGGAATGTTTGTGATTTTTGCACATTGATTTTGTACTCTGAGAGTTTGTTGACGTTGCTTCTCAGCTTAAGGAGATTGTGGGCTTAGACGATGGGGTTTTCTAAATATGCAATCATGTTATCTGCAAACAGAGATAATTTGACTTCCTCTCTTACTGTTAGAATGCGCTTTATTTCTTTCCTCTGATTGCCCTCACCAGAACTTCCAATACTATGTTGAATAAGAGTGGTGAGAGGGGGCTTCCTTTTCTTTTGCAGGTTGTAAAATGGAATGCTTCCAGTATTTGCCTATTCAGTATGATATTGGCTGTGGGTTTGTGATAAATAGCTCTTACTATTTGGAGATACTTTCCATCAAGACCTAGTTTACTGAGAATTTTTAGCATGAAGACGTGTTGAGTCTATTGACATATTTATGTGGTTTTTGTCATTGCTTCTGTTGATTTGATGAATTATGTTTATTCATTTGCCTATATTGAACCAGCCTTGCATCCCAGGGATGAAGCTGACTTGATTGTGGTGGATAAGCTTTTTGATGTGCTGCTGGATTCGTTTTGTCAGTATTTTATTGAGAATTTTTGCATCGATATTCATCTGGGATATTGGCCTGAACTTTTCTTTTTTCTTGTGTCTCTGCCAGGTTTTGGTATCAGGGTGGTGCTGACCTCATGAAGTAAATTAGGGAGGAGTCCCTCTTTTTCTATTGTTTGGATTTTTTTTTTTTTTTTTTTTTTTTTTTTGAGATTGAGTTTCACTCTGTTGCCCAGTCTGGACTGCAGGGGCATGATTTTGGCTCACTACAACCACTGCCTCCCAGGTTCAAGTGATTCTCCTCCCTCAGCCTCCAGAGCAACTAGAAATCCAGGTTCATGCCACCACATTCAGCTAATTTTTGTATTTTTGGTAGAGATGGTTTTTTGCCACGTTGGCCACGAGGGGGCTGGAACTCCTTACCTCAGGTGATCCACACACCTTGACCTCCCAAATTTCTGAGATTACAGGCATAAGCCATCGCGCCAGGCCGGTACTCTTGTTTCAACTGAAAGAAAGAAATGTGCTGTCATACTTTACTCCTGTGAGAAAGTCCAACAGAGAAGGAATCTAATAACATCCCAATTTCCAACTGATTTCAATAAACATTTTACATAATCTAAGAAATAGAAAGTGCGAACAAATTTGTCATGAGCATTAAAGTGAGCCAGCCTCCCAGCTACTCAGGAGGCTGAGGCAGGAGAGTGGCATGAACCCGGGAGGTGGAGCTTGCAGTGAGCCCAGATTGTGCCAATACCCTCCAGCCTGGGTAACAGAGCGAGAATCCGTCTTAAAAAAAAAAAAAAAAAAAAAAAAAAAGTGAGCTAGTTTCTATGTGCTAATTCAAATCAAAGATTTGGCCTCACTGGCCTAACTCCTTGGAATGAAGTATCTGCCAACTGTCAAAAGTCAGGCTACATGAGCTTCAGAGGCCTGCAGAGACCTCTGAATGACTTTGCCATGGAGAAGAGTCACACTCTCCAGGGCCTCCTCTCTGCTAAGAGCTGAACACTCAACTGGAAAGCCTGCCTACAGAGAGGAGCAAACCGTTCCTTTGAACTGTACTAACACTGAACAAAATGTTTCTTCTTGTTCAACATTCACTTCTCTGCTACCTCATTCTACCTCATTCTTCCTGACACTGGACAAGATCTTGGACAAAGGAGTCACAGCCACAGACGTTTCTGGCTAGAAAAAAAAAAACAACAACCAACACTCTAGAGATCGGTAACAATAAAACAGAATTTCTAGTTCTCAAATTAAAAAAAATGAAGTTAAGATAATAGATAATACATTCATTAGTTTACAAAAATAAAAACTAATAGTAGCATCCACTGTTGATGAAATTGTAGGTTCTAGAAGGAATGTGATTACTACAAGGTTTTCGGAAAGTAATTTGGTATTTAAATAGTTATAATTTTATTTAATATTACATAAATTTAGTATTTAAATAATTTCAATACATGGTACTTACAGCACTTGGCCCAGTTTTCACATTTTGTACCACTTATTAAATACAAATAAAATTACCAGGATTAAAAGATAAATATGCCATCATGTTTATTGTATCATTGTTATTAATACTAAAGATTTGGAATTATAGAATTTTTCTCAAAATTAGAAAGATTAAATGGTACATCCATTGAAACCTTGGTATAAATATAATATTGATTATTATGTAACTATTAATGCAAATAAGATTGATATATGTGTTCCTTTGGAAGAAAATCTAAAATATATATTTTAGCAAAAGCGAATTATACAATATGCATGTATTGTGTGTGTACATGGATGTATGTATAGCAGTTTCACTTTCATAAACATGAACATAATCTTTGCAAATGTTTTATATGCAAAATTAACTTCGTGAAAATTATTGCCAAACTGCTGTTGGTGCTTATATTTGAAATTGGAAGAAGAAAAGAAGTTTATTAATTTATTTTCCACACATCTACTTATTTTCAAATGTTACAATGATTAATTTTTTGTAAGAGCACTGAGAAACCAACAAGCACTTCTAGTTTTTAATTTTACAGTAAAAAGTAATTTCATTGGTATGCTTACAACAATATTGTGAGTATTAATATATGTTTTTACTTATAAAAAATTGAGTTTCATAAAGGTTAAATGACATATATAATGACACATATCAGAAAGTGCTAGTGCCACGACTCAAAAACTATTCTATTTGTGGTTCCAATTCATATACTTTCCAATTTATCTCATTATTTCTTGACTGTGTGTATGTAAATGTGTGTGTAAATGTTGAATTTTTCAGATGAATAAATTTGTGTAACAAATTGGATATAGATTAATTCAGTTCATGTTTTTTGATGTGCAGACCAAGGAATTGAGTAAAAGCCATATATCTCAGAGAATCACAAAGGTGAGAAAAATCGTACCAGTTTCACAACTTTTTTTTTTTTTTTTTTTTTTTTTTTGTAGAGAAAACCTGGGACCAAGTAGGGATGATTTTTCAGCTTACTGTAGTAAAAAACAAGAGCTTTGCATTCAGGCAGTAGCAGCATCTGTTTCCAACTGAGTCTTTTACTAATAGTGGCATGCACTGCTAAATATCCAAACGCCACTATCAACCACTCAAGACAAAACACCAAAGATTTATCCTCAATTTCTTCCTTCCTTAAAACTTTACATCAAATCCATAATTAAGTCTGCTAAACTTAGTTTCAGAATATTCCCAGTCAGACTATATTCTGCTCTCAATATCCACTGTAAATCCAAGCCACCATTATATTTTGCTTCATCTACTGCAATAGCTTCCCTAAAATTAACACTTTCTTACTTTTGCCTTCTTATATTTATTCTCTGTAATATTCCCTTTTAAAAATATATATCTTATATTAAGTCATTCTTCTTAAGGGATGTTTGTGGAGGATATGTCGCAGAAAGAAACTACTCGCTTTACCAGCATCCAAGATGAGGCTCATGTCCAGTGCTCTAGCCTCATATCTCAGGCCCACCCCTTATTCCAGAGTAAATAGTATTTTATTCAAGTTGCCCATATTTTCAAGTTCTGTCTTGGTTCAGAGCTTTCTCCCTTTGCTTTTTCCCATACTGTTTTCTGTTAGTCTTCTCAGAGCTGACACTTTCTTCTTTTCAGGTCTTAGATTACGCTTTATTTTCTCACAGCTCTGGACATCAGAATTGTGAAATGGGTTCAGCAAACTATAATCAAAGTGTAGGCATGGCTGCATTTCTTCTAGAGTCTCTACGAGAGAGTCCATTCCCTTTTTTTTTTTTCTAGCATCTAGAAGTCATACTGCCCACCACATTCTTGAACACTGACCTTATTGCCTTCTCCAAGTCTTACTAAAAACATCTACTTTTGAAATTTCTCAGATATTGAATTATCTCTGCTGATACAGCCTTTTTATCTTTTCTTTTAAGTCCTTGAACACAATTTTAAGAAATGTTTTAAGGCCCTTGTGTGTGAATTCCAACATTTGGGTCATGCAAGAGTCTGATTTCTTATTTATCTCTCCTATGTCAATATGCTCCTGTTTCTTTATACATGTAATAACATTTTTCTGTGAACTGCAGTTGCATGTTTAGATAAGGGATTTGTTTTCTTTCTCTGAAGAAGGTTGGCATTTGCTCTATCAGAAATTGTTGGCTAGTGATATTGATGTTGTAGAACCTTTGTCTTATTCTTTACTGGGATGAGACTGTTTGGATTTTATCCTTATTCTCATTGTGAACTCTTTATTCTTAGCATCCAGATTTTCTTCCTAAAGTGTATCCTTTCTGCAATTTCAATAGGAAGCCAAAGGTTTTTGTCTACTCTCTCTATCTTAGTAGGACTCAAACTCCACTACCCTGACTAGAACTACCAGTAGTTTGAGTTTTCTAACAGGTGTTGCCTCTCACAAGAGGGCATTAGCTGTGGGCGTCTGCCTGCAGACCCTGGCCCAAACAACAGATGAATAAAATGTACACTGACACACAGGTATTCTGTTTTGCTAGTCCTGCTGTGTCTGACTGCCTGCACACCAAGACAGGTTTGTCACTGCAGCAGACCCTGAGCAGCTAGCACTCCAGGCATTTATTTAGTATACAATTACCAACAGAAGCTTTGAGTAATTACACTTGAGGATAATGAACTTGGTTAAGACAGTAGTTCTATGAATGATTAAAGCTCAGGTACTGTAGTCTAAGTGAATACCATTAGGGGACAATATCCTTGGTCCACCTCCCCCTGAGAGGGCCATTTGGTACAAAGGTTAGTTAATGGAGGTAGGATAAACAGACTTAACTGGGGAAGCCTCAATTGTCCCTTGTATTTACCCTATGTCATAATGTTCCAAGGTAAGAACTAGCTGCCTTCAATCTGTTCAATTATTACAAGCTGGGTAACCTTTTGGCCTTACGAAAGGTTTGTGACTATTCCCTAGAACTTCCCCTAATATTTCCCTTTACTATTTCTGCCACCATCCTGAGTGAATCCCAACATTTCCCCATTTTTGTTTTCTTTATTAGGGTTTTTTGATTGCAGAGCACAGATATGTGCAGCCACAGGATTTTCAGATGAGGCAGTCACTGCTCTTATTTAGACTTTGCATCCTAGGATTAGCAAATAACATAAGACAAACATGAGCATAATTAGCAAAAATCTTTTCCAGTCAAAGAGTATCCCCCAGGAGTTAGGGTCCAAGTAGGAGAGATGATCTTGTACTCCCTTCCACATGGCTGTTGGGTGTGCAGATCTGTGGTGTGAACAGATTTTAAAATTTTAGTTTTAACTTGCTTCATGTCTGCAGTTAAACTGTTATAAAAGGTTCCCCAGAGGTGTTGTTTCACCTCACCCTAGCTATACATTAATTGGTTCCATGGTAGAGAAGTGACACAGGTATGTTTATGTTGCCATTCACATTTTCACTGTTGACAGAATGCTAGTGCATCTTGTGGCTCTCCCGCATACTCTTTCCTTACTGTAGGAGAAGTTCATCACATATATTTTTGGCCAGATTATCTACAAAAGCAGTTGTTTGTACTGATTCAGTAATAGATACAACAGCAATGCTAACAGTTGCCATAATGACTATGGCTGAGCCTGTAAAGACCATAAGTGTAAATGTGAATCTTTTGTGTCTGACCTGGGACAGGGCACTTTCTAAGGTGGCAAGGGCAGAAGAGTCTTGCCAATTGCATGTCAAATTGGCTGGTAGAAGTGCCTCAGATTGTCTCCTTAATACCACGACACTGGAAGTTTTTAAACTAGACATATCATGACCAGTGATACATGAGGCAAACCAAGCCTGTCCCTGCACCCGGGTCACAAATGTGGCATTTCCAGGTGTAATGGAAATGTTAGTTCCTGTAAGGAAAACATATGGATGGGTAGTGCAAACCAGGCACTGATCAGTGTGAGTATGAATAAAGGCTATAGTGTAGTTGAGCCTGGAATTATGATATCTCCCATAGCAGGTGTTAAGAGAGGTGCTAAGATGTCCCAGGTGCCATAAGGTGCCTTGGGTTGGTATGGGGTTTACTCAGGGTCTGGGGATATCCCATCCCTCCATCGGCCCAAATTACAGGGGAACGAGACATGGCTATAAAATATTGTGGTTAATGCTACGATGCAGAAAGACATTTGTAAGCGTGCCCTGCAGTTGGCCATGGAGACTCCACTCTAAGATGTTTTAATTGCCCAACCAGAGACTATGAGACTTCCCAGCTAAAGTGAAATCCATTATTTTCTTGGCTCTGTTCTTTAGTACGGAAAGGAATATTTGGGAAAGCAGCATGGATTGCATTGCCCAGTTTGAGGTTATCTGTAGCTAAAACTGTTAAGGCACTTTTTTTGCCATGATGTACCCATACTTGTCTTGGAGCAGTTACACAGTAAGGGTTAGAGCCTTTATAACTTAGAAGCGGTGAGAGGATAGTGTAGTGCTATATAGTGTTATCTGGCACCTTAGGGAAATGTGTGTTATTATTGAGGGACCCTACTTGGTGTAAATCTATCCGTCCTAGCCAAGCAGTCATGTTGTTACAGAGTGGGAAGGGAGTTATCTGCCCAGGTGACAGGGTGAAAGAAAAGTGGGCCATTTTAGGCTCATATTTAGGGCTCATATTTTAATGAGCCCAATAGAGTGTAGCAGGTACAGTTTGCAGGCAAAGCGAGAGTATAAAAATGATCAATACCCTATGTGAGTCGCATTGTACAATAGATAGCATAGAAAGAAACAAAATAACTGGAGTAAATGGTGCCTGTGTCTGGAGCAGGATTTGTTCAGCCTCCTCTGGAACTGTGGGTCTTACTGGGTTAACTCTTTCAATTCCGGTACTAGATTGGACCCTAGCCATGCCATGTTATGGTTTGATGCCTCGTGCTGGAATCCAAAGAGGACTTGAGGGGGTGTAAACACAAGCCTACCCTCTCCCCCATGTTAATAATTCATTAAGACCACACTGTGTCCAGAATTGGTGGGTTCTTGGTCTCACTGACTTCAAGAATGAAGCCACGGACCCTCGCGGTGAGTGTTGCAGCTCTTAAGGTGGCGCGTCTGGAGTCTGTCCCTTCTGATGTTCAGATGTGTTCGGAGTTTCTTCCTTCTGGTGGGTTCGTGATCTTGCTGGATCAGGCGTGAAGCTGCAGACCTTCACGGTGAGTGTTACAGCTCTTAAGGTAGCGCGTCTGGAGTTGTTGGTTCCTCCCGGTGGGCTCGTGGTCTTGCCAGGCTCAGGAGTGAAGCTGTAGATCTTCGCAGTGAGTGTTACAGCTCATAAAAGCAGCGTGGACACAAAGAGTGAGCAGTAACAAGATTTATTGCAAAGAGCGAAAGAACAAAGCTTCCACAGTGTGGAAGGGGACCCGAGCAGGTTGCCAATGCTGGCTCCGGAGGCAGCCTGCTTTTATTCTCTTATCTGGCCCCACCCACATCCTGCTGATTGGTAGAGCCGAGTGGCCTGTTTTGTCAGGGTGCTGATTGGTGCCTTTACAATCCCTGAGCTAGATACAAAGGTTCTCCACGTCCCCATCAGATTAGTTAGATACAGAGTTTTGTCACACAGGTTCTCCAAGGCCCCACCAGAGCAGCTAGATACAGAGTGTTGACTGGTGCACTCACAAACCTTGAGCTAAACACAGGGTGCTGACTGGTGTATTTACAATCCTAGAGCTAGATACAGAGTGCCGATTGGTGTATTTACAATCCCTGAGCTAGACATAAAGGTTCTCCACGTCCTCACCAGAGCAGCTAGATACAGAGTGTTGATTGGTGCACTCACAAACCTTGAGCTAAACACAGGGTGCTGATTGGTGTATTTACAATCCCTGAGCTAGATATAAAGGCTCTCCATGTCCCCACCAGACTCAGGAGCCCAGCTGGCTTCACCTAGTGGATCCCACACCGGGGCTGCAGGTGGAGCTGCCTGCCAGTCCTGCGCCGTGCGCTCACATTCCTCAGCCCTTGGGTGGTCGATGGGACTGGGTGCCGTGGAGCAGGGGGTGGTGCTCATCGGGGAGGCTCGGGCCGCACAGGAGCCCATGGAGTGGGTGGGAGGCTCAGGCATGGCGGGCTGCAGGTCCCGAGCCCTGCCCCATGGGAAGGCAGGTAAGGCCCGGCGAGAAATCAAGCGCAGTGCCGGTGAGCCAGCCCGGCTGGGGCACTCAGTACACCCTCCGCAGCCACTGGCTCGGGTGCTAAGTCCCCCATTGCCTGGGGCCAGCAGGGCTGGCCGGCTGCTCCGAGTGTGGGGCCCACCAAGCCCACGCCCACCCGGAACCCCAGCTGGCCCGCAAGCACGGCACACAGCCCCGGTTCCCGCTCGTGCGTCTCCCTCCACACCTCCCTGCAAGCTGAGGTAGTGGGCTCCGGCCTTGGCCAGCCTGGAAAGGGACTCCCACAGTGAAGTGGGGGACTGAAGGGCTCCTCAAATGCCACCAAAGTGGGAGCCCAGGCAGGGGAGGTGCCGAGAGCAAGCGAGGGCTCTGAGGACTGCCAGCACGCTCTCACCTCTCAACACCATTCATTACTGTTTACATCTTTCCATAAAACTGCAGGTTTTATGCCTTGAGAGGTTTTAGCAAAGTGCTTTTCTACAACTGATTGAAATTTGTCATCTGAATTTAAAACATTAAGGGTAAATAAGGCCTGTGCCAGTAGTGTTGCAGCGTGCTTACTTATATTACCCTGTCTCTGTTATTAGTGCACATTTTTAAGGGTGAAGTGTCTGTGTTCTACTATTGCCTATCCTTGGGGGTTATATGGGATGCCTGTGGAATGTTGGAGTTTCCACCTGTGACAAAATTGTTGAAATCGTGAGCTGGTATAAGCTGGACCATTAAAAGTGTTCATTTTTGTGGGTCATCCCATAAATGCAAAAGTTAAAAGAAGATGTTTAATGACATATTGAGTAGGCTCTCCAGGCAAAGCATGTGCACTGATTAAATGACTGTTGGTATCAATGGATATATGCACATATCTTAGTTTCCCAAATTCAGGGATGTCTGTAACATCTGTTTGCCACAACTGATTAGGTTCGAATCCTGTAGGGTTCACACCTGTAGAAGGAGGGGGCGTGCCTGTGCGCTGGAAATCTGGGCATTGTAGGATAATTTGTTTAGCTAGCCTCTGGGTAAGTTGAAAATGGTTTAGATAAATTTCTCCAATTTTGGTGGAAAAATTGATGTGATTGGGTGGCTTGGTCTAGCAGTGATGTCATAACCTGAAGGTCTGCTTGTTCGTTGCCATAAGCCAATGGGCCAGGGAGTGGGCTGTGGGCTCGAATGTGTGTAGTAAAAATAGGATGTGAACATTAGTCTAGAATTGTTTAAGTCAGAGAAAAAGAGTAAACAGAGCTGGCTCCAGAGTGGACTTAATCAGTGCTGTTTCAAAGTTTTGTAACAAATAAACAGAGTATGCAGAATCACCTAACTATATTTATGGGCTGAGTGGAAAAAGTTTCTAAGGCCAACCAAACTCAGAGCCCCAGTTGCAGCTCTCTGCATGCTAGTAAACCCAGTTCAAGTGATTGAATAGTGTGGTCTCCTCCAGACTGCCACTTTTCCATGTTTAGCAGACCCCTCAGTAAACAGTGTTAAAGGATTAGGCATGGGGGTGTAAATTATTTTTATAGGCATTATTATCAGAGTGTGAGATAAGAAATGAAGGACTTCATCAGTAGGGAGGATGTGCTCTATTTGCCCTGTGTAATCAGAGAAAGCTATTTGCAGGTCTATTGCCAAAGGTAATACTGCTTCAAATTGCTTTTTACTTAAAGGAATCCTGATGACATCAGGGTCATAACCTAGTAACTGACTGCAATGTTTGCAACCTGAATAGATGACTTTAGTAATTAAGTGAATATAGAGAGACAGTGTTTTACTTCCAGTATGTGAACAAAAAACCCATTTTAGGAAATGTAGCCCAGGGGTCATTTGTCCTAGTAACCCTGTAGGGGAGTGTTTGTTGGGAAATACAAACAACTGAATTGAATATCATAGATCAATATGATCTAGCTGCCTCTGAGAGATGGCTAGCTCCATTTCCTCAATTTCTCTTGTTGCTGCAGGGATTAAATATCTGGAAGAATCAAGAGCTGGATTGCCTTTTAAGATAGAAAAAAGGTTTTGTAGTTTATTAGTAAGAATTCCTAAAATGGGATGGAGCCAGGTAATATCACCCAGTAATTTCTGATAATTACTTAATGTGTGTAATTTGCTAGTATTTAGTTTAACCTTTTGAGGTCTTACTGACTGGGAGGTTAACAGATATCCAATTTATTTCCAAGGAGAGAGCATTGGACATTTGTACTTTTCCAGGTGCAATGACTAAACTTCTCAGCTGTGCATTCTTTATGACAGAAGTAAACAAATTTAAAAGTGTTGGCCCATTTGGAGCTACTAGTAGAATATCATCCATAGGATGAATAATTTTATAGTCAGGAAATTCTTTTCTACTAGAGAGCAAAGATTGATTTACATGAAACTGACACATGGTAGGACTATTTAGCATCCTTTGAGGAAGCATTTTCTAATAAAATTGACAAGCTGGATTTTCATTATTGATAGCTGGTTTTGTAAATGGAAATTTTTCTCTCTCCTGTTCTGTTTTACTGGCTTATTGGACACAGGGGTGGACATCGGATAAATGGTATAGAAGCAATCTTTTAAGTCAATAACAATTATAGGTCAATCTTGAGGGATTGCTGCTGGGGAGGGGAGGCCCTTTGAAGGAGTCCCAGGGGCTGTAAATTAGCATTAATAGCACATCAGTCATGTAAAAGCCTCCATTTCACAGACTTTTTGGCAATGATGAAAATAGGCAAATTCCTGGGGCTGGTAGAATGTTCAAGATGTCCAGCCTTTAACTGCTCCTCAACTAACACATGAATCCTCTGTAGTTTCTCTACCTTCAGAGGCCACTCTTCTAAGCAGACCGGATCTTGAGAGAGCCAAGTCAGAGGTAGCGGAGGAATAACCACAGTGGTCATTGTTAGAAAGGGGTTTGCAGTGTGCCCCGCCCCCCAACAATTGCGCTAATAATTCCCATCCCCAGAGATTAACAGGGATAGGTGTAGTGCCTAACCTTGTTTTTACTCTAATGCGTTACTTTTAAATTTTCCTTGCTTGTCTCCTTAGTTACCCAGCCTTGTTTTTCCCATACAAGTAAGACTTCCTCTTGTCTGGGAAAGCCAGACAAACTCCATGTGGCTTCCTGATTTACCAGACATTAAGGGGTCCTTACCCAACCCCTTCCTCAAGGAGTTAACCTGTGTAAGCAGATCCTCAGCATATGGAAGGAGCCCAATTAACTGATAAGGTACTGAAACAAACAATGTAAGAAGTTCCCAGGATTTTACTCAAAGAAATAACAACATAAAGCCTTGAGACCATGCCTGGCATAACATCTATATCTAACTCTAATGAAGGATTTAGAGCCCCACACCTGGTTACACTGCTTTTTTTGTAACCATTTGTCTTTTAAATTGTTTGTCTCTCTGTAACCATTTGTTTCTTTGATTCTTGCATGTTTTTACTTCTGTAGAATTATTGCATTTGAGTTCCCCTCCCCTTCCTAAACCAAAGTATAAAAGTTAATCAAGCCCATTCCTCGGGGCTGAGAGAATTTTGAGCATTAGCCATCTCTTTGGCCGCTGGCTTAAATAATTCATCTCAAAGTGCGGCGTTTTCTCTCACTCATCTGGGTATAACAATGGGCGTGATCAGAGGTTGTATAACTGCCTTTCTTCCTTCTGAATCATAGCATGTTCAGGGGTGTGTGCTCTGTTTGGCTGTGTGTGCTTCCCCGATGCTGACAATTTTCTATTTCTCAGTGATCCAAGTCCAAATTTCTGGCCAGTTCTGATCACTAATGACTGAAATGTCAACCCCTGTGTCCAATAAGCCAGTAAAATTATTATTACCAAGTTTTAAGGTAATCATGGGTCTCCGATCAGTGATTAATTGATTCCAATATATTCCTGTAGCTCCTGTGCTTCCAAAACTTCCCTTTCCCCTTTCCTTCCCATGGGTATTAGGGTCTCACTATGGTAAAGTCTTTCACTAAGCTATTTTTGATCCAGGGGGAAGAATATGCAGACCTTTATATTCCATTATAACCAATATCTGATCTTGGTCATCACTATCAATTACCCCAGAGAGCATATTAATTCCTTTACTGGATAGGCTAGGCTGCCCAAGGACTAATCCTGCTGTTCCTAGAGGCAGCGGGCCACAGATCCCAGTCTCAACCATTTTAGGGCTTTCTCCCTCTTTTAGCACTAATTTGGCAGGGCAGAGAAAGTCCAGTCATGCACTCCCAGTAGTGGCTGCTCTAAGAGAGAGAACTGTGGGCTTTCCAGCTGACCAAGGAAAGCTGTCGGCATTGTCCCAGTTGGGATCAGGGCTTGGGGCTGGCCCCTCATGAAGTTTCTCGACTGATTTCCTATGAGATTGCCATTTTTATCAAATTTAGACCTGCATTGATTTGCCTAATGTTTCCATTTCCTACATTCGGAACATATAGAAGAGGGTTCTTTCCCTGAGTTAGCTCGGTTATCACTAGGGGGGCATTGCCTCTTCACATGACCTTTCACTCCACATAGAAAACAATTTTGGTTTCTCTCCCTTTTCACTTTCGGAGGGCTTAATGACATAGCTAATATTCTGGCCTTGTTTGTCTCAGTTCCTACCAGGTGAGGCACTTATATGAGCTCCTGGATGGTGCTTGCCTTTCCTTTGATTGCCTGCCATTGCCTGCTGGCAATCCACATTAGCGTTTTCAAAAGCCAGTTGCAGCAATAAGATAGGAGTGGCCTGGGTGTGACTAATTTGCCTCTTAATTGCCTGAGTTAACGGATCCATAAACTCAACAAATGGCTCCTAAGTCCCTTGTCAAACATTTACAAAAGACCTCTGCTGAACTCTGGTCTTGGGAATTTGGTCCCAAGCTCTGAGAGCACACAGACACTTCAGCAAAGGCCTGGGGATCAAAATTTAGTTGTTTTTATACATCAGCATGAGGACACCTCCCTTGGAGCTTATCAGCTATTATATTTTGCCCGGCTGCCTGATTCTGGTTGGCTTGTTGTTTGCACAAGCCGTCCATATCCTGCCTTCCAGAGGAGGAATGGGCTAGGCTCCAGAGTTGCTTTAGCTAGCATTGACCAGTCCCATGGGCCCACACAGAATTGGTCTGCTAAGGCCCCAATCATTCCTTTTGTAAATGGTCTAGTGGCTCCATTTTCTTTAATGCTTTTTCTTCATTGTTTATAAGAGTGAAAGGAAATGGGTTCATGTACTTGATTACCATGTTGGTCTTGCATTACTGGACAGGCTAAGAGCTCTCCTTCTAATGCCACTTGTTTAAGACAAGGTCCCATAGCTGAAGTATGTTTCTTGCCTTTTTTTCTACTTACAGTAAGACGGGGCTCAGGCAAACCCTCCATTTACTCTTTGTTATTTTGGCCCGGTGATAGTGGGACTGAGGGAAAAGGAGGTGATAAGGCAGGTGATGTTTCTCCCTCCTTCTCATTTTTAGGCTCTTCTGTGTATAATGGGACTAAACCATCCTTAGTAAAGCCCGCCATGTTAAAGCTGATGCTGGGACCTGACGACCCTGTGCATAACATTGTTTAAGATTTCTCCCTACTTGTTCCCAGAGTTCTACGTCTAGCATTCCTTCTTCTGGGAACCATGGATTATATGACCAAAGTTTATATTAATTTCATTAATTGAACCTGGGAAACTGAAGCCCCGCTAGCCGTAAGCAACTGTTTTAATACTTTTATATACTGTTTCTGAGGTGCTGATAACTGTTGTCTTATAATGAAAACTCAGCTTGAACCAACTTCCCCCAGAGCTTTGTGACCTCAAGTGCGGACCAATGACTTACTGATTACTCAGTGAGTTAACCATGCGGTTCCTTTCTTCACCTTTTTTTTGGGAGTCCAAGTCTTTCTATTGTGAATAGTGCCACAATAAACATACATGTCTTTATCATAGAATGATTTATAATCCTTTGGTATATGCCCAGTAATGGGGTTGCTGGGTCAAATGATATTTCCAGTTCTAGATCTTTGAGGAATTGCCACACTGTCTTCGACAATGGTTGGACTAATTTACGCTTCCACTGACGGCGTAAAAGCATTCCTATTTTTCCACAAGCTCTCCAGGATCTGTTGTTTCCTGACATTTTAATGATTGCCATTCTAACTGGAGAGAGATGATATCTCATTGTGGATTGATTTGCATTTTTCTAGTGACCAGTGATAATGAGCATTTTTTCATGTATCTGCTGGCTGCATAAATGTCTTCTTTTGAGTAGTGTCTGTTCATATCCTTTGCCCACTTTTTGATGGGGTTATTTGTTTTATTCTTGTACATTGGTGTAAGTTCTTTGTAGATTCTGGATATCGGCCCTTTGTCAGATGAATAGATTGCAAAATTTTCTCCCATTTCGTAGGTTGGCTGTTCACTCCGATGACAGTTTCTTTGGCTGTGCAGTAGCTCTTTAGTTTAATTAGATCCCGTTTGTCAATTCTGTCTTTTGTTGCTGTTGCTTTCAGTGTTTTGGACATGAATTCTTTGCCCATGCCTTTGTCCTGAATAGCATTGACCAGGTTTTCTTCTAGGATTTTAAAGGTCCTAGTTGTAACATTTAAGTCTTTGATCTATCTTGAGTGGACTTTTGTAAGTGGTGCAAGGAAGAAGTCCAGTTTCAGTTTTCTGCATATGGCTAGCCAGTTTTCCCAAACCATTTTTGTACTTCTTAAGAGTATATTTGAAAATTATTCCTCATGATTAAGATTTATGTCTTTTAGAAGGAGAAGCAAGCTAGTAGCATTTTAGATATAATATACACTGAGCTGTTTTCTTTTTTCACAGGAAGTGTCTTTATTCAAAATTTCCACTAGTTTTAAAATTGATCAATGTAAACAAATTATAATTAAAAAAACTTTTCCTACAATTACAAAGTAGTATTTGCTAAACAAATTCTCCTTTAAAATGATTTGCATCAGGTAAACTTAATTTTGTCTAAACTAAAGGCTATAAAAACCTTGGAAGAAAATATTTAGTACCATGTAATTAAGGGAATTAGTATCACATTTTCAGGTACCCAACAATTACTACGTTTTTACAAACATGAAAGTAAAAGAAAACAACTATGACTCTTATTATATCACTACAGTCTGTGATTTTTCTTCCTTTTTCTCATTTATTTATATTCATCATAGGTTTAATTGCATGCCTCTGCATTTCTCTGTATACCTCTGAAAGATTAATATATGGTTCTGCAATTATATATTTATTTTACCTTTGAAAAGGTATACAGCATATCATGATACATTTTCCATTAGTGTTGTACCCAAGCGAGTTAGAGGAATGTCACACTTTGAAATGAATTTAAGGGTCCTTTATTTAGCCGGCAGCCGAGAGGCGGATAACGCTCAGAATTCTCTCGGCCCCGAGGAAGGGGCTTGATTTTCCTTTATACCTTGGTTTAGGAAGGGGAAGGGGGCTCAGTTGCAACAATTCTACAGAAGTAAAAACATGCAAAAAATTAAAAAGACAAATGGTTACAGAGAAATAAACAGTTCCAGGTGCAGGGGCTCTAAATATATTATAAGATGTCAGGTATGGTGGCTCTGCTGAACACAAACTCAAGGCTTTATGGTGTTATCTCTTGAGTGAAATCCTGGGAACTTTGTACATTGCTTGCTTCAGTACCTTGCTTTGTGCATTGCTTGCTTCAGTTAATTGGACTCTTTGATGCGTAGACAATCAGCTTACACAAGTTAACTCCTTGAGGAAAGGGGGTGGGTAAGGAGTCCTTGATATCTTGTAAATGAAGGAGCCAAATGGAGTTCGTCTGGCTTTCATAGCTAAGGGAGAGCATATTCACATGGAAACAAGGCTAGGTGATTAAGGGAGAAAGGGAGAGTCTAAAAACAAGGTTAGTAAAAGCAAGGTTAGTAAAAACAAGTTTAGGTATTGCATTAGTATACCTATCTCAGAATGCACATAACTTTAGAACCTATAAAACTTTTGCATGGGTTAGAAACTAGGCAATGTTAAGCAGTATTTATTTACAAAACATGTCTAATTTATAATGGGAATAGGATGAGAAAAGATGCTTTCTTTTTGGTTTGACAACATTATGGGCTCTGAGGGTTACTCAAAGAAGACAGATTTCATCTTAGAAGTGGGTATTTGCTTACTAGGGTTGAAAGCGTTATGGTGGTGGCATGCTCCCAGATTACCACTTGAGATGCATCGCTGGTTGATCTACAGAGCAGCTTTGATGCGGTTTTACCCAGCCAGATTCCTGCTATCCTGGCTGCAAGGTTTGTTTTCTTTTGCTTGTAGTCAGAGGGGAAGTGATGCTTGATTTTCTACTTGCCTCTGAACTTTAGAGCTTAATTTTGCTCCAGGAAAGAGGAGAATTTCTTAAATCTGAAGTGTTTCACTTAGCTTTATGAAAGTAGGAAAAAATAAAATAAAACAAAATAAAAACAATCCTTGCTGGTTTCTTATTCATATTCCATCTATTAACTGCTGGATTGAAACTCTTTTTAAAAATTTTTTGATGACTTCTGAATCAAAGTAACAATGCAGGCAAAGCTCCCACACCTGGAAACTAAGAAAGGACTTGCACAAAAGAAAGTAAGACAGAAAGAGAAAATATGAAGGTTCTGAGGTTACCATGAAATTGATTCTAAGTTCCTTTGCCTGAGAGTCGAATCCTTTCTACAATTGGTTGGAGTTCCATTCTCCTTTCAGGGCTCAGCTCGTGTTACACTTTCTCTCCAATCTCTTGTAGCTTTTCCTTACATTACTTCATTTTCTCTGGCATGAAGAAACGGTGCAGAGGAAAATACAATATTGAGTAGATTTTGCAGTGAAATATTTTAATTGCAGAATGGTATGGAAAACAATGGATGCTAGGATAAAAATTGTGTGTGTAAGCTTATTGAGAAATTTGAATGAATGTCAGTTTCAGGAGAGTTTAGACTTGAAAGTGTCGTTAAAAGTATGTTTTCATATCATGCTTGTGTTTGACATAAAAATGTGTAATATTTTTTATGTCAGAGAAGGTAGTTTTCATATATTGTGCATCAACCTATGGATCTCCAATTTCCAAATGTGCAGTACATGCTCAACAAACTGTGGAACAGAATGATGAATGAGTAACATTAACCGAACTCTTTAGAAAATTGGCATACTAAAGTTCATACTAAAACATGAATGCATTCTCTTTATTCAAGTAATTAATTTCTAATAATCCCATTCATCTTAGATACAAAACTTAATTAGCTTAGTAATAAAATTACTGGTGATAGCATATTATTTTACTAAATATATGCTTTAGAATGTACTAACAGTTTCTGTCCAAGTTTATCCTTATGGAAACCATAGTAGTAAAAGCATTCTTATGTCCAGCTTTCTTTTTATCAGGTTCTAAAGAGAGGACATATTAATAGTACACACGTAAACAGTAGCTGACTGAATTTTTAAAAGATTAAATAAAGAAGCACTAAGACAAGCATTAAAATTTTATAAACAATTATTGCTTATCCTTCATTAGACAGCAACAACATTGATAAGTTAACAGGCAGCATTTTTACAAGTTCAGAGGGTGTCTGAGTACTCAGTGGGATTTATTATGTGAAACAATACTCACATAAACCTGAAGAAAGTGTACTTATTTTATATACATAAAAGGTAGCAGGTAACCTACTTAGAGATTACTTGAAATTTCTACTTGGATGGGCCCTTTCATCTCTGTGAGAATGTAGAGCAGGTCAAGTTCTCCTGGGAGGCTGTGGTAGTAGTCTTTTGTGCAGATTGTTTTGTGTTTTTAGAATTTTTAGTTTCTCAGGTCGCTGATATGGCTCAGTCATTATAGTTTCTCTGGAGTGGTTGGTCTGGAGCAGACATTCCCAAACTTCCTGGTACCAGGGACTGGTTTCATGGAAGACAATTTTTCCACAGATCATGGGTGGGGAGCTGATGGTTTTGGGATGATTCAAGAACATTACATTTATTCTGTACCGGTATTTCTATTATTACAACACTGCAATATATAATTAAATAATTATATAACTCACCATAATGTAGAATCAGTGGGAGGCCTGAACTTGCTTTCTGTCCCAGGGTGATGGCAGACAGTGACAGATCATCAGGCATTAGATAATCATAAGAGTGCACAATCTAGATCCCTCGCATAGACAGTTCACCACGGGGTATGATAATCTAATGTCACTTCTGATCTGACAGGAGGTGGGGCTAAGGCAGTAATGCAAGCAATGAGGAGTGGCTGTAAATACGGATGAAGCTTTGCTGGCCTGCCAGCCACTCACCTCTTGCTGTGCAGCCAGTTCCTAACAGATCATGCACTGGTACCTGAATGAGTGTTTAGAATCATCAACGTCTTTAAAGTGGTTAGCATATCCAGAACAAACAGTGTGTCCAGGTAAGAAAGGCCTACCTATGGGGAGTGATTAGTCACTCCTGTAGAGTCAGTCTATTAAGGCTGATTGACATATCTTACAGTTTTTATCAAGACAGTGCTTGGTGAATAAATATGCAATAAATGATAACCATATATTCAAAATTAGTGTTTCCTGCATGTTTCAGCTGGGTTTGTTTTTAGGTGATCATATTGTTTCTTCATGGACTAGTCATAAGAATACTCAGTTGAATGCTCAGTTGAACCTTGGAGGAAACATGCATCACTGTTTATACAGCAAAAATAACTGAAGTAAATTGTTTGTTTAGAGTCTCCTGGCTCTGCTAAAGTCACCAGAATAATCACCGCTTAAAAGTTACCAAACACTGCATGTTCTCACTCATAGGTGGGAATTGAACAATGAGAACACATGGAAACAGGAAGCGGAACATCACACACCAGGGCCTGTTGTGGGGTGGGGGGAGGGGGGAGGGATAGCATTAGGAGACACACGTAATGTTAAATGATGAGTTAATGGGTGCAGCACGCCAACATGGCACATGTATACATATGTAACTAACCTGCACGTTGTGCACATGTACCCTAATACTTAAAGTATAATAAAAAAAGAAAAGTTTATCATAGATAGTACATATTTGAATCTATGCATATTTATGAACTATGAAAATGACTGCCATGTTCATAACAACGGTAATATAAAACAGTTTATGGGCACTCACTGGAAATCAAATGTCAAAGACTCAGAGACTAAGTCATTTAGAAAAGAAAATAAATTCATTTGCAGAAAATTATTAATTGGAGTACAGGTTTTAACAGAACTTGCTGTAAAATTAAAAAAAAATGACTAGATATTTAATTTATCAAAGCTGTAATGTTCATGATGGACAATTAATAACTTCTTTGAATTATTGTCAAATTAGATGACATTCTCCCATTTTTATATATCAACATTTCAAAGGCCAAGATAAAATTATTTTTGTTAGGGAGTCAGTAACTTACAGAAAAGCTCAAGATTTGATTTAATTTTTGGAACCAGACAGAATGAGTCTGTTTTTCTTGTTGTTGTTGTTGTCATTGTGGTTTACCTTAGGGAAAATGAAGCATTTAAAAATGTTTTCCTTGTGTGGAATATGATGTAAACCCTCATTCCTTTAATGGAGCAGGGCAAGGTGATACAGTATTTCCTTATAGACACTGTGCAAGGCACTCTATTCACTTATCTCTAACAACAAGCCCATGATGATCACAGGGCACTGCTTACTCACTGAATTTTACAGTTACACTAGAGGTGGAGTTAAACCTGCATTGGTAATACATTAGGCTTAGTAAATAATTTAGTGAGCCCCTTGAGAATGATCTAAGATATGAGCACCTAATTGTACCAAATGTATGGTCAATATTATTTCCTGTTAGAGACTCATGATGAGATTACAGAGAAATTAGAAACTAATTAAACATATAGAACCAAAGTTTTCATTCCCTAGTTCAAGCTCATCAGTACATTTTACTTTCTTTCAGATGCAGACATAATTTATTGTTTTTGAAGAATCTCTATCTCTTTATCTCTCTCTGTTTCTCTCTCTCTGTTTCCCTCTGTTTCTTGGTTTCCCTCTCTCTGTTTCTCTATTTGCTTCTCTCTGTATGTTTCTCTCTCTCACTCTCTCTCTCTCTCCTGCTTTATATTATATGCTAGCAAAGGATTAGGCAAGGATAGATGTTCTCTAAAGACAGATATTGCCTGTTTGAAAAGCTAAGGACAGGCCAACCAAAAAATAAAGAAACTAACACTGATTTTTTTAAAAAGCCATACGTAGCGTCAGTGATGAGGACCTCTCATTTTTGTTATTACTGCTGTTTCATTCAAGAAACTGAAAACTAGGACAAGATTTGTTCCCACATACACAGGTAAGAGCAGCTCAGCCACAATAAAGAGATGTCTCACTGATTTGAGTGAAAAATGCAGGACCCCATTTACATGGAAATATAGTATTTTAAAATAAAAAAAGCTGAAGTTTTAAGCATTCCAATTCACAATGTAAATTTTGTCTTTTTTATGTAAAATGAGATAATGTAAGTAAGACACTTCTGTTGTAATTGTTATTGCTATTGAGGTTATCATCCCTGTTCTTGTTAATATTACTTACTTTTAATTTTCTGTTTTAATTGTTATTGCTACTGAGGTTATCATCACTGTTCTTGTTAATATTACTTACTTTGAATTTTCCTGTATAGGCCTTAATCTAACACTTTCTGTACCAATGCTTGTTTGGCAAAACTATTTTTTTAGGTAAAGAGTATACAATTTAGTGTCTCAATAATGTTGCATAATTACCCATACCAAAACTTGGTGGTATTTTATAGTAAGCATGTATTTTTGCCTTTGTAACTGCAGAAAAAGAGGGATTTTTTACTCTTCTAAGCTTAGTTGGAATTGGTTTTGTCTCAGTCGATTCTAATGTGTTCTCTTTAAACCTACAGCTAAGTTATTTTCTTCTTGTAAAGAAAAGCAGGAAAGCAAGACGGTAAGTTCAATTGCCAAACACATTTCAAGACCTTCCCTGTTTTTCATGTCTGGGCATCCCATTAACCCCTAACAGGAAGCAAAGGAACGGGAAACACAGTTCTGCCATGGAAATTATGAATATGTGCTAAGCAACAGGACTATTAATTTTAAATAATAAGCTGTTAGGTGGTTTTTATTCCATGAACAATTAGATTGCAAGTGACTTGTACATGTTACCTTTCTACTAGAAATCCATACCCAGAAAGCTTTATCCATCACTCCTGATTTTAGAGGTGTTCAGTTGTCAGATTTTTTTCTCACTTCCACTGGCTGCATTGCTCCACTCTTCTAACCATCCTCCTATTCATTTTAAAGTCAACGTGAATTATGTCTTGCTTGTCAGAGTTTATTAATGTTGGATCCTGAAATTATAAAGATTGTTATGTATCTTTCCAATTCTTACGGTATTATTTTTATGGGAAAATGTATACCCTTTTGAAAATAACTAATTTGAAATAATTTTGTAACATAATCCATTTTACAATAAGAAATCTCCTCTCTCAAACACACACACACACACACACACACACACACACACACACACACACACAGTCTCCATGGCAAATTTATTATAATTCAAATAAACATGAAATATTAAATATTTAAATGTTAAATATTTAATTTAATATAATATAAATATGTTTATATCATATAATGAAGGGATTTTTTTGTTAAATACAGGGTAAGTTGATATGTTTTTTCTTTTTGTCACAAAATTGCCAAACACATGTGTCAAAGTATTAATACACAGTATCATATGTATGACATTCCATCTGACACATTTTGACATTAATTCATCTTTTGATCCAAAAATTTCTTCCTATTTTAATAAAGATACACATTTGAATTTTATCCGTTCTGCACCTTTTTAAGGCTCCCTTTAATAATGAACTTCAAAATTAAACTTTTATATTTAATATTATTGTTGGTATAGTCTCATTTTTATAAATATTTGTCCTGTTCTTTAAATGATGATGTATGATACATAGGCAAAAGGATATCCTGGAGCTTTTATATTTTATTTTATATATATTTTTGAGACAGAGTCTCACTGCCTCACCCAGGCAGGAGTGCAGTGGTGTGATCCTGCCTCACTGCAATCTCCAACTTTGGGTTCAAGTGATTCTTCTGTCTCAGCCTCCTGAGTAGCTGGACCAAAGGCATTCACCACCATGCCTGGCTAATTTTTTATTTGTAGTAGAGATGGGTGTTCTGCCATATAACCCAGGCTGGTCTTGAACTGCTGACCTCAAGTGATTCACCCGACTTAGCCTCACAAAGTGCTGGGATTACAGATGGAAGCCATCGCACCTGACATTTTGCTAATTTTATTTCGATCTCGTGGATAGTTGCTTGTAGTGAAAGAGCCAAGAATTAATCAACACATCATAGATACACACAACTAAATTTCCGAGAGGAATATATTGCCCAGATCAAGTAAGTTTCCATGGAAAATTATTAACAAAGACCTCATTCAAGAGGATTGCAGAAAGTGAGCTATGCTCAGCGGGGTTGGTATCATAATGTGGTAAAAAGAAAGTGAATAAAATTATATGATTAATTTTTTTTTTGCGGTTGCAGGTCAGCATCCATTGCTTATACCACGTACAGTGCCCCACTCAAACTTGAATGGCAGTGAGGCAGTCAGGATTTGGAGGAAGGCCCAGCAAGGACAATCAGGGCCCAAGGATAGAATGCTGGATTTGCCTGTGGTGCTTTGTGATCTTTCACAAAGTAACTGCGAAATGATGAGTGTAGACAGCATATCTTCTGTCATAAATTAGACATTTCAACCAATATTATTACCTTAAATATATCTGTTCTTACTCTAAATAGTTAAATCCACTGTATTTCAAGATTTAAAGTTGAATCCAAAGACTCTTTAATGTTACAAAGAAGTATGAAGTTACCTTAAGTTAAAATTGTTCAGTGGACATTGAAATAACTACGGCTGTCAACAGTGGCTGACGCCTGTAATCTCAACACTTTGGGAGACCGAGGCTGGTGGATCATGAGGTCAGGAGATCGAGGCCATCTTGGCTATGGTGAAACCCCATCTCGACTAAAAATACAAAAAATTAGCCGGGCATGGTGGCAGGCACCTGTAGTCCCAGCTACTGAGGAGGCTGGAGCAGAGAATGGCATGAACCTGGGAGGTGCAGCTTGCAGTGAGTTGAGATCATGCCACTACACTGTAGCCTGGGCACACAGCATGAGACTCTGTCTCAAAAAAAGAAAAAAAGAAAAAGAAAGAAAAAAGAAAGAACTACAAACACCTCCCAAAATTATTCTTCATGTTGACATAAATAATGTTCTATCAGGAGTATATTTTAATATGTGCTTCAATAATGATCTCTCTCCATTAGAAGCCTCTAGGAGAGAAGGAATCATTGAGTTTCAATCACACAACTATTACCAGAGACAGACTTACAGTTGCTTTGAAAAACGTGCTCTTTTACAGTTTTCATTGGAGGAAATGAATATCTGACAATAGAGAACAAATTTTGTAATTCCTAAATACCTGACTAGTAGTATCATTTGTATATATATTTATTTTCATTTATCAGGAATTATTCTTGCACCTACCTTAACTGTAATTACCAACTCAGCAACGTAAAATCACACTGTACCTAAAAATACAAACAGTATCCTACTGAAGTTAAACATGCTATCATGCTGAGGTTGGGTTGCCGTCTTTTCCTCTGAAACCACAAAGAGGTTCTGCATGTTACTGCCTTCAACATATGCACTTGCTAGTTTCTGTTTCCATTGTTAAAAATAGACTCCTTTGACAATCATTTTTAAATACTTTCCATCCTACAAAGCTTATTAGCTTTACTTTACACAACCATTCAGCACATATTGCTACTAAATAGTTGATTTGTCATCAAATAATGAAACCTGTAATTTGTAGGAAGAACGGAAACCTAGGCTCCAGGAATCCCAAAGTAGAAATCCTCCTAGGAGTTATAGTAATTTGAAACTCTGCCATAGATTATTAGTGATGAAGTGATCCATAAAACTTTGTGAGAGGTACTGCGTCCGTGACATTGTGTCTAGCAAGAATAAGGGATACTCAAGATACATACTAGTTTTCACTTATTTCACATTTATACCCATGAATCTGTGACACAACTCTTCAAAATGTTGTGGATCAGCTACCCACAAGACAGGGAGAATAAGATACGACTGTACACTGTGTTCCAGACATTAAGAATTTAATCCTCAAACTCACCCAAATGAATACAGTTGGAATAATGGCTACCCACTTCTGGGTAAAATAAAATGCATTGTAAACCTTAACTTTTTCGTTAAAATGTAAGTATAGTATTAACCGTCATTGTTCATGCTATCTTTTAACCTCATTGCAGTGAAGAGAATAGTGGATGATATGCAGACCATCACTCTCCTGCCTTTTCAGTAAAATTATAAAGGATGATTTATTGAATGTTCTTGGAGAAGCAAATTAATTTTCACAACTTTTCCAGGTTTCTCATTACCAAGTGATCACTTCTTGTAAAGAAATAGAAGACAGTTCTGCTGAATTAAAACATGATGTATCAATTGGTCTGAAATTTCTGTCTTCTGTTTTAACTGAGGCCTTATTTGACAATATTCAAGATATGCATTTTCTGTTTTTGTTTTGTTTTGTTTTGTTTTAAGTAGGCACTATGGAGCCAGAAAAAGGTGCCTTGCTGCTGAGTTAAAGTTAACAGAGGCTATACTGGTCTTACAGAAGATCCAGGGGGCAGATTGGCCAGGAAAGAAGGGCCATGGTCAAGAGCCATTAAAGTGTTCCCCTCAGGGTGCCTTAATAACAGCCGAGGCATTAGAGGGATTCCCTCTAGAGTCATCAGTTTTGATTATTTAAGTCTTTTTCCCCCTGTTGACATATAGAGAGACACAAAGCTAGGAAACCAGTAACTCTACTCTAGTTACAGTAGGTGCTGGTGTAAAATCACAAGTCTCCAAAGCCACTTGTAAATACACGACCCATCTGACTAAAGAGTGTTCCTCTTGGGAAATACGCTATATTATCAAAAGGCGGAATTTTGTGAACTGATACTATAGTTTAAACTCAGGTTACCGGTTGTTCTGAAGTTCTTATAATTATAGATTGAAATGATGATGGTTTGTTTTATTCCAACTCATTGAAGGCACAGTTATTCCCTTCTACCCACCTCCCCCCGCCAAAAAAGTGTATTCTAAACACTGAAACAAAGTGATGGTATTCCTTTGGAAAAGTCCATCCCCACATCTCTGCCCATCCAATGCCAAGATTTATTTTGACAAAAATAGTTTCAGTGGTACCTCACTGATGGCAATTGTAATTTTGTAAAGATTTATGAGTTGTAATTTTGTAAAGATTTATGAAGTTCAATTAGAGCCATCACTGCTGTTAGAAAAGCAGTCTCATTTACATTGTTGAAAAAAGGAAGTTCTTCCTAGAAAGGGGAGGTGGCTGGCAAGGTCCAATTGGAAAAGCATTCAGAAGACAAGAAGGTGAATTAGCGAAGTGGAAAGAGAGGTTGAATGAAAATGTATACAATTTTTTATGACAAACTGGGTGTAAATCATAGTTTATGTATAATTCTAAAGACAGAGGATTGATGGCCCTACATCAACTTTAGTGCCAGAGTAAAACTAAAGGAGATGTGTGCCACTGGGGTCTTTCCTAAAATACAAAGTTAAAAAAAAAAAAAAAAACACATAGAAATAATAAACTGAGAGGCTGAGAGTGAATAAGGGACTGAAAGTTAATAAGACTATCTGGAAGTCACTGAAGAAATAAAGCCATAAACAGAAAAAATGAACCATGTTTAAAAAGCTGTAGGAGCATGACCAGGTCATGCCAAACGGTGCAAGTTGGGTTTGACTGGTTCAGTTGAAGCCAGAACCTACAAATAATATACAGATAACAGAGATCCACTTCCATTTACACTTCCTGCGTAGCACAAATTTTGGCTTTCTTATTTAATGAAATAATATAGTAACAGAGTTCATGATGATTACAAGCTCTAAGTTATCTTTAGCTTTTTGCTGGCCCCTTTCCTTCCTTCCTTTTTCCTTTCTTCCTTCCTTCCTCCCTCCCTTTCTTCCTTCTTCCTTCCTCTCTCCCTTCCTTCCTTCTGTCTTCCTTCCTCCTTCCTTTCTTCTTCCTCCTTCCTTCCTTCCTTCCTTCCTTCCTTCCTTCCTTCCTTCCTTCCTTCCTTCCTTCCTTCCCTCCTTCTTTCTTTCCTTCCTTCTTTCCTTCCCTTCTCCTTTCCTCATTTTAAATTAGGAGTCCAATTGAACCATGCCTTGTGCTTTTTTTGACCTAACATACAGGCTTTAAAATGTTCCTGATTGGACCATAATATCAGGTGGCCCAGGAAAAGCAGTGAATAATTCAATCTGATTTAGTTTGTCTTTGATTTGAAACTTAAGACCATGAAATGGTATCATCTCCAGCACCCTGAGTAGGAGTAGTTCACAGAAATAGGTGATAAGTAATTTATTTAACCCCTCAGTTTTGAAATCTTCGAGAACTTAGTTGAAATAAAGATGGTGTAGTCTACCAATAAAATCAGCTAAGACTTTAAGATCAAGCGGAGGTAAGGCACTGAAAATTTTGAATTGGTAAAGCTGATGTTGTGTTACTAATTTTCTCTGAGAAAATGACATGGAGCAAGATATGAGACCATCAAAAAACAAACAAAAAGAGGTACTTAATTGAATTTAAAAGAAGTTAGATGACTTTAAATTGATTTAAAGATATTTTTTAAATCTATGTCTGATTTCACAAAATTGAATGTTTTATAATCAAATAAACTTGTTTTGAGTTTTAAAGTCACACAACCATACCCACACATTATTTTTGTTAACTAATGGAGAAGAACACAAGTTCTACCTATTGACACAGTGGCAAAATAATTAAAAGGAACACACAACTCAAATTGTTCTACACACACACAGGCTTTCTAAGTGACATACAGGGTTAATTCTATGTAGATTGCATAAAATATTTCAGTCTTGTGTCATGTTCTTCTCTTTAAAAATGAAGAATAAATACAGGCAGAATAAAAACTAACAAAAATGAAGTAAACTTTTTTTTTTTAAACAGAAGTAGAGAATAAGTCAGCACAATGTCATTGGGATATCCATGAGGGCTAAACTTAAGTGAATATAGACAAGATGCTTAGAGATATGTCTTAAAGCAGTATCTGCAAAGTAAGCACACTGTTTTCACTTACTTTATATGTAATACATTGGGCCGGGAGTGCGAGGAGGGCCACTGCTTGTCCCTGCACTGATCCTCAGTCACAAGCTATGACAGTGGTAGTGAAAATTAGATAATAGGTCTGATATAGAACATTCAGATTGAGTGCAAGATAATAAATATTTGTAGACATCAGGCAGAGTGCAAAGGTTCCACATTTGCAGCAACTATTGTTTTTTGAATAAAAGTTTTTAAATGCTGGGAGAAGTAAGCTATACCATTATAGATCTGAGACATCTGGAGAGGGAAACTCATTATCCGCAACAAGTCTTGACAGCTGGAACTTCACTGATAGCTGATGCAAACATTCCCCTATGGTGACTACGATTACCAATACTGTACTGTATACTTAAAAAACTTGCTCAGAGAGTAGAAATTTATTGTTCTCCCCCAAAACAAACAAAGAGAAAACACCCTAAACAGATACCAAACGCAATGAAATTATCTTAAGGGGTACTAGAAATAATGACAAATTTCCTATATGTGAATGGCATTTACACTAGCAAGAAGTTTCTAAAAAGCAACAATTAAAAATAAAGCAGCAGGGGTTTTTCAAGCCATGATCTAAAATAATATATATATTTTTAAAAAACTATCATTAAAATGTGATTGTGAAATAAAGATACTTCATGATATATAAAACTTGAAAGGATGTAGTACAAACAATTTGTTTGCTGAAATAATTTCTTAAGGTTAAGTTTCAGTAAAAAGGAAATTCACACAAAAGGGAAAATTCAAGAAGGTGAGTAGACAAATTAATAAAGAAGAGCATATCCCTAAGCTAGCAATAACAATATAAACAATAACACTAACAACGAGTAATTAAGCATATAGGTAAGTTGTGCCTAAAATTCTAAACAATATGATTAGAATTTAATTACAATTGATAGAGTTTATGAGAACAAAATTATGAGCCATATAAAAATAAACATTTAAAAAAACACAACAATTTTCAAAGAGAGGTACTAAATTTTATTGAAGGGCATAATAAATGAAAGCCAAAATATACATAAAAAGGTGGCCAGGCAATTGTTAAAAAATCTTCACATGATAAGACGTGCCTTTCTATATTAATACAAAAATTCAGGCAATCATAATAAAAGTTACAGCAAGATGCTTCATGTACATTGACAAGCTGATTCTAAATACAGAATTGAAAAGGGATGGGACTCATCTGGGCAAATTTGTAGTAAGTGTGGGAGAACAATGATGTTGAAGAGGAAGATGGAAAAGAGGACTCTTTTTTTAAATTGATTTTTGAAAAGGAGTTTTGCTCTTGTTGCCCAGGCTGGAGTGTTGTGATGCAATCTCGGCTCACTGCAACCTCCACCTTCCAGTTTCAAGTGACTCTCCTGCCTCGGCCTCCTGAGTAGCTGGGTGACGCCTGCACCACACCTGGCTAGTTTCTGTAATTTTAGTAGAGACATGGTTTCACCATGTTGGCCAGGTTGTTCTCGAACTCCTGACCTCGTGATCCATCCCCCTTGGCCTCGCAAAGCGGTGGGTTTACAGGTGTGAGCCAATGTGTCCAGCCGAGGACTCTGTTTAATAGGGAACACTTTCATACAGCTGTTTCTAAATATTGTAGTATGGAAATCTATTGCAAATAGAAGTAACCCAGAAGTAAATACACTATTATGACAGAAGTTGCAGTCTAAGCAATGCTGAAGTGATGCACTATTCAATAATATCCTAAGAAAAAAATTGAAGGCAAAATGGACTAAACACATTTGTTAAAGACATATAAAAGTAAATCTTTTCATCACAGTATGCACAAGAGTAAATGGACTATGATTTTAAAAATACATGTAAAAACCAAAGCTGCCAAATTGCTAGAAGAAAATATTAGAGAATAGTTTATAATATCAGAAAAATACTGTTAATAATGTTCAAAAGGCTTTAATAAAAAATGAAAATTTTAGCTGAGTGTGGAGGCTCACGCCTGTAATCCCAGGACTTTGGGAGGCCGAGTTGGGCAGATCACTAGGTCAAGAGATTGAGACAATCCTGGCCAACATGGTGAAACCCATCTCTACTGGTTAGTAGGGATTATTTTAATTATATTATATTTCATCCTCCAAACATGTTTCCCCCTACAGTATTCCACTATTTCAGAAATTCACAGCACTATATACCTTGTATTTCAAGCTAGAAATGTAGAGGATGATCCTTGAGGCAGCCTCTTCTTGATGAGTCTTCATCCTTCACGCCCAACACTTCACAGGTTGTGTGTCCTCTCCGAAAATTACATAGTCTTAGTAAATAAAGACTGGCCCCTAAACAACCTTCAATCATCCACTATTTTTTTTCTTTGCAATTCACGTCAGTTTCTTTACAGAACAGCTGGAGCTCTGCAAAGTCAATGTTGGAGTAAGTACCATTCTCTGCCAGTATTAACTGTTTTCTTTATCACAATATAAATATTCCTTAAAAATGCCCAAATGAAGCTATACTAAGTAACAAAGTTAAATAGTTAAATGATGTCTTTGTTTTACAGAAAAGTACCAGGCCAACAGAGTCAATTATTATTATATGATCTTTATAACTACACACACAGTTGCTAGATATTTTAGACCCCACTTCATACATCTGAAATTTGGGCCTCAAAATATTTAGCATATATTAAAGTCTAATGTCAGATGACAGAACTGCCTCTTTCCACAGTATTGTGCTACCTCGCTTTAAGAACCAGCTGGGAAATCATTAAGAATATAAAATGTCCTTTTCTTGAACATCTCCCAGGTGAGCCAAAAATCTAAATTTTCTGTGGAGATGTTGTCATGTGCAATTTCATGAAAACGTATAAAATTTTAATCACAGCTATGCTTCAGTGGCATACCTGTTCATCCAATACTGCACACCTGCTTTAACACAGAAAAATGTGGAAGTTAATACAAGTATTAACATTATAGACGCTGATATCTGAAGACACTTTCCAATCTCCCATGAATATGTGAAATTCAAAATGTCAGTACAGTCTCCAAAATATCAAGGTAATCTTAGTAGCAGTGGATCGTTTAGAAAAGATAATTTTGCCACCGTGGTCAAATATTTTTGTTAAATACTGCTATTTTATGGCTATCCATAGCATTACCTGACACACAGTGTATAGCTAGAACCATGTTCCTAAAGAAAATGTTCAGAAGTAGGTTTCTTGCTTTTTGCTAAATTGCAAATTAACAGGTTAATTACTCCTGTGAAGTGCTAGATAGATGGAGTAGTATTTATCAAGAATGAGAAAGAAGACAGGGGCATATGACTTGAGAAGGCAGGAGTGAGGAAAAGATAAGGTATTTATTCCTGACTCCTGACTTGATGTTCTTTGTGTGTTTTCTTTCTGTTGCTGTTGTTGTTGTTGTTGTTGATGTTTTACTTTATCTTAAGTGTCAGACCAGAGTTTCACAAATATCCCCAAATAATTACATGGGTCATAAAATATATATTCAAATATTTCTCATTATTTGGTTCAAAATCCTTGTTCAATCATTTGAAATGAGACCTGGAGAGCCAGCAATTCTAACAAGTATGCTAAGTGATTGTTACCAAAATGACAATTGTGAAATATTTAGAAAACCATGCAGGAGATACGTAATCAACATTTAATAATTGGTTCTTATTGTAGGGGAAAAGATTTTGTTGAAATGACTATTTAAATGCAAATTTTATTAAAAAGATAGAATTGAGCACTTCAGTGCTTTCTAATTAGTATCTTTAAAGTATGTTTTGCTAAAGTGGCAAAATTATTTTTTTCCATTAGAAGTTAGCATTATGGCCACAAATGACTTCTGAGTTAGCTTTTTGAAAATCTTCAGATCATAAATTCTAAAAATTATCTTGGGGGTTTATAAAACTCCAGAAAATCACTAAGAAAAATATACATAAAATTACCAGCGCCCCAAAAAATCAAAATAACTACACAAGAAAATCTATAAACAATCTAGCCCAGTAGAAGAAAGCAGGACAGGTAAATAGATACATTTTAGAAAAGAAGAAAGTCATATGACCAATGAAAAATGGCTAGATGTTTGAGCTCATTAGTAATCTGGGGATATAAATCAAAACCACATTACGTTCCAACTTTTGTTCATTTGTTTGGCAACTATTAAAATAATAATATCAAGTGTAGTCAAGGATGTATGGAATGATAATTTGGTTCCATCAATCACAGGATTATCTAATGATATTTAGTAAAATTAGGGTGACTAAAATATTTATTGTTCCAATGGAAACTTTTTTTAGAATAAAAGGTTACCAACATATGCAAAATTATTTAATATTTATTATGTTATTTCCTTACAGGCATTTTTTTTTTTTACTGTATCAATGGAGCTATGAAATCGTTACCTTCCAATTACTTCTGAAAATGAAATCCCTTCAGAAATTTAAATTCACAATTACATATCTTGAGGCAAAATAGAAAAATAACTTCTTTGTATTTATTATTGAAGTATTACAAATAAGAGGAAGAATAATTATTCTAGAACATATTTATATGTATTAATCTGTTTCTTAATAATTACCTGTAGTTTTTTTAGGAAAATGCATTTGTTTTAATTTTATATTGATTTTTAAATAAAGTTACTTGCAAAAACTTTTCCAAAGTTGCTTTTTCTTGTCACCAATAAAAGTTATCCACAATGTTTAGCTTTTCAAGTGAACTTTTTTAAAAAAAGTATCATATTGTTCAATGTTTTTTTTCCTGACACAATAATATTTCAACAGCTTTATTTTGGTTCCAATGATTGATTAAAAATCAAACCATTTTTTAATCCAATTTTCTGTTTGAAACATCTAGATGGCATTATTCAATTATTTTGGAATTTCTTCTGTAGCTAATGGAGCTAATATACTAACAATTACTGATGCATATTTCTTAAGTGCAGAAAAATTAGAATTAAAAATGTACACGATTGTTTTTAAAAAACAGTAATTTGATGTCAATAAAAAGCCAATCATCTCAGAATTATATGTTCAATTTTTCCAAATTCACATATTAAATCTGTGAAAATGTCATCTTCAGGCATAGTTTTCTTAATGTAACTAAGTATTACCTTTTGAAGTAGCAGCTGGTTTTTTTCCTCAGCCTTCTATATTCTGGATTTCTGGATATCACTTTTAGACTGTGGTCCCAATCACAGAATACAAGGCTTTATGATTACACCATGCGTTTATAGACACTTTTCAACCCATAATCTGATTGAAAAGGAAATTGAGTTTTTTCTTTTTGTTGTTGTTGTTTTTTTTTTTTTTTTTTTTTTTTGAGATGGAGTCTTACTCTATTGCCCAGGCTAGACTGCAATAGCATGATCTTGGCTCACTGCAACCTCCACCTCCCAGGTTCAAGCTATTCTCCTGCCTCAGCCTCCCGAATAGCTGGGACTACAGGCATGCACCACCATGCGCAGCTAGTTTTTGTATTTTTAGTAGAGACGGGGTTTCACCATGTTGGCCAGGATGGTCTCAATCTCAGGACCTTGTGATCCTCCCACCTTGGCCTCCCAAAATGCTGGAATTACAGGCATGAGCCACCGCGCCCGGCCAGAGTTGTTTTTAATTAAATATCTACTTGCATTTTTTAGTCATTGCTGCTGAAACAGATTTTTTTTTAAATCGTCATAAGCAAATAGCCCATAAATAAATAGTTGTAGGCATATGAGAGATGACAAAACCACTGTGGCCAGACCAATTAACTACTCTCTCTGTGCTAAGCTTCTATTTCTAGCACATAATTTACATATATCTAGCCTATTATTTCCTTCATTTTCCCCAAACCCACCATATGATGATCTGGCAGTGTCATGTAAATGAACCATATAGAAAAAACAAACAAACAAACAAAAAACTATGTCAAATACTTCTTCCATCACCCGGGAAGATTGGAAGGAACTAGCCATTCCTAGCCAATACTGACTCAGTGCATATTGATTTATTATCAAGCACTCTGCTGCATGCTGTCCCTGAAAAAGAAGCATTATCTATGTATTGTATAAACCGTGTTAGGAAAATAAAGTTGATTTTCAGACTTATCCCCCTACCGAAGTCATCATTCTGTTAATATTTTATTTTCCTCACCTAATGATGGAGCCCTGACAATAGCTATAATTGTTAAACAAAATGAACATTTAACAAACACATGCTGGATCTAATCAATGTAACTTATAATAATACTTCATTAAAAATGAAAAATCTAAGACATATGCTAAGCCAATTAGCTTGGATAAACAATAGTAATAAAGTGGTAGCCCTGGGACCTAATGAGAATATATTTCATCCCCTCAAAATTAAAACTGTATGCACACTGCAGTCCAGCCATTCTTCTAGTATATTCATTAGACACTCTCACACATGTGTACCTAGATGCATAGGGAAGGTTTCTCTTTGTAGCATTTGGACAAACACATCATGGAACATGATGAAATTCTGTAGACTGAGAACTATGCCATCAATAATGGCAGCTCTCAGTAAGAATGTTAACAAAAAATGTGAAATAATACACACCTTATATATTCACAGAAACATTAAAAATTCACAAAATAGTATTATTTAGAAATAAATATTTTAATAAATTTATAAAAATATGAAGGTAATAACAGGTTGATGATAATGGCACCTCTGGAAATGGAGAAAAGCAAATGAACCTGATGGGGTGTATTCCAATTACAACCAGAGGTAATATACATAGAACAAGGAAAATATTAATAGCTTTTATTTTTAAGTGGGGTAAAATTAGTATTTATTATGTTATTTTGTATTTGTATACATATTTTAATTTTACTCAAAAACAAAATAATTTTACAATGAACAATATTCTGTATAAATTGGAATCACCTTGTGAAGTAATTGCTTTAAAATTTCCCTGTCCCCATTGCCGCTTTAAAGGAATTAAAAAAATTAAAAATTGGAGAATGTGGTATCTTTCAAAGAAAAACATTTTACATTTATAAGTATGAAATAAAATGTATTACTAGCACATCACATTTTTTGACTCATTATCCATGTAAAATCATGTAGTAGAAAAAGAGAGAAGGACATAGGCAGAATTTGACCTATGAGTAGAGGAAATAATTGTATGTTTATTTAAAATATCTTCTTAAGATATACAAGTGGATAAGAAACATAAGAAAAGTGCTCAACATCACTGATCATCAGAGAAGGGAAATCAAAATCACAACAAGATACCATCTCATACCAGTCAGAATGAGTATTATTATTAAAAAGCCCCCCCCAAAAAAAAACATATGTGGGCAAGGCTGTAGAGGAAAAGGAATACTTATACACTGGTGGAGAGAATGTTCAGCCACTGTGGAAAGCAGTTTGTGGATTTCTAAAAGAACTCACAATAGAACTACTCTTTCACCCAGCAATCTTATTACTATGTATATGCTCAAATGAAAATAAATTATTAAAGCTACCAAAAAAGACACAAGAATTCTCATATTCACCACCATAGCGAAGACATAGAATAAACCTAGGAGCACATCCGTGGAGGATGGGACAATGACAATGTGGTACATATGAGCCCTGGAATAGTACACAGCCATTAAAAGAACAAAATCATGTCCTTTGCAGCAGCGTGGATGCAGCTGGAGGCCTTAACCTAAGCAAATTAATGAAGAAACAGAAAATCAAATATTGAATATTCTCATAAATAGGAGCTAAAACTTGGTTGGGTGCACAGAAATAAAGATGAGAACTATAGACACTGGAGATTCCAAAGGAGGGACAGAGGGAGAGGGGCAGGGGCTGAAAACCTTCCTGTTGGGTACTATGTTCACTATCTGGGTGACGGGATCGATAGAAGACTAAATGTCAGCATCATGTAATATACCTCTGTAATAAGCCTGTGCATGTACTCTCTGAATCCATAATAAAAATAAAAATAAAAATATTAAAGGAATTATTAATGTATAAATTACATTTTAGAACTGATGCTTATTGCAGTCAGTCATACATGACTGAAACATGTTGATAAAATCTATGTAAGCTTTATAGAAACAGTGAATAGTCTCCTGACTGTCTTTAAAAGTCTGTAAGATGGGATAGCTACCTTTATGCAAATTAACTAGACTTCAGTTGCACTAATTAAGAGAGCAACAGCTGAGTCAATCAAATGATAATAGACAAGTTATAATTGATGTCAAAATTCTACCTTATTATAAATTACCTTTGAAATCATATCCCAAGTTTTCTTCTATTTTGAGAAACATCATTATACTAATATATAGAACAAAGATTGATTTTGCAGATTTGCATGATTTCAGTAGAGCACATTTCATCTTCAAATATGATAAGCACTTTCCAATACATAAAACACTGTTAGAGAAAACTTTCAATCAGACTAGACGCACATTTCAAAGAGCCTATGATGTTGCAAATCACTTATGCCTCACTCTCGTGTTACCATGATAATGCATAGCACTTACATAGTGTTTCTTAGCTTGAAAGAGCCTAGGAACTTTAATCAATCCTTAGACTACCCAGTGAGAGAGTGATAAGAAGCCCCTGGAAGAGATCATGTAACTATACAATTCACATTTGCTTAAATATAATCCAGTGTATGTGCTGTGTTGTGTTTTCCTAGCTTTCTATTTCAATCTTCAGAGAAATAATAGTTATCTGTGAATATATGATGCATAGGCATCTCCTATGAATAAAATTATGTAGACTGCACTCTGTCTGCCATTAAAAACTAACAGATGTATGTATATCCAACACATAGAAAACATCTGGTACATTCTGCTGTATTTTCTTATTCATTTCGTATCTTATTTACAGGTATTTCAGAGTGGACTTGTTAGATTTGAATAGGCTAAAACTTTTTAAAGGAGGAATATACAATTATCTCCCTAATTTTTATAATTGCTTTATTTTTTTGGAAAGTGTTCTAAAATTAACTTTTATAATTATGCTGAATGTAAAAGAATATTGTATGTGAATGCTTCACCTAAAGAAAGAGTATTTAATACTCAATTTAGAATCCTCTCTAGTAGAATTTCTTTCTCTGCAGGTAGCTGGCTGTAGGGGTCTACCAAAAACAATCTATTTCTGCAATAAAGGCCAACACTGGCTTACTCAGGAAAGAACTCTTTCAGTCTGCAAAACACAGTACATCTTTTCCCTGAGTAAGAATAAATTCTTATCCAGTTTTACTGTTGCACTAAAATTCAATTAAAGTTAATCATTTCCTTTTTTATTACAAAGAAGTCTGCTTAATTTCTAATTACTTCGACTAAATCTATTCTCTGTAACTATCTAAAATTACATAAACATATACACACTCATACAAAAGAAACAGCACAACTGGAAGACCAAACAATGTGTACATATGAGCTGTTTAAAAAAAAAAAAAAGCCTTTCTACACCTTTCTACTCTGCTATTTTCATTATAGGTTACAGTTGTAATTCAATCAGTGACCTATTTTAAATGAGTGCCTAAGACATCACTGGAGAAAGTATATACAATGTGAGAAACATTTCCCTATGCATACACTTTATGTGTAAATATATTTATACCGTGTAGTTAAAATGGTTACCTTTGTTGTCAAAGACTGATACTGGCTGAAGTTTTCTTAATATATGTGTCTGATGTGTTGTTTTGTATTCCATAATCCCTTTATGCTATATCTAAGACTTAAAATGTTTTAAACATTGGATGTTGGTCTTTAGTGGGAGTGGGGGTGGGAGGGCCCATGCAGTTGCTGTCTGGGGGATCTTATCTAAAGAAAGAAGTCAATAACAGGCAGCTGAGTGGGCAGTGGTGCAGTCCAGTGAGACATGTATAAGTTTCTCAGGAATTCTCAGAAGTATTTGAGGGAAATGAAACTGGTTTACCAATGCTCTTTTAAAAAACCAGGTAAAGAACATCCTGCAGTGTCCTGAGGAGAAAAATGAGCAAGTCACATAATTTGAGCCAGGAAAAATACTAGATGATTGCAGGAGAATAGAAAATCTCAGGCAGCAGTTTCACATGACTAGCAAAAACACACTGTTAAAGTAGCTGCATACACTAGAAGCTGATAAGACTGAAAAACCAGAGTGTGGGCAAAGCTGGCTAGCAACAACTGGACCCAACATGGTGTTGGATTTGAGCTAGGTTTCACCTTGGAGAAAATAGCAAAAAAAAAAAAAAAGTCAGTGCTACTACCATGCAGCTACGCTACTTCCATGCAGCAATGCAACTGATCAAAGGCGCCAAATGCCTAACTGTGGCTGGTTAACATGTGAAAACCGGAAATTCCTGTTTATTTAATTCATGTTTACTTTTTCTGTTACATGAAGTAAAAAACATTCCTTACTGACACAATGTTTCATTTTTCTTCCTTATTCTCCACCATTTATTTTCTTCTCACATTATAGTTTGTAACTTATTTTGTCAAATATATGCAATGAGGTAACACTGCAGTATTGCAGAAAGCACACTGCATTGGAAACAGACTCATAGTGCAACGGGAAAACGTCCCTTATCCCCCGCTGCAGAGCTAGCAATGAGGACAGGCTGTGGGGCTCTGACCCCAGGCAGCATCTAGGGGTGAATGTTTACAGCTCCTAAATCCCCAGCGGGCATGTGTTACACGGTGTTACTTTAGTTTATCAATCTGTAGACGGCTTGTGTCAGCTCAATTAGACACTCTGCCTTTCTGCAAAGACAGAAGGCTTTCTGGATCCTGGGGTTTCCTGCCTTGGTGTAGCTGAAGAATTGGCTCACACGTGGGCTTGGAGAGTAAGTGCAGGTTTCATTGAGTGGAAGCTGTCAGCAGATGGATGGGGAGCCAGAAGGGAGACGGAGCGGGAAGGTGGTTTTCCCTTGAAATGGGGCAGGTGAGCGCTCTCCTTCCACAGCCCCACGCAACTCTGTGTTCTTCTGCGGTGGATGGCCTGCCGCCTCTGTCCTTGCGCTCTCCTTCCTCCGGTGTCTTCTCCAGGTCCAATTGCTTGTGTCTTCTTCTGCTGATGGTTCTTCTCGACGTCAGCTACTGTGTCTCTGCCCGCTAGGGTCTCGGGGTTTCTGATAGCACAGGATGGGGGTATGGCAGGCCAGGGTGCTCTTGGAAAATGCAACACTTGGGCAAAAAAACAGAAGCGCATGTCCTCACCAATTTGGGCAAGAAAACAGAAGTGCATGGCCTCACCTAGGTCAATGAGCACAAGCCTGAGGGTGAATCCCTAGCCAAGAACCACACCCTCCTCTATCAGGCACTTCCCTGCCCCCCTGTCCATATCAATATTTTTTTAAATTTTAAACTCCAAAATAGTACAATAGTACCCAAATCCTTCAAAAAGACAATTGGAGAAAACGGCATTAGAAGAGCCAGTCTAGGATTCGGGTCACTACATGGAAAATGGAAACACAGAGAGCATGTCCTGCAGGCATGGAATCACTGTGGAAACATACCCTGCTGAGAAGGAAGGCGACACAAACTGGCTTCTCTCATCTTTTTGTTCTCTAATCTCTGCAGTGTCATCCCTTGACTGAGCTGAAACAGGAAGTAATTTTTATGAGAGCCTAGGAACCCTGCCTCCCAGGGGCCAGGCCTCTCTATTACAGAATAGTGCCAGGGAGAGGTGAGTGACGTAGCTGTGGGCATAAAAACCCAGGACCTCACACAAAGGAGTATCAGAGACAAATATAGTATCAAGGGATCAAGAGAGAATTAGTCTCAGGAACGATATCATGCGTGATATTTGTGAAAACAACAAAAAGTAAAACAGAGCTTATGAGGTAGTAAACATAACAAGAACTTAAAGAACGGCAGGCAAAATTGTAAAGTCCAGAGTATTCACCTTTGTTTCACTGGATTTTGAAAATCCCTTCCAGCATTCTTTTCCCAGTATCTTCCATTCATGGATTCATTCAAGAAATATTTATTGAGCTAGTATAGTCTAAGAATTGGGCAGATGGCATCATATGCACTGTTAGTATGTCTATCATTGATAGAAATAATGTTTCTTTTTTTCTACAGTGTTTTTCTCCCAAACATTCGTCTTGCAAATTTGTATCCTTACAGATGCATCAGTTGTTCCTGACCTGAGAAAGTTCCCCCAACCCCTGTAAACCCAGTTAAGCACTTCCTTCCTCTCCAGCTAAGTTACTAAATTGTATCTATTGTAACACTTGTCAGAGTACATTGCAATTATTGCTCTTCTCTTCATCCTCCAATTAAACTATGAATATTTTGAAGGAAAAGTCTATAAACACGATGGCTTGACATTTGTCAATATTTATTGTACAAAAGGTTATGAGATATTTATATATAATATTCTAACATTTATCCTAATTTTTGGAAAACAATATAAACAATGTTCACTGCCGATTCCCCATGAACTGCTTAACTTTTTAAACAATGTCTATGCTTTGGAGCAATTAAGCAAACTTCCAAAAAACAAATAAAGTGTTTTTATTTTATTTTGTTTTGTTATATTGAATTATTTTGTAGAGACAAAGTCTTACCTCATGGCCCAGGCTGAAGTGCAGTGTGCAATCACAGCTCACTACGACCTTGAACTGCTGAGTAAATAGAAGATAGATGTGTGCCAGCATGCCCAATTTAATTAAGTATTTAATTAGTTACATTTGTAGAGATAGGACTTGCTATGTTGCCTGGGCTGGTCTTGAACCCTGCGCTTGAAGCAATCCTCCCTTCTCAGCATCCCAAAGAGCTGCAATTCCAGGCATGAACCACCAGACCTCAAAGAAAAAATTTTAGATTTTAGAATATTGCAATATATTAGACTTAATTTCTTCTTTCAATTTTGCATTAGCAGTGGCACTTGAGAATAATTGTATGTTACGGGGAGAGTGTGATTTCTCATATTTGGTCATCGAATTTTGAAATCTTTATTCTATTTACTTAAATCCTAATAACTGGTAGTCAGCCCAGCCAAAAGTCGAGTATATGAGTGTTTTTGTGTTGAAGTTATGAAGACAAATGTAGGAAGATATTAAGAACCAAAGACACTTATTTTTCATATATGTTAAAGCTTTATCCTTGCAGGTGAGGCATCATACATGGCATGGATAGTTTTATAAAATACCCCGAAATACATACTTCAGTAACCAGTTCAGCACTTGCAATTTCCCCACTTTGTTTTCATCAGGAGTTAATGATGTATGGCACTTCTAGTAAGTAAATGAATATTTAAATTGCTGTGAGTTATTTTAATTATTGCTCAGCTAATCATTTAAGTTATCAAAGATCTTTACTTGTGCAATATCATAAATGCTGGACATTAATCAACAGGATTTATGTAACTAGAAGCTGCCATCTAATGTGATATTTTTCAGTAAGATGACAGCAGTAATTATGCCGAAACATAGTCATTCCCGCAGTTTGAGCCATTATAGCAATTTCCACCCTAGGATTTCACAGTCAGAGTCCAGATCTGGGCAACAGTGATTAACATAATGGTTATTAATGAGAAGAGATTTTGATACATCTAGCTGTGTTTAGATGTCAGTGCCTTGAAGGGATGGGTTTGGCATATTAATAAGAAAGGGTGCATTGGATTGGTTACTAAGTAATGTATTGAATTGTTTTTCTTGTCCTCTATAACATGAAAGGTCAATTAGAGATACAGAAGCAATGGAACATCTAATTAGAGATACAGAAGCAATGGAACATCTCACAGCATGGCCTGACATTTCACTACAGTTTTATTTTTTAACCATGTACAAAGTTCATTAAATATGCAAAGGTAGGACTGTTATAGGACAAAAGTGGTAGAGTCAGAGGTCACAATCCACAGCAAGGTGTTAGTCACTTGTGGGTGGCACCCTGAGTGCTGAATTAGAGTGAGAATTAGCTTTCAGGCTGCCAACAGGGATCAAGGAGAATGAAGCTATCAGCAGTTAACATCAATGGATTAATTGAAATGAACGTTGACAGAGATTTTGTTGGCTTTACATCAAAGTACTATACATTCAGTATAGTACTTCGAATTGAGTATTTGATAAGGATAAACCCTTTTCAAATTTCCCACATGTAAAATTGAGGATTAATTAAAAGATTACACAACCCATACATTATGGATACCTCATTTAAATTTATAAACACATGTGCAAACTTGCAGTGTGCAAATATTTGTCTATATCTTAATATATCCAAATCCATGGATGAACAGTTAGAAATTTAGAAATTATTGTCCCGTTTTACCATTCCCTTTCCTAGAATTTTGTCACAAATATAATTTTTTCCATCTGTTTGAAGCCTACTATCTGGAGGAATGTAATATGTAGATACAGTAAAGCTGTGAGATCAAAAAGGCTTTGTATCAGAGAAAGCAATACCACTGGTGTTATAAAAGATCCATTGTGAGGAGAAAGTTATACTTCACATGACTACAAATACAGAAGTATTATTTCATCAAAAGCTGATATCAGTCAATACAATTTGTTTTTAATGTTTTATTTAAAATATTTAATCTCAAAAGGATTACTTGAGTAGAATAATGTTATTGGTAATAAATAATGATTAAGAATTTTATTTAATTTGTTGATTATTTAAAATGTAAGTAAAATACTAAAGAGTAGAGTATAATGTAGTTTCATGAAGTATTCTCTATGGGTTTTGTAAAATTAATGGCCTCGATGGAATTTGTTGACACAGAGAAATTTCCTTATATCGTTTTATTATTGTACTTTCACTGTATTACTTGCTTGCATGTTATAACTGATAGAAATAAAAATATTTTATTTACACATATATGAAGGATGAATTTTTGTTTATGTTTTCTAGTGAGAGAAAGTCACCAATAATTTTATCTGTATAGGAAAATTTTGACAAGCCCAAAGCTCTTAACTTTCTTTGCTTTTGAAGGTTCTTATTTCAGTCTAGGTATGAGATGGAATTGACTGTGATCATTTTTTGATTTCACTATGAATACTGAGTTTCTGATCTAGTGTTACAAATATTTAGACTTAAAAGCTTACTTTCTTCTTTTTCTCCCTTTGGACCTGTACATGTGATACCTGCAATAATGTGCACCGTTATCTGAAATGAGGTTGCTGAAAGATACAAGCATAAATGGAATTCTTTATTTCTGTGAACCTTTAGGAACAAACAAATAAAACTAAAAGATAATTATGATATGAACTTAAATCTGCAGTTTCTCACAGAAGCACAATAAGGGTGAAAATGCATTTAAAAATACATACCACATCCAAAACATGAGATGGAAATGAAAAATTTAATGTGACATAAAGAACAATTTAAAAGTTAACGATTATTTCTGATGAGAGCAAGTAGCACTAAAAATCCTATTTTCCCTGTTGTAATTCACGAAACTATTACTTTATCTTCAGGCTTTAAAAAGAGTTAACTCTAACTTAAGCAACAACTTTTTGGCCATTTCAAACAGTGGGTGCGTCATCTTAGAATTTCTCCGAGAATCTTTTGGGAGAAATATAATCTAATCTAGCCCTGTAAACAATTGAATTAATCAATGAAATCATTATGACTGTAGTCTCACAATTTCATTGTCCTTCTCTTTTTGGTGTATACATATCTCTTTAAAATTCAAAAGCCCCTAGAAAGCATGTGATAAATAATAATGACTGAAACAGTTGAAAAATAAAAACCGAGCAGCAGATGTGTTTCAAGGTTTCCTTTATGAGAATGCTACGCTAACTATGTAATATACACACGGTATAAATCACCATGAGAAAATAATATTTGGGTAGCACTTGACAATTTATCCAGCAACAGCAAATAGTCTCATTTGACCTTTAAGAGGATTTTTAAACACATGTTTCATAAATGAGGCAAATGTGATTTACTAATACAAATCAGACCTGTTACATCTCCTTAGGAACATGTCAGCCAATAAAGCAGAGGCATGAGTTTTCTTCTGGAGGGAAGAAGGAGGCAACGTTTATTAAAATCATGAGTCTTTTTTTTTAAATATTTCATTGTTTATTAAAGTTTTGTTTATCAAAATCATTGTCTTTATTTCCAGTTATAGTTCCTGTATTTGCCTATTACAGCAGTTATCATACTTATTATTCCTCATTTATCTGTGCCTGTAACAACTGCACTCTGAGAAGAGCAAGGACCATGTTTTTCTGAGCTTCTTGCAGACTGTCAGGCTTATTGTAGCATTTAGAAACTATCTGCTGAATGTTTGTGACATTTTCATGTAAATTACATTCTAGGCCACTTGATACTAATTTTCTGTTTAGTATTTGGGTTTGGAGAGCCATTTTTCCTTTTCAGTTTTTTTTCATTTTTTAAAATTATACTTTAAGTTCTAGGGTACATGTGCAGAACGTGCAGGTTTGTTACATAGGGATACATGCGCCATGTTGGTTTGCTGCACTGATCAACTCGTCATTGACATTAGGTATTTATCCTAATGCTATCCTTCCCCTAGTCCCCCACCCCCCAACTGGGCAGATGTGTGATATTCCCCCACCTGTGTCCATGTGTTCTCATTGTTCAACTCCCACTTATGAGTAAGAAGATGTGGTGTTTGTTTTTCTGTCCTTGTGATAGTTTGCTTAGTATGATGGTTTCCAGCTTCATCCATGGCCCTGCAACCGCAATGAGATACCATCTCATGCCAGTTAGAATGGCGACCATTAAAAAGTCAGGAAACAACAGATGTTGGAGAGGATGTGGAGAAACAGGAACACTTTTAAGTTATTTTTCTTTACGTATATTTTAAGGATATACCTATCCAGACGTGAAGGTGACAGTGCAGGCTGTAGGCAATGGGACCTCCAAAGGAGGCACCCTGTTGAAATTGGAGGCTCTGCAGGAGAGGGCAGCCAGGGCACGGAGTGTGGAGGTGCCCCTGTAGGAGGAGAAGGTGCTGGTGGTGGACGACGTCACGGCGGTGGTCTAGGTGGTGGTTGAGGAGAAAGCCGACATGGAGCGGCAGGTGGAGGACCAGTGAACACAGCCTGGCCCTGGCCCCAGCATGCCCCAGCCGGCCACAGAGTCGCTGGAGGTCCTTCACAGGGAGCTGGGCTCCGTGAATGCCCCAGGCCACATGCCCTGCCCATGGCTGAGGCAGAAGCTTTGTCAGAAGTGTCTGCCTGGCCTGGAGGGCACAGGGGCCATCATCCAGGGCATCTCCGGCTTCTAGGCCAGAGCCATATCTTTGTAACTGCCCATTCGGGATGACTGGCAGCAGGAGGTGGGAGTCGGGCTTCCGGGGGCGGGGAGCAACGGAGCCAGGCCAGGGGCACACAGGGTCAGCCAGGAGGCAGGGGATGGGAGACAGCGAGGGGAGCTGAGGCAAGGATACTGCAGATAGTAGGGCAGCTTGCTTGAGGGTGACCTGAGAGCATGTGATAGGGACTGGGAGCCAAGCTCAGCACTCACAAGAGAAAATAGGGGTGTCAAGGACCCTTCACTCACAGCAGAAAGTTGAAGGGCACGTTTCCCTGGGAAAGTCCTTGGAGGAAAGGGAGTCTGCATGCTCATACCAGCCATCGAACCACACCCACTCCCCATGTGTGTGTGTCCAGAGGCCTCACACCAGAAACACAAGGTACTCAAGACTCGGGTTCATGGTGCACGGGGCTGCTGTCCTCTGCAAGGCAGGCACCAGGTACCCAGACAGTCTTTCTTCCCTCTGCCTGTGTTGCACCCAAAGAGCTGCGGGCCCTGAGCATATATATCCTCCTTTGCACACATGCCTCCGTTGCACACACATGAGCCCCATGGGGAGCACCAGGTACAGCCCTGCAGTCCTTTCTACCCACACCGGTTCCCTCAAGTGGACACACCCACCCCTCAGGGAGAACAGAAGAGGGTACCACACACCTTGACACCCTCAGCAGAGCCTATCTAGCACCCAGTGCACAAGGGCCATGTGCAGCTCAGGAACTCTGAGGAAACAACTGCCTCACACCACAGCACCCCACACCCAAACCCTGCCAACTTGTGCTCCCCACTCCTTGTTGGCAGAGTCTTTCTGGGCCTCCCTCCACTTGCCCACAAGACCACCATATCCGTTACCGTGCCCCTCATGCTGGACAGAGACAGGATCACCAATGCAAAGTGCCAGGCCAAAGGTCTGGGGGATAGCCCTGCCCAACAGTCTCCCAGCTCTTGCAAAGTTGCAGGGTGTTTCCTGGCACACCCACCCAGTCATCTGGAGGCTCCTTGACCAGAGGCAGATTGTGCCGCACACCCAGATGTCGGCAGGTTTCAGAAACCATGAGGAAGTCCTGCTAAGTAAGCTACAGGATGGATTTGCAAATCAGGCTAGGGTGCCTGGGTCTGGGGGAGGGATCGAGGGTCCTGGTCAGGTTGAGGTCCTCTTGGGGTCTGGGGGTGTCTCAGTGGGAGAGCTGGGAAGGGAAAACGCATGCTTCACCCTAGCCAGCAGGCCCTCAGCCCAACTAGATGAAATGGATCCTTTGAGTCTGTCCTCTTCTTCTTGGTGTAGCAGGTGGAGGAACTCAGCCATCCAGGGTACTGGTGGCAGGATGAAGTGTTCCTTTTGTCACAGTCTTTATTTCCACAATGAAGTGATCTTTAAGGAATATCGTGTTGGCATCCTCGGTAAGGAGTGCCTCCCGGAATGATAGAGCGGGTGGAGTGTGGGAGGCTAGGCCTGGCATGAGCCTACCCAAATCTTCTTGCTCCAGGATACATGGCATCTGTCTCTACTGTAGTCCAGTGTTTCTAGAGTCATGCAGCAGAAGACCCCAGCTTCAGGCAGGACACAGCCTAACTGAGCTTCTTCCGCTGGTTGGCTGACCGTGACCACTAAAGGTCAGCCAGGATTGCTGAGGTGGGCACCGCTGAGGGGTGTCATGGGAAAGGACCTTGCTGGTCTTTCCTTGGCATCTGGGGAACTGGCTTTGAACCATGACCTGACCAGTCACGGATCCCTTTTCTCAGTCCCCCAGATCATCATTCAGGGCCTCTGTCTCAATCCCCCTGCAGCACTACCGGAAGGAGTTAGGCCCTCAGAGAGGAAACAGAGAGGAAACCAGGTAAGCAACCCAGGGCTGGGGGCTCAGAGGCCTGTGGGTCCTGGAGCTGGGACACACATGGAGAACTCAAGGCTCGGGGAGGAGCCTGCACTGAGAAATCCCAGGCCATCCCTGGGCTGAGGGAGAAAAGCCCATCAGGGAACTGTAACACTCATATTTCAGAACTGGGGCACCCAAAGTCACCTAAGACACAGAAGTGGCAAAGGTCAATGGGTGAGAAGCAATCTCAATGGATAGCTGCCGCATCATCCTTCTCTGGCTCCCTTCCACGCCTTGAGGCCTGCTACCACCTGGGGCTCAGTTTGGCCTCCACTAGGGCCCTCTTACCTGCCACAGAGAGGTGCACTTGAGGCGTGTCTAGGTCTGTGTCCTTCTAGAATGGCTATCCCAGTCGTGTCATGTTTTGGTTCAATGACCCCAGTCTCCCCTGACATGCTTTCTCCCCTCTGCCATCCTCACTCATGTTTCCCCGGCCCCTGAGACATTTCCTATGACATTAAAAAATAGACATAAAGTTTTTTAAATGCCTTAATAATACAGATGCAGATACAGGATTTTATTATAAAAAGTGCCCTTCCTCCTTACTTGTATCAAAGTCTTTCATGACGGGGGAAAGAATGCAACATACTTTGGTAAGTTAAAAAAAAGTATGAAAGTAAAAGTAAATACCATTGTAGATGATCAGTTAAATGGCAGGGAACCTTCTCTGTGTGTGTAGCGAAGGAATGTGGCTGAGCATTAAGGTCCACATTAGTATTGGTGTAGTCACCCAGTTTCAATCATACCAGTATGAGGGTGGGTATGTTCTAGCCTCCGTGTCTGAGCTGTGCACGCATGTGCACACTTGTGCCTGTGTACCTTTGTGTACCTTGATTTGGGGGGGGCCACACTCCTGCCCACATGTGTGCCTCAAACTCAGCTCTTGAGCTGGCAAGCAGGGCACTGCGGGGTTTGGCAGTCCAACTTCAGGACCTGTGAAGCCTGCCCTTTTGGGAGACAGGAAGAGTCCTCATGGTTTTCACAAATGGCAGAGGTAGTAGGAGGAAATGGGTGCCTGGTGCGAGCTACCTATAGGAGATGTCATGGACCTGAAATGACACCTGGCGGGAAATAAAACCTAGCAGCTGGGTCTTCCTGTGTGTTCGGTTGGGGAAGGCAGGCATTCAGGGAAGAAGCAATGGAACCCGTGGGGTTTTGGGATTCGCTATCCAGGAATCCCTGTGCACTAGACAGTGTCCAGCCCATGAGAGAGGAGGACAGCATGTGGGTCCAGCAGGTCCTGAGTCTCCAGGGAAGATGGCATTCTCCCCAAGAGGGTTGGTAGGTGGAGGAGAAACCCTGGGCTGCAGGGTCATGTAGATGGGACACTTACCACTTAGCCAGGTGGGAGCTCAGGAGAGGGCCTGGTGAGCAGCGGCCTAACTGGCTGGTGACACCCCGTTCCAGTGCTGCACGTGTGCACATGAGCTTCGCCCCGCATATCCTCTCCAGGTTGCCTCACCTGGGCAGACAGGAAGCAAGGCACACAAGAGCCTAAGCTTATGGTCATGAGTGGTCCCAGAGAGGGGGTCCCCAGGATGACTGGTCCCCGGAGAGGCAGGCATGCAGGGTCCCTTCAGGACAGGGATAAAAATGCATAAGTCCAGCTCTCCACCCAGTGGGTGTCTTGCCCTGATGATGTCAGCCATGGCAGATACAGCTCTTCCACCTAGATTGCAGAACCACAGGCTTAACGACTTCCCCCCAGGCTTCTCCGGGACAGGCCCCTGGACTCTGGAACAGCCAGTGCCCCATAAGTGTTCCTTCCCAGCCTCCAAGCTCACAGGAGGCTCAGTGAGGACTCTCCTCCTAGTACATGACCACCCACAGGCACTGTCAACAACCCAGGGCCCTTCTCCATTCCAGGGTCCTGCCATCTTTCCCAGCAGCAGGATAATGGGAAGGGAAAGAGCTGGAACAGACAGAGCAGAGGCCACAAACCTCACCCTCCCACATGGCAAGGGAATGAGGGGATCCTTCCCAGCCCAGGGAGCTGCTTCCCGAACACACCTAGAAACCCAGCACCAGCTGAGCAATTCACTCTGCCACAGCTGGGCATGGCGGATTTCAATGCCAGAGAACTTGATCCTGGTTGTAGAAGGTGTACCTCTCCTTCAGGTCACATTATGCTGACACCCTCCTTAACCCAGATGGACTCCTTGTCCTCACTACATGGTGTTGGCTGGAAGTGTTACTCCTGGTGCCCCAGCCGCTGTTTCAAGTTGCAGAGACTGACCAGCAGACCCCTGAGTCCTTGTCCTCCTGTCCAAGTCATATCCATAGAAATAGTAAAATAGTGGCACATTAGACCTCATGACATTTTTAAGGCTGACCTCTTTATAAGCATTTCATGCAGATATTTATGAGTTTATCTCATTTATTTTATTTATTTATAGCTCTCATTTCAAAGTCAATTTTTCCGTAAGAATTATTTCAACATACAACCAAATGTTCAGAGCTATGACATCTAGGTTTTAAGCTTAAAAGTCTGTATCTGCTATTATGCTTGGTAAAACCCATCCAGCACTTATAAAAATAAGTAATTATTAGGCATCGCCATTGTACTGGTCGAAAACACTGAAATTCTCTGCAAACCCATTTGAAAATATTCCTGATGGGACTGAACACAGCACTTGCTTCTAATGAATAGAAAACAGTGCAAGCATTTTCTGGATACTGGGCCACTTCTGGCCTAGGTTAGAAAAGGTATCACAGCTCTGCCTAAGTCTCCTGCTCTCATGGGGCCAAACTCCTCAGGAGCCCCTGACGAGTATATCACGAAGTCTAACACCCTGATAACACTATGCAGAAGGGACATCCCATGGAGAGACTCATAGAAATAGAATGAGATGCCCGAGAATCTCAGCAGTCCAGCCCCACTATTTGAGTTATGCTAGCCGTGGCACCAGGGAGATGAGAAGACACCTGACAATGTCACCGTCCTGAGCCATCATTAGATTGCATCCTCCTGAGTGCCCCTGAACCACAATCATTTGGCTGAGAGACTGTGGAAGACTGCAGAGACTGAAGTTAGTAAATTATAATTATTGTTTTAAGCCATTAAGTTTTACATAATTTTGAAAAGCACTTTAGACTCCTAGAAAAACTGAGTTGTCTACTGATTTGAGTAATTACGGAGAGCTTTAAAGGCCAATGCCACGAATGCTAATACCCTGGAAAAGCCAAACCATCGAGACTCTTCTAAACACAAACAGATCTTTAATGTCCCCTTGCTATGGCTGGAGAATAATCTAACATGTATCTGATGGAGTTTTTTGAAAGCCTCTGTTCACATCTCCTGGCTGGGTATGGGTCAACTCTGGTCTGCTTTAATGCTAGTCAACTGCAGCAACTCGTCTTTCATTTTAGGTCCTGGCCTACACTGATCTTTTGATCACTGACTGTATGTATGTTTTGAGTACTACCATATTTTATCCGAAGGGGCTAAATAATAATGCTATAGTTGTTTTGTAAACATAAAGCATTCCAGGAAGATAATATTGCTAATCAACTGAGCTTTAAAACAGATATGAGGCAGGGCACGGAGGTTCACACCTGCACTCCCAATAGTTTGGCAGGCCAAGGTTTCTTGACGTCAGGAGTTTGAGACAAGCTTGGCCAACACGGTAAAATCCCATGTCTAATATCATACCAAAGCTAACCGGGTGTGGTGGCCCATGGATATAATCCCAGCTACTTGGGAGGCTGATGCAGGAGAATCCACTGAACCCCGGGGAAGGAGTTTGCAGTGAAGTGAGATCACACCACTGCACTCCACCCTGGGCACCAGAGCGAGACTCTGTCTCAGGAATAAAAATAAAATAAAATAAAAAATAATAAAAGAGATAGGAGAAATGACTGAGGAAAGAAATGCATAAAACTTGGTGGGCATTGTGGCTCATGCTGGGAATCCCAGCATTTTGAGGGGCTGAGGTGGGTGGATCACTTGAGGATGGTAGTTTGAGGCCAGCCTGAGCAAACATTGTAAAACCTGGCCTCTACTAAAAATACAATTAAAAAAAAAAAAGCCAGGATTGGTGTCATATACCTGCAGTCACAAGTACTCAGGAGGGTGTGACTGGAGAATTGCTTGAACCCAGGATGGGGAGGTTGCGGTGAGATGAGATCATGCTACTGCACTCCAGCCTAGGCAACAGAGTATGGTTTCACCTAAAAAAAAAATCAAAGAGAGAAACAGAGATACAGAAAAATAAGAAGGAAGGAAGGAAGGGAGGGAGGGAGGGAGGGAGGAAGAAACAGAGACAGAGGGATGGAGGAAGGAAGGGAGAGAGGGAGGAAGGAAAAAAGGAAGGAAGGAAGGAAGGAAGGGGAGAAAGGAGAGAATGAAAGGCATAAAACCAAAGGAAATGAATAAAAATAGAAGCTTGCCATTTTGCCCATTATCCACATCAATTCTGAACTATGTTTAAAATAATATTTTGGTGTCTAGTGGACTAACTGAAAGTTTAAAATAAGCTGGTTTATATTGTCAAAATTATTCATGTAACTACGCTGTTAACTAAGATTCTTGTAGTTTTCAACAACCAAGTCTAATTGACATTTGTCATCAAATCGCATACTATTAGGGGCAGGGTAGTCTGTGTTACGCTGCCTAATCTACACTAAATTAAAAATGAAACCAAATCTGCAAAAGATTTTATAGTTACTATTATCAGTAAAAACTGTTTTGTTTCCTGATTTGTGGAGGGTTTTATTTCCACAGTTTTGATGGCTCTGGCAGAAAGACTTCCTGATCCAAATTCACCCCTTATCATCATCACAGTATATACATGTTCAGGGATTACGGGGAAAGAGCATCTAATCCTACTGCTTTCCTGCGTTGGTTCCCATACACAAGCAAATGTCCTGTGTTAGTGACTATCAAATATTCATTTATTTGATCAAGGAAATTTGTGTTTCCAAACTGTAAAACAAAAATATTACTATCAGTTGTATTTTTCTTATTTATTTACTTAGAGGCAGGGTCTTGCTCTGTCACCGGGCTGAATCATACATCACTGTAGTCTCAGACTTTTGGGCTCAAAGCATCCTCCAACATCAGCTTCTCAAAGTACTGATATTACAGACTTGAGCCATTGTACCCAGCCTCAAGTTTAGAGATAAAGGTTAACGAATATATTGTAAACCATACAAATAAACATAATTGCAGATTCTCTAAAGAGCTGTAAGAAACCACTGAAAAGATGCCATTGTGGACAGGGTTGCTGGCAACAATGTAATGCAAGCAAAGGCGTGGGTCCTTCCCCACTGATCCTTCGGATGATACCAGAGGCTGGCCTGGCATTTCCACTGCAGCTTTTTGAGGGAACATGAAACACAGGTGTGTGCCTGTGTGTGTGTGTGTAAGCATACATACACAACCAGTTGAACAAACTGGGATCACCCACACAATGGAATATGATGCAGTTCTTTGTAGATCTGGTAGAATTCATCCGGAATCTATCGGTTCCTGGGCTTTTTTTTTTTTTTTTTTGGCTTGTAGGTTATTTATTACTAATGATTCCATTTCAGAAATTGAAATTGGACAAGCTGAAGCTGAGACTGTGTCCACTTAGATTCTGTTGCAGAACACAGAATGGAATGCCTGTAATTTTGGCTGTGATGGTTACTGGAAGGTCTCTGCACGGTTGAGCTAATTTTCTGCCTGCCGCAGAAGGGCCTGGGGCTGACAATCAGGTCCCTTGACACCCGCTGTTGAACAGATCATTTAGAGCCTGGTCTCTCCTAAGAAAGTTGCATATTGCCCAGAAAGTTTCTCAAGGATTATAGAGTTCCCTGACTAAAGTGGAAAGGCCAGAGCTGAGAGTGGGTCATCCCTATAGGGGACAGAGGCTGGAGAGTCTAGATCCATTTTCTGCTGGACAGAGCCTGGACAGCCTACATTCATTAGCTCAGACAGGCCCTTTCCCCAGCAGGGTAGTTGCTTCCCAACAGCAGTGGGAGGGGCTGGAGCCGAGACTGGAATTCTGTTTCTCAATAAAGTCATGTGCTCTAGGGATTCTAACACCCTGGTGATTTCCACTAGATACATCAGAAGTGAACTTCCTTCCAGGGGTACCAAGACTTATCATATAAGCTACTTGCCCACTGGGTCCAGGTAGGGCCAGAAACTTCATCCTTAACCACTAAATTGCCTCTGCTTTTCAGCCTGGGGATGGGTGGAGCACACAGGGCTAGGATGGTCAAAAGTATGGCAGCTGGGAATGGGTGGGGTCACATGACCCTTCCGTGGATAATCACCAAGCTGCCTCTTTGTCACAGCCTTGGAAGTTTTGCAGAGAAAACCAGGGTGGGATTTGGCAGTTGGCCAGTGATTTGAGCCTGGCAGACCCATTAACCATGTTTGGTTGCTGCAGAATGATGCTGTTGCCTAGTTTTTCTGATGGTGCAACTCTGCTGGCTGGAATGCAAAGCCATGAGTAAGATTACTGTTATGGTCACTGTGAGCCCCATCCATGTACTTTGTTTCTAATTGACCGCCATTGTCCGATACCCCCACTGTTTCCCACAGGGTAAGACTAGAGAGAACTTCATGTGACGAATTGCAAAATGGAAAAGAAAGGACAGAATGTACATCTTCAACGCTCTCCTCTGTGAAGAAACTTGAGTTCAGGGGAATTTTTTGTATGCAACATTGTGCTGGCTTGGGGAGGAGAAAAAGCATCAAATTAAAACTGTTCTTTTATCCTATCTGTGTGGCTATTCTCAGTTCTACAGTCAAAAAAATGTGTCAGAGATCCAATCCCAAGCTATAGAATCATTCACTCAGGTGTCCGTATCTAAGGATAGTTGTGAGTTGAGGTTTTTTGCAGAGAGGGTGGGAATTAGTAGAGTCACAGAATGCCTGTTCTGTCGCATCAGACCCTAGAAACAGGCAAGTTAAAAGTCTGGTCCAGGCTGAGCACAGTAGCGCAGACCTGTAACCCCAGCATTTTGGGAGGCCGAAGCAGGCATATCATGAGGTCAGGAGGTCAAGACCATCCTGGCTAACAAGGTGAAATCCCCTCTCTACTAAACATACAAAACAAAACAAAAATTAGCCAGGCCTGGTGCCATGTGCCTGTTGTCCCAGCTACTACTCAGAAGGTTGAGGCAGGAGTATCTCTTGAACCCAGGAGGTGGAGGTTGAAGTGAGCTGAGATCATGTCACTACACTCCGACCTAGGTGACACAGTGAGACTCAATCTCAATAAACAAACAAATAAATAAAAATGAAAACAACAACAAAATACTGTTCCTAAGGGAGGAGTTTAAAAGGTTGGGTGCTTCCATGGAGAAGCTGAAAGGTAGAGCAATCCAAGGGTTGGGTATAAGGAAGAGCTCATGGGACCTCTGAAAACCACCTCTTTGTCCCGTATGGAACACAAGAAATAGTGAATGCTGATCTCCACTGCTTACTGATATAGGCAAGTTACCAGCCAGAGATACACGTCTTAGTCTCTTTGTGTTCCTATAAAAGAATATGAGACTGGAAAATTTATAAAGAAAAGATCTTTCATTGGCTCCTGGTTCTGCAGGCTGTAAAAGATCTGTGGTGCCAGCATCTGCATCTGACGAGAACCTCAGGAGGCTTCCACTCATGACAGAAGGTAAAAGGAAATAAGCCATGTCACATGTGGAGAGAGCAAGAGAGAGAAGGGGAGAAGGTAATCAGGCACTTCTCAACAACCTATTTGGATGTAAGCTGCATTGTGGGAACTAATAGAGCGGAAAACTCACTTATTAACCATGGCGAGGGCACCAAGCCATTTATGAGGCATCCATCCCCATGACACAAACAAACAGCTCACACTAGGTGCCATTTACAGTGTGGAGGACCACATTTCAACCTGAGGCTTGGAGGGACAAATGTTCAAACTATATGAATAGGGAAGTTTAAAAATCATGCTGAGTTTTCACAAAACAATCCTTTTTCCTCTTTAGAATCTCGAGATTACAAAAAGCTGGGATTCATTAGCTTCCCGAGATTGGCAAGATGGTATTCAAAATCTTAGTCATCACCCTGAGAAGTCAGGGCAATAGTTGGGTAGTTTGACTTCTTGGAAGGAAAATTTAGAAGCTCAGTATATTGCTAGAGTGAGTGATGATGAAGACTGATGAGAAATGCCTACGTGCCTGCTCTCAGAGGACCCTGACAGATACAAAAGTCAGGAGGGTTAGAAGCAAGATACCTGGGCAGAAGCTATAAAAGTCAAGACATGGCTGGATGTGGTGGGTCACGCCTGTAATCCCAGCATTTTGGGAGGCCAAGGTGGGTGGATCACCTGAGGTCAGGAGTTTGAGACCAGCCTGACCAACATGGCAAAAACTTGTCTCTACTAAGAAATACAAAAGTTAGCCTGGCATGGTGGCAGCCACCTGTAATCCCAGCTACTTGGGAGGCAGAGGTTGCAGTGAGGCGAGATCGTGCCATTGCACTCCAGCCTGGGCAATAGAGCAAGACTCCATCTCAAAAGAAAAAAAAAAGTCAAGACGTTAGATGTACAATAGAAGTTCTTTGAGGTACAAAGTGGGAGCTGAGCTTTCTTGACTGCTTGACATCCAGTAAGCCAGGAGGAAACAGTTTCAGAAGTGCTTGAATGTCTATTTAAATCCCTCTTTTATCTTGGAGGTCCTAGGAGAGTTATGAATGCCAGTCTGTGTTAGAATCCAGAGATAGGCAAGTGAGGAATCATTTCATTGAGAAGCAGCTGTTAACAGCTGGGGCTTTACATATGTGGATTAATACTTCAGTTCTCTGAGAGAAGCTGTGAAATAACAGTTCCCTATTGATTCTAGGGCAATGTGTCAGAGATAAACGCTAGAAAAAGATCATGATTCAGTTTTTCTTACCTTTTTTTAAGTAAGTATTTTCATAACCCTACATGCAAGAGTATCCCAACTTGTTTGTAAGTTTATCTCATAGGGAATTGATGTGGGTGTGGCTCTTTATTTGTTGCATTTGTGGATGGAGGAACAAATTAGAGCCTCCTATTTTATCACTTTGTTGGAGATACCCTTTTTTATTAATTTTTACTTATTTAAAAAATTTGTACGTAAAAGTTGTAGGTATTTTTGGCATACATGTGATATTTTGATACAAGTAATGTGAACTGGTAAGCGAGGGATCAAAGAGGGGATGGGGGTGGGTTAAATTATACTTGCTTAGAAGGAATAATATCTAGTGTTCAGTGGCACAGGATGACTACACTTAATAATGATTTATTGTACATCTCAAAATAATTAATAGAGCGAAGGTGGAATGTCGCTGATACCAAGAAAAGATACGCCAGACTCAGTGAGGTGGAATGTCGCTCATAATGAGAAAAGATATGCCAGACTCAGTGGCTCACGGCTATAATCACAACACTTTGGGAAGCCAGGGAAGGAGGATTATTTCGGTCTGGGAGTTTGAGACCAGCCTGAACAATATATCCAAAGCATTGTCCCTACCACACACACACAAACACAAAAGCTGGGCACGGTGGTTGGTGTGTGTCTGTAATTCCAGCTACTTGGGAGGCTGAAATGGAAGTCTTGTGCATTTGAACCCAAGGAGTTCGAGGCTGCAGTGAGCCTTGACGGTGCCACTGCAGTCCAGGCTGGACAACAGAGGGAGACCCTGTGTCTAAAAAAGAAAAAACAAAGAATAAATGCTTGAAATGAAGGATACCTTATTTATTATTTACATATTTGTAGATTTATATAATTATTTTTGATTTGGAGTCTCGCTCTGTCACCCAGGCTAGAGTACATGGTGCAATATTGGCTCACTGCAGCCTCAGGCTCCCAGGTTCAAATAATTCTCCTGCCTGAGCCCCCCAATTAACTGTAACATACTACAGGTGTGCACCACCATGCCCAGCAAATTTTCATATTTTTGCTAGAGATGGGGTTTCATGGTATTGGCCAGGCTGGTCTGGAACTCCTGACCTAAAGTGATCAGCAAGCCTTTGCCTCAAAGTGCTGGAATTCAAAACCTGAGCCGTCACACATGGGCAGTAAGATACATAAGACTAGGGAGTTTTATTTTTTCACTTCATCCTCACAATCCTACATTGTAGGTGAATGAAAACACAACTTCATAACACAAATAACTCACTTGAAAATCCAAGTTGGTAACTTCTCCCTTTAAAATTATTTGCACCCTTACCTATAGAAATTGAAGATGTTGTCAAAATTTTATCAAGAAAATATTTCCTCATTGCAGATTAGTCTGTTAATTGTAAGAATTATGGATTGTAAAACTTCTGGAACTTCATGTATTTCATTTCTTTAGGTTGTACAATGTATAATCAGAAAAATTAATTGGTTTAGTTATTTAAGTCCAAATCTTTTTATTTTTACCATTTGATGATTTATTAAACCTTTAAGCAATCCCCTGTCTGAAATGTTATGCTGCTGTTTTGTTTTATACACTTCACTTCCCAAAAGTATGAGGTTGAAAGTGCTTCCATTCATATAACCAATTAAGTCTGATAGGCTGAGAGTGGTGGCTCATGCCTGTAATCCTAGAACTTTGGCAGTCTGAGGAGGGTGGATCAGGATTTTAAGAACAGGCTGGCAAGTGTGGTGGAACGCTGTCTATACTAAAAATACAAAAAATTAGCCAGCTGTAGTGCACACTTATCTAATACCAGTTACTCAAGATGCTGAGGCAGGACAATAGATTGGACCCAGAAGGTGGAGGTTGTAGTAAGCCAAGATGGAGCCACTGCACCCCTGCTTGGGTGACAAAGCTACATCCCATCTCAAAACAAACAAACAAACAAACAAACAAAAAACTGATAAAATTCCAACCACTCTAGATTATTCCTATTTGTAACAACTTATTACTACACCATGACTTACAACAACCATTGTCAAAACTTTTAAGAAAAAAATAACATGACTACCTCCCAAGACCAAACACTTACTTTCCACCATTTAAACTAGGAAAATTTAATTTCATTATGCTATGCACTTGAGAAACTTAGCTGGTTCACTTTTCATTTAGGTAAAAAAAAGTTTTCATTAGCATTATCCCTCTTCAGTCACAGAATGCTTCAAGTAGAATGTTCTGGATGTCTTAAATTTTAATATCAACCACATCTAATTATTTCCTTTGACCTGTACTATTCCTCTAAAGGATAAACATATGGTGAGGCAGAGAGTCTTGTAGTCTTTCTGAAGACTACTCAAACATTGTAAGCTTGTAAGTTTTTAAAGAGAAACAGCCTATTTAGAAAACTTGTGCAGCTTGCAAGGGAGACATAACATATGCCTAATTTTGTATCTATTTATGTTCAAAGAAATAAAGGAAAATGTTCAACAAACAATGCAATTTACTCTCTTATTGAATTTGCTTTTAAGCATGTGCAGCTGAGCAAAAACATTAGGCATTTTGCATTACATGTAAAATTTTATTCTGAAAATTTTAATGTAGATATTACATCTAAACAGATAGTTTTCAAATAGCATTAGCTAGTATGAAATTACTTGGAAATAAAATTCCCTTTATTTATTGGAAATAAAATTCCTTTGAATACCTCAAAAAATTCATGGAGGAAGTTAGTATCTACCTCTCTCCACAAAACATACATGTTTCTTTTAGTAAGACGCAGGTAACAATGCAGAAATAACAGGTCAATTTTCGATTTGCAAACAAGGTTTAGTATGCAATAACTATTATTTGAATACTTGCTTTCATATCTGCTTCAGCCTCTTTTGTCAGATCCACCTTCCCCACCATCTCCTGTAGATGACAAATATCTTGAGCTACCACATGTTTCACAAGGAGCAGGGTGTACCCTATCCAGAGAAGGTAGATTGCTTTGGTCTTTTCTGTCAACGTGCCCACAATCACGGGAATAAAAATCACCACAGCTCCTTGAGTAACTCTCCCGACTTATGCCATATCTATCTCATTTATTGCTATAATCATGGTGGCTGCTTCCACCATAAGACAACAGAGGCACTCCTGCAGATGGTGCACCATGAGAGGTCCCTGCAGGGGACCCTGCAGGGTTGATAAAATAATATGTTGGACTATATTTAAACATTATTACTGCTATCACTAAAGCATGATTAAGTTAAAGTACTATTTGGAAATATCTACTTTCCTCTGTCTTTGTCGACAGGATATTAATTATGCCTGCAATAATCAGAAGGTTTTATTAATAAGAAGTGTAAGAGAAGTTATTTTGAAGCTTAACAAATTTAATTCTAAAGTAAAAGTTGAGTCACATTTTCTGAACGTGAACTGAAGTTCTCACCTTCATATCATTCCCTATGCTTTCTTCTGTTAAGAATACTCAATATTTAGACATGTTATATTTGTCCCTCGTAATTTTCCTTAGAATTTCATTAAAATAACGATCTGGTCTATTAAACACAATTCTATAATTTACAAATCCATCCCGGACCCTTACCCTATCTCTGAAATGCATCTCTATAAGAACTTCCACTTGGACGTTCAGAATGATCTCTAACATCACCTCACCACAGCCATCACAATCACTAAATTGAAAAAAAAAATTCTTAATGTCAGAATGAACCATTTAAGAATTCTATTTGACAAGTCCAGGAAATGTTGTAATACCTATATCCTCTAGAGAAATGTTCATCCCAACTAGAATGACCATAATCATGGTATGCATAGTCTCTAGACAGTGGAGCATAATCCCTAGATTCTCGGGAAAGTGGATGATTTCTGTGGGCATAAGTTTAAACAACAAATATTAAATTTTCAACTTCTAGTATCCAAAACATAACTAACTTACAACTTAAACAAAATTAAAAGGCCAAACATCTAAACAGATATTTCTCCAAATAAAATAGGCAAATGCCCAAAAAGCACATGGAACAGATACTCATAATCGGTGATTCAGAAAAAGCATTTCAAATCCAAAGTGAGATACCATACTTCCCACACACACTAGAATGGCAATAAAAAGCAGGAAATAGCAAGTGTTTGAGAGGGTGAAGATAAATTGGAACCTTGATACAATGCTAGTTGGAAGGGAAAATGATGCAGCTGCTATGGAGACATGTGGTGTTTCCTCAAGAAAACAAACATAATTATTACAGAACCAAGCAATTCCATTTATATATACACCCAGAATTGAATAAGTGTACTCAAACAAATACTGGAGCATAGAAATACTGTGGTAGAAACAACCCAAATAAAATAATGGGTTAACCGCTTGTGGAAGGATTTAAGTGCTATGATGTAAATGAAACTTCGGGACATGATACAAAAGGAAAGGAGACAGATACAAAAAGTCATGTAGTGTATAAGCCCATTAACATTAAATGCCCACAACATGTAAGTTCAGAGGCAGAGCAAAGACTGATGTTTGCCAGTAGCTGAGGGAAGGAAGAAAATGAAAGGGACTGCTTAACTGGTAGCTGGAGTTTTAGTTTGTAGTCATGAAAATGTTTTGGAACTTGATGGAGTTAGCTGCTGCACAACACAGGATGTATTTAATGCCACCTGTTTACCTTATAATATTTAATTTTATTATGTGAATTTCATCACCATAACAAAAAAAATCAACTTCTAAAAAATATTTTCTTTACCTTTCCTTAATTGCATAACCATCATCTCTTGGTGACATACGGTCATTTCTCCAGGAAGAGATTGGCTCTCTGCATGGAGGACCTCCATAATTCTCTCTTCCACGTGATATGGGACCTTTAATATTAAAATGATGAAACAGGGAAAGAACAGCAAATCCGAAATACTATTTTCTCTTCTCTCAAACAACTTTTTAAAATTATTTCTTCTATGACTCCACTATGACTCCATTTTTCATTCCCTAAATTACTAGAAAGTCATGACACTGTGAATATTTCTTATGGCTTTGGATAATCCCATGGCTACTGCAAGGCCAGTTCTTCTAACAGAGCTGAAGACAGACATTAATTCTTAGGTAAAAGTTCATCTGTAATGGTAAATAACTAGTTAGTTATTGTTTTTCCTTTCATATGAATTACTGATGACTACCAATGATACAGGGAAGACATGTAAAAGCACCAAACTCTTCACAGATTTTTAAGTTTACATCCATTGTCCCTTCTCAGCTGAAGAAGGTAAATTTTCCTATGTTGTTCAATCCACCTCACACACACAAATGATGCTACCTTTGAATGATTGGATGCTAAATTTTTACATAAAAGGTCTTCTTTATCTCTAAGTGGTTGGCTCTACCTTAAATGTTGACAAATTGAAATATACTAGTGAAAACTTTCTAATGATGGCCAAGATTTACTTTTACTGCAATAAGCAATCCTGTTAAAGGGGTCATTACGACATTGTTGCTATTTCAAAATAGAAAATGTTCTCCTTTAATATACTCTTTATGTGCTATTCCTTAGAGGTCAGTCTTTCACCTATGATATGTTCACTGGCTAATTTTCCAATGGAAATGTGTTGGCTTATGTATGCTGAAGTCAATAAATATCTAATTTCACCGATACTCTACATATGAAATGTAAAATTGAAAACAGCAGTTTTCAATTTCCTCCATATTGGGGTGGAGGACTAAGTAAGAATTTTAATTTGTTCTGCCTAAACTTCTTTGCTAAGAACTTTTATTTACTGTCTTGCTTTCTTCTGTTCTGTCTGCAATCTTAACAATTCTCCTTCTCAAAAATATTACTTCTATTCAATCCTACCGCTCACCTCAGGTTGCTTAGTTCTAAATTCTCTCCTCAAATAATTTCCAGTCTTACGCTAAGGATCTTGTGTTAATGTTTAAACATCCCGGTAAAATCTTAATTATTGATTTACATGACCTTATATTTCACATCTCTGCACTTCTATGATATCCACTTAATTTAAGAATATTGGACTCCTTCATGTCTACCTTTCAAGACTTGATTTTATTTTTAAATAATAGGTAAGCCCAGTGACTCCTTTTCTGCTAAATGCTCTTGTAGTTCTTTTGAATCTTCATAGAAGCAGTAAGAATGCCTTGCACATAAACATTATTGAGGTCTCAGAAGCTGGATGGTCAGGCTCAGCAGCTCACAGTGCGAGTCAGTGTGGAAGGCAGAGACAGCTGGACTGCTTGAGCCGCTGGCTTTTATGTCAGTTTTGACAATGTAGTGACATCCTCTGTCTACAAAAATACAGGAAAAAAAAATTAGCTAGGTGTGGTGGTGCATGCCTGTAGTTGCAGCAACTCAGGAGGCTGAAACAGGATAATTGTTTGAGCCCAGGATTTTGAGGCTGTAGTAAGCCATCATTTCACCAATGCACTCTGACCTGGTAAGAGCAAGACTCCAACCCAATAAAGAAACTGAACAAGCAATTTTTCAATTGGCTTGCCAGGGGACCACTACCAGGGGACCTAGGAAATGGAAGAATTCATTAGAAGAAGAAGCCTATCATCAAAGAATACTGCTAGGGACTTTTAGAAAAATTAAGGGGAATTATCTAGCAAACACAGGATTAAGAGGAATGTTGGCCTCACTCTAATCACTTCTTTCAACTGCAGTGAGAAGCTCGAGTATTTCTTCAACATAAATCTGAGTGTACCTAGTGAGATAGAAAGTATAATAAAAGCTATTGATCAGTAATTATGCCCAATGATGTGTCACTTCTGTTTTGTTCAATGAACTTAAATTTAAGAATCCAGTTAAAATAGCTCATTTTTAGTCATACAAAAAATATGGTCTTTTATCAGGTAGCATTTACCTTGGCCTCCCATCCAACTATTGCTTCTTGCCATAGCAGAAGGAGCAGATGTTTTAGGAGGAGGACCTCCACTTCGTGAAGATGGACCTCTTTTAATTGGAATGGCTCCCCTAGAAGAACTCGTGTTGAGATCAAGAGCGTATCCACCATCATCTGTATTTCAAACAAAATCATTTTAGTTAACTAGCATCACTGTTTCTTGAATGGCTAAGTTTTGTTGTTTTTCTACATATTATAATGTTACAAATTCACATTTGTCTAAACTAATAAAATTAACATTTCTATATGAAATTAGTACAATTCAAGCAATAAAAGTCTGTTTAGAAAATCTAGAAGGAAACTCAAGAATTATAATATATTGGTGTGAGAGAGAGATGTGGGAAAAATGGGGAGTGAACAGGGAGCAGAAATCTATCAGTAAAATATCTAAGTATAATATACATAAAGAAAAAATATTAAAAAATGATAAATGACTGTTTATATCATTCTATTATGAGGAAAAATTTTCAAAGCATATCAAAAAGATAAACTAAATTCCATTCAAAGAAACTCAAATATTTGCAATATCAAAAGGTGACACATCAGGAAAATATATTATCTCTAAAATTTGTTAACATAGTATAGAATTCTTACAATTTCCTTGTGAAACACTAATTTTCAGATTAGACTATGCTAAATTTTAATAATCTTTAAGAATTGCTTATTAAATAATATAAAAATATTTATATATCTACAAATCTGTAGATATATGCCAATTACTAGGTGGTGTTACAGGTTAGAGTACGCACATTCTCATACATGGCAGAGTATTATTGAATCTCACCCTCAAGATCAGTGGAGACAAAATTACCATGAAGCTATGCATCGTAAAATGCAGCAAACACTGCAATTTCAACTTTAAAAACACATCTCCAATTAATTACACATCTGGTCATTAAAACACAAAATTAAAGATCGATTTTTGAAGGTTGGTTAATAGATAATATGTTAACCAATAGGTTGATTGATTGATTGATTGATTGAGATGGACTCTTGCCCTATTGCCCAGGTGGGAGTACAATGGCATTATGTCAGCTCACTGCAGCTTCTCCCTCCCAGGTTCCAGTGATTCTCCTGCCTCAGCCTCCCGAGTAGCTAAGATTAGAAGTATGTGCCACCATGCCAAGCTAATTTTTTGTATTTTTAGGACAGACAGTTTGCACCATGGTTGCCAGGCTGGTCTGGAACTCCTGACCTCGTGGTCCACCCACCCCATACTCCCCAAGTGCTGAGATGACAGGCGTGACCCACCTCGCCCACCCCCATCCAATATATATATATATTTTTAAATACATAGTTTGTTTTTCTTTTTTATGTAGAAATTGACCCCTCATTTCTACTGTGTAAATCACTCATAAATACCATTTTCAGTGACTCACCTTCCAGCAAGAAAGATACATACATATCTGTGAAGCAGTGGTGTTTTGTCCTTTCCAGAGTCATAGACTTTTTTTAGAAATTAAAGTTCTACGTTTCTTAAATTGAAAATGCTTTATGGCAGGCCAATGTACAAACTCTCCATATGAAAATTACAAAGCAATAGATTTGCATACATGTTTGCACATGTATACACAAAAAAAAACAAATATTGGAAAATCAATCCTAAGTACTGAATTACTTTTTTTCCTGTTGGAAAGTTTTAAATATTCCATTGTATTTTGATAATACAACCGATATGAAGTTCTGGGCCCCAAAGTAGAAAACTCTATGAAGTATAATTAATATAAATGAGTTCTTCAGAAAACCTGTTGAGTACAGGCAATCAGCATTCATAAACTCAATTCAGTTTGAAATTTGTGTTATTTCAATGCAAACTTATTACAATTTTAAAACAAATTTTAGATATTAGTGCAATCATTCTTATAATACACCTTTAGTACTTAGAAATAATTTTGCTTCTTATCAATAAGTTAATTTTCTTATCAATAAGAAAATTACTTCTTACCAATAAGTAAATTTCCCAAAATAAATAAAATTGGGAAATTTTGATATCTTCAAACTTATTTTCTTTCAGTCCTATGGTTCCATCTTTATATTTTAGAACATTACCCAAGTGTCCTTCATGTGAGGGCAGCCACGGTCTTGTTCCTCCACTACTTCCTCTTGCAGATCTCAGACTTCCTGAAGGGCTTCTGTTTCTTGAAGAAGGTGGTGGTCTCCGCCTACCACCACTTGGAAAAGATGGTTTCTTTGCTTGTTCTACTTTTATTTCTTTTCCATCCAAAGACTAAAAGTATTAAGAGTACTATCAATAACGTTGGCAAGATTAAACCTAAGCACATTTTACAAACATTTCTACATCAACTATAGTTCAATTCTAGATATTTTCTCCCAAAGCAAATTTTTTTCCTCCTAAAATGAACACGTCTTTCACAATACCAAATTTGAGACATTTACTGAACACACGCCTTCCATTAAGGGATCAAACACAAATTCTATTATTCAAATTCCTTGAAAACTCCTCAATTATTAAAAAAAAAAAAACACCTCAAACAAAAAAGATTAACCCATCACACATTCTATGGAAGAATGTGGCATGTCTTTTTTTTACAATATATCATCCACTTCATCTTTGTATTCGCATCACTGATTTAAAAGTTTCAGTGTCCCAAGGAAACTTGTGTCATTTAAAAAAATGAGGTTACTTATTCAAAATGATTAGTCACATTAGTCATATGAGTTGTTTCTTGTTTGATCTGCTAACACTTACGTAAAATATCCCCATATGATTTATAATTTTATATTTACTCTAGAAACGTTTCTGTAAATGTGATCCTTGTTTGATCTCATTAAGGTTTCTTGCCTTATTCATTTCTTATTTTGCCTTAGACGTGCCCCTAAAAAATGACTCTTAATATAGTACTTCATGTTGTTTCTCAGAAATGCTTAAATGTGCTAATTAATTTCACAGTAACATTTTTCAGTATGATCTTTTCTATAGGCCAAAGTAATTTTTGAAAACAGTTCAGATAATAAATAACTCTATTTTAAAATTACATGTTTTTTGTTATTTGGGGGAAGATCTTAAATCCCTTACAAGACCTCTTGCAGCCAAATTGCCAGTTGTTCCTACCTTGAAACTTCTGCTGTTATTTCTGGGCCCAAAATATTTTCCCCAGATTTGCGCATGGCTGCTTCCTTCCCAGTGTTTCAAAGTCAGTCAAAATTCCTTAAACTGTTAATTGCCCCTGATAACTCTAAGAACCTCCTTTGTTGGCCGTCTTAACATTTATGTGCATATAACTTCATATTTATGTTTACACAATAAAATATGTGAGATGAAGTAATTCAGAAATAACATTGGCTGGGCGCAGAGGCTCATGCCTGTAATCCTAACACTTTGGGAGGCCAAGGCGGGTGGATCATGAGGTGAAGAGATAGGGATCATCCTGGCCAACTGGGTGAAACCCAGTCTCTACTAAAACTGCAAAAATTAGCTGGGCGTGGTGGCATGTGCCTGTAGTCCCTGCTACTTGGGAGGCTGAGGCAGAGAATTGCTTGAACCCGGGAGGGGGAGGTAGCAGTGAGCCGAGATCGTCCCACTGCAATCCAGCCTGGCAACACTGTGAGACTCCGTCTTAAAAAACAAAAAAACCAAACAAGCAAAAAATCTATGCAAATTGCCTGCTCTTGTGCTTGAAAACTAGGGGGGAAAAGGAAATTATCATAGATTACTATACGTAAGTAAAAATTATCTCCACAACTACCACAAATTTACTCTGGGTTTCTACCACAGCTTAAAATACTAATTTATAAGAGTGAATAAAAATGTACTTTCTGCTATGTGTCAGCAACTCTACTAGATGCAACAAAAATAAAAGCAACTAGGAAGCCTTAAATATGCACTGTAGACAATTTAACCATCAATAGATTAATACATGGTACAGTGAGTATAAAATATCTACGATTTGCAACGAGGAAGAAAATAGAAAATTGAAGTTGTTTTTGAAGGATGAATTGTTATTTCTGAGACATACATAGGAAAGAATAATTGTCAAAAAGTCCAAAAAATCATTTTAGGGGTACCATAAAGAGTGACAGGAGCTAAAAACAGATTTGGATAATGTTATAAAGCAGAAAAACAGATTTGGATAATGTTAGAAAGCAGAAAAGCTCTAAAGGGCCCAGAATGGAATGATCTTGACTAGAATGTAAAGGAATTCAATAGTTAATAGAATTACATAAAATTTTAAAGCTTTAGTAAACACACAATCCCTAGATTTAAGACTCAATTGGACAAGAGACCATTGGTTTGATCAAAACACGTTCTCAAACACATTGGGAAAATGAGCAATTAGGTATTCATGTTACATAAATCACTCTGGTGACAGGAAAAAAAACATCCTTAGGAGAAAAGAGCAAGGATGGGGCAAAAAATGCCAGTTACTTCTTCTGTTGTCCAACTTCAATGTTCTGATATTGTTTTCTATTTTCAAGTACTTAACACATCCTTAAATGTGAAGGTCTTATTTAAATGTACTTTCTCAAGAATATATTTGCAGAAAATGGGAGAGAATCTTTCCTTCCTGTGAGTCTGTCTAGATGTCTATCCACAGTTTGTATATGCTATAGAAGTATTTCCATGAATTGGAAGTAATTCCACTGATAGCATTTAAAAAATGTTAACTTAGTCCTTTCATTTAGAGGAGGGTTCCTTCTAGGTTTTAATGCTCTTGGAAACCTTTGAAAATCTATTTACACCCATATTGAAATACAAAAATAGAAAAAAAGTTACCATATATTAATTTATGTAATGTTAATTGCAGTACCCTTCCAAATACACTTGCATGTGTATGGCACAAAGAAGACGATGGCTAAAGCATTTCAGTCCATATGGCATTCTACTATCTTCAACACTTTAGTTATACTAAAAAGACCTAGAAATACTGTTAACTGAAAACCAGAATTAGTGTATTATTAATAAGGGACTCTTACCTTTCCATTCATATCTCTGGCAGCATTCTTAGCATCTGCAGCATTCTCAAAAATAATGACCACAAAATCTCTGGACTTACTGGTTCGACCTTTTATCAAAAGAACTAAGATACATAAAAACATTTTATATTTATAGAATGGACTCACCAAGGTACTAACCATCTGAAAGTTACATCAAACCAAAAAATAACTGCATTTCACATCACTACTATGATTCTTAATACTAAGTCACCCCTATAGTCAGCCTATTTTATTCCAGTTTGTTCCCTAACTCCATAACACATTTACTTTTCCTCATTTTCCTTTCTAAGCAGTAAGTGATTCTTACCCTTCACCTGCTGCTATGAGAATTTTCCAAATATCAGATAGATACTTCAAAATAAGAGTTTACAAATCACAAGGCGTTTTAATGTATGTATACAATGAACTTTGAAAAATACATACTTTAAAATACATACATAACCTACATATTTTAAATAACATATTGAAATATACATACGAAAATACACACAAACAGAGACACGCACACACACAAAACACATGGCTTTAAGAGTTACCTTCCAAAAGGGGACCATGTTTTGCAAATACTTCTTTAAGCACCTTTTCATTGGCTTCTCTATTGAGGCCACCAATGAAAAGCTTGCCATGACAATCTGCTTCTACCATTGTGCTGTAAATGGTTAAAAAAAATCTATATTAGATAAAAATAGACAAACTAAAAAGATAAAATTTTATTACATACTGTGTTGGAAATTCAAGTAAAAGTCCCTTCCAGAGGCTAACATCTTTTTAGTATTTCTTAGTTTAAATATGTAAAATTCATAACATACAGAGCAAAAGGGGCACTGACTTCATGGACAAATGCTGCATTTTATTATGTAGGTGACAAAATCTAATTTATAAAAATTAGATAAGAAAAGCTACTGTAATTTTCCTAAGTTGCAATATGAAGGATGCTCCCAGTTAAATAATTTTATTTGAAAACTATATATTTATGAGGTATGGTGTGATGTTTTGTGTATTTTTTTTTCTTGAGATGTATATCTCCTGTTGCTAAAGTGCACTGCTCACTACAGCCTCCTCCACCCAGACTCAACTGATCCTCCCACGCTTCAGCTTCCCAAGTAGCTGGCTGGGCAATTTTTGTGTGTGTGTGTTTTTTTTGTTTGTTTGTTTGTTTTTAAATAGACATGGTTTTCCTTATATTGCCCAAACTGGTCTCCAACTCCTGGGCTCAAGCAGTCCACTGGCCTGGGACTACCAAAGTGATGGGATTTCAAGTGTGAACCGCCACACCCAGCGTGATATTTGTATGAAAGATTAAATCAAGCTAATTAAAATGTTCTAGGGGGAGATCATTTTAAGTATTTTAGCATCTTTTAGTGATTTGAAATATATAATAGATCAAGGATCCCCAAACACTGGCCTTCACGCCATACCTGTCTGTGGCCTGAATGTAATGCCTGAGGATAACCTGTAATACCTGTCTGTGGAGAATGTAACGCCTGAGGATGACCTGAGGTGGCACAGTTTCATCCGGAAACCTCCCTAGCCGCCTCCCACCCCTCCTGCCCCACCCTGTCCCGGTGACAGCCCCACTGCCCCACCTGCCCCCTCTCACACCTCTTCCACCAGAAGCCCCGCCCCACCACGTGCCCCTCGGGGCCCTGCCGCCAGCCCGTACCCCTAAACGTGTCCATCTCACTGCCTTCTTCCGCTGGGCAACACTTGTCTGAGGAAACATTGTCTTCCACCAACCGGTCCCTGGTGCGAAAATGGCAATAGAGTAAAGGAGCCCATTATGTTATTCAGGCTGGTCTCCAACTCCTGACCTCAAGCCATCCTCCTACCTGCACTTCCCAAAATGCTAGGATTACAAAAGTAAGTCAGTGTGTGAAGATAGTAGAATAACAAGCAGATTTATTTTGTTTTCGTTTAAGTCTATCCAACTCCATTTAACTCCATTACACCCACTTATTCGGTTTAAATTACTTAGGTGCCACAGATACATGAAACATGTTTCAAATACTGTCATACAAGGAAGGAGACAATTACAGGCTTTACAGAGGCAAATTTAAACCGAGGTTATTTATGGCCCCAGACTTCTACATACACTAAAATACGTCAAAATTTGATAATTCCCGCCAAGCAAATCACATATGTGACATGTGCTGACTAAAGTACGGGTTTTTAATCGCAGTGGTTAAGTATGTTGCCTGTATTTTGAATTATGACGACATTCACAGAGAAAAACTGCTTTAATAAAAAGTGCCCATGAAAACAATGGCGCCTTAGCACCATCTCCCAGAACTTGCCCACATGTCAGATATGTCCGACAGTTAAAGGTAGAATCTTCAAGAAAAATCAAAGAGTTTAACAAAAATGAGTTTCTTTAGAGCACTAAGGAGTTCTCTCCCCACTGTCTCCTCCCTTAATTCAAGCCCACATATAGAAAGCCCATTCGCTTTTATAGACAAAATCCCAAACCTTTGCTTTCTAGTCTTGCCGAGAGACCAACCTGTCCAGAGAAACAGAAAATACAGGTGCTTTTCAGGAGGACAAACAGCCTCAGGGTCTCCCGTCACTCAGGTCGTATGCATCCGGCTTCGGGACACCACAGGGCCAACTGCAGGAAAGACCGCTGCAGCTGGCCTGAGTGGGAAGCCATGCCCGGAAATCACGCCTACCTCCAGCCAATCATTGGGAAGGCAGTGGGCATCTGCCAATTATTGCAAGAGCGGTAGGCGTCTCCTGAGGAGCCCCTCCCCTGGGTGGCCTGCAGCTCCATCCTCCCGCGGTAGTCCTCCTCTGAGAAGATGCTTGTGCAAGGTGGTGGTGGGTTCAGGCACACGCAGACTGTGAGCCCTTTGGAATTGTGACATGGAAGACCTATACCCTAACTGGCATCCTGAGTGCCGCAAGCCATTGACTCACAGGGAACACATGAAACATCTCACTTCATTAGGCAGGCTAGGCTGATGGTACTGAATATTGGAGATCCAGAGGCAAGAGAGAGGGTCTAGTCCTGCCTGCTGGGGCAAGGGCAGCGGCGGTGGTTTTCGGGGAGTGGGGCCGAGGGGGCATCTGGGAGGAAAGTCATCTGGCACCTTCCTGGGGTGGAATTCGTCAGCACCGGAATTCAAAACCCCGCAAGGACTCTTTCAGATCTAGGGAAATACAGACTCCAAGTTCCATGCATCCTCCCTAGGATGTTGCACTCCCAGGGGTATTCCAAAGGATCTCTTGTCCTATGCCCTGGGCACACCAGAGACAAGCTGCCGTGGTCGCCCATCCAATGACCTGTGTTCACTGCCTTGGTGGCGCAGAGGCTGCTGTGAGTGCAGCACCCACCGGCCGCGGTGCCTGCTAGCGGGGCTCTGGAAGTCCAGGGCCTCTGCCTATGGCTCCTGTATGCAGCTAACCATGCAGGGAATCTGGACCTCATGGTGACTGCGGCGGACTGTGGGCCCTGCGGGACTCCCCAGGAATCCTGGGTCCACGTAGGTGTGAGACCGTGATTCTCAGCTAGGCGAGGCCCCCGGGCCTCTCGAGGAGCGGCCCCCAGAGTCTAGGGGTGCCAGGGGCGTGGGGTGGGCGGCTCAGACCTTGGTCTGTGGGAGCCCTAGGAGGGCACCGTGTTAAGTCTGGAGGCTCTGCGGGAGAGGGCGGCCTGGGGGGAAGAGGCGTGCTCCTGGTAAATGACATCACGACAGAAGTGGAAGTGGTGGCCAAGGAAGAGGCCGACGTGGAGCAGCAGCAGGAGGACCACTGGGCAGAGCCGGGCCCTGGCCCCAGTATGCCCCGGCCCGCAACGGACTCGCTGGAGGTCCATCATTTGCAGCTGGGCTTTGTAAATGCCTCAAGCCACAGGGCATCCCCGGTTTCCGGGCCAGAGCCATGTCTTCGCAGCTGCTAATTCGGGATGGCTGGCAGCAGGGGGTGGGCGCCTAGGTCCCAGGAGCAGGGTTGCGGGGAGCCAGCTGGTAGGCACTGGAGGTCATCCAGGAGTCAGGGGATGAGGAACAATGAAGGGAGCAGAGGCCAGACTTCTGCAGATAGGAGGGCAGCTTGCTTGCAGTTGCCCTGAGAGCACGTAGAGTAGGGACAGGAAGCAAAGCACAGCACTCACAAGAGAGAATAGGAGCGCAAAGGACCCTTTATGCACTGCAGAAAGTCGAAGGGCACATTTCCCTGGGAAAGTCCCTGGAGGAAGGGGAGTCTCTATGCCCATGCCAGCCATGGAACTACCCCTATTCCCTGTGCCTGTGACCAGCAGGCTTACCCCAGAAACACATGGTGCTCAAGACTTGGGCCCAGATATGGACCAGGGTCACAAATGATGAAGTCCTGCTGAGCTACATGATGGATTTGCAGGTTAGGCTGCTGAGCCTGAATCTGTGGGAGTGGTCCAGTGCCTGGGTGAGGTTGCGGTCCCCCTGGGGCCCAGGGGTGTCTAAGCAGGACAGCTGAGAAGGGGAAACACATGCTTCACTCCAGCTAGCAGGCCACTTCAGTCCAGCTACATGAAATGGTCCTTTGAGTCCATCCTGTTTCTCCTTCTTGACCAGGTAGATGGAGGAACTCAGCCACCCCAGGTACTGGCATCAGGATGAAGGTTTCCTTTTGTAACAGCCTTTACTTCCACAATGAAGTGATCATTCAGGAGTACTGCGTTGGCATCCTTGGTAAGGAGTGCCTCCCAGCAAGGTAGGGGAGGTTGTGTGTGGGAGGGTATGTCTGGCATGAACCTTCCTGATTCCTATCCCTCCAAGAAACAGGGTGTCTCATTCCACTGCAGTCCAGTGGTTGTGGGATCATGAAGGTCAAGCCTCCAGCTGCAGGCAGTACACCTACATCTGACCTTCTTCAGCTGGTTGGTTGCCCCTGGCTACCCAGGTCCCGGCAGGATTGCTGAGATGGGTGCCACGGTGGGGCATCATGGGAAAAACCTTGCTGGTCATTCCTTGGCCTCTGGGGAACTGGCTTTGAGCCATGACCTGACCTGTCCTGTACCCCCTTCTTCAGTCCCCCAGATCATCAGCCAGGGCCTGTGGCTCAATCCCCTTCAGTACTTCCCGAGGGAGGGAGGCCATTAGAGAGGGAACAGAGAGGAGGTCAGGTTAGGAGAACCCAAGCTTCAGGGAAGAGACTGCAGTGAGCAATCCCAGGCCATCCATGGGCTGAAGGAGAAACGGACTTCAGGGAACTGTAACACTCACATTTCAGGATTAGGGCACCTTAAGTCACCTGAGAGGCATAAGTGTCTAAGGTCAGTGGGTGAGAAGCAAGTCTTAAGGGATAACTTGCTCAACATCTCTAGTTGGCTCCCTTCCCCACCCTGAGGCTGACTAACACTTGGGGCTCAGTTTGGGCTCAACCAGGGCCCTCTCACCCTCCATGCAGATGTCCCCCCAAGGCCTGTCTAGGTCTGCGTCCTCCCAGAATGGCTCTCCCAGGCCCATCATTTTCGGTTACGATGAACCCAGGCTCCCCTGACGTGATTTCTCCTTTCTGCCGTCTTCACTCACACTTCCCTGCTACCCAGACAAAAGAGGCCACTACACAGAGAATCTGGAGGACCACATTGGGCTCAGAGGAGGAAATGTGAAGAGACTGCAAAATGGCTGACTCCTCTGGTATGTGCCCAGGGAGGGAAACTGGCCGGGAATTAAGACCCACTTGGGTACTGGTGTGGACACCCAGTGTTGCTTATCATGATGAAGACCTGCTTTGTCGCATCACCTAATATTAATATGGAGGTTATTTTCTTAGAATAGTGAAACAAAGAGTATGAAGAAATAGTGTTTGTTCAGATTTGTGTGGAAATACTGCAGACACATCCATTTTCTGTTACAATTCTTATGTGAGACTTGAAGTGCTTACTGAGTTTTAAGATAGATTTTGATTGTTCTGCTCCTGCAAATTTTATGATCATTTTTGCAATATAGAGACATAGAATCCAGAAAATTTTTAAGTGACTTTCAGCTTCTTTTAGAGTACATACTTATAAATTTTGATTTTTTTCCCCTTGTGGTTCTCTTCAGTATATTATTTGTACTTTATATGCAAGCTGATACATTTGTTTTTTTTAAATTTGCCTCTTGTGCCACCTTTGTTTAAAGGACATTTTTTTCCTGTTAGATATGTGAGTTTGCCTGTGAGCTCTTTTTCTAGTACAGATTTTTTTTTCCATTTTTTTAGATTTGTGTGTGTGTGTATGTGTGTGTGTGTGTGTTGAGACAGAGTCTGGCTCTGTAACCCAGGCAGGAGGGAAGTGTCATGATCTCAGCTCACCTCAACTTTAGCCTCCCAGCTTCAAGCGATTCCGCTGCCTCAGCCTTCCCAAGGAGGTGTGATTACAGGCGCATGCCACCATGTCCAGCTGATTTTTGTATTTTTAGTTGACATGAGGTTTCACCATATTTGCCATGCTGGTCTCAAACTCCTGACCTCAAGCGATCTGCCCGCCTTGGCCTCTTAAAATGCTGGGCTTACAGGTGCAAGCCATGATGCCCGGCCTCATTTGTTTGTTTATGTATTTTAACCCTTGTTGTATTGTCTTCGTGAACACGTATTTTAGAGTTATTGAAATAATATGCTTTATTTATTTACTCAATACTTAAGTAGGATTTTAAAAGTAATGTTTTCATTCACTAAATACAGTATTGTGAATAGGTTAAACCTTGTATAGTATTGTCATTTTCTTTTTCATAAATTCTTCAAGAACTCTGATACTGTTTTTCCCCCACCTGAGGAGAATATGCAGATAGTTACAAAACATTGTGTGAGTTAGTTGGGATAAAAATATAATTTGAAAGACTAATATTCACAAATACAATTCCACATTTGTATTTCGCATCATTTTGAAAATTTTTTTTGCTGATAAATAAAATCCTGCATTCACGTTCATGTTAAATATGAACTTTTGAATCATTTTCAAGAATGAAAACAATCCAAGGCCATGCATTAGTTCAGGAAGTAGTAGAAAGCAGTTATTACGAAGAAAAGCCATATTTATTGAAGGTATATTTAGATAGATTTTGGAAGGCTAAGTCAAAATTTTCCTTGTTGATGCTCTGGCGTTTTATCATACTGTGACCAGACTGTGGCATCAGTAGTTATAGTCACTAGGCTACCAAAGTCCCTGGGCTGCCGTAATTATTATTGAGGAAAGTGGCAGTGTGGTTGGTTGTTTAAGGAGACTAGAGGAGTTCGGAGTTTCTACCCAAGGCACAAGGGCCTGGTTTATTGAGTGACCTTCTTTTGCTGAAGTAGATAATATCCAGGAAAAATGTGGACTCACTGTAGTAGCTAGGGCTTTGAGACTGGTGAAGCCTATTTGTCTCCAACTGCCATTGTCAGATACTGGTCTGCACATAAATGCTTTTCGTAGGCTCACTGACTCCTGTAAATTCCAACATAGAATTTGGATTTAAATCCCTATTCCAAATTATTAATCATAGATTTAATAAGTAGATATTAAAACATGTATTCAGAAGAAAAGGAGACATCAGATAAGTGCATAATAAATCATCCTGATGAAATACCTTCAAAAATATTACTACAAAAAATCACTGAAGATTAAATGTTAAAAAGTTATTTTAATTGGGGAAATAGAAAAAGGTGAGACTCGTTTTAAACTCTGAGGTGTAAAGATACTATTATTAGAATAAGAGAATAATATAGAATGTCTGATTTGTGTGTACAGCAGCATAATAGCTATACAGTATGGCTAGAGATTGAAATCGTATGTAAGAAAACTCAGAGATTAAAAACAGATTTTTTTTAGAGACTTTGTTCTGTAATTAAAGAATTTTAAAATGGTTTCCTACTGATCAATAATTCACTTATATTTATCATTTAGGCATATGCAGTATACACCCCTTTGTATAGGAACAAAGTTATAGTTTCTATCATGTAGTAAGAAAAAAATTGATGATGTACCACAATTTCATCAGAGTTTTTGTCCTGAGTAATGAAGCAAACAATGGAACTGCCTATGTCAGGGTACAGGTGGGCACAGCTGGAAGCTTTCATCACTTGTGCCTAACATTTCTGGATTGTCATTGGTCCCTCCTAGAAAGACAAATGGACTATATCCTTAAGAATATATGTTAAATTTAAACCCTAAGTATTAAGATAAGACTACGATTTGTCTCATCACTTCTGTCTCGTCATTACTTTAAACTTGTATCTATAACTTTTACACAGAAATTCAGTTCATTTCATCACCATTAACATTTTACATCACACAATTTTTCTATTTCATTATCTTTTTGGTCACTTTTCTTTTCTTTTTTAAGGTAGAGTTTCACTCTGTCACCCAGGCTGGAGTACAGCGGCCTGATCTCAGCTCACTGCAACCTCTGCCTCCAGGATTCAAGCAGTTCTCCTGCATCAGTCTCTTGAGTAGCTGGGATTACAGGCACACACCACAACTCCTGGCTAATTTTGTATTTTTAATAGAGATGGTGTTTCCCCATGATGGTCAGATTGGTCTTGAACACCTGACCTCAGGTGATCCACCACCTCAGCCTCTCAAAGTGCTGGGATTACATGCGTGAGCCACCATGTCTGGCCTTTTTTTGTTTGTTTGTTTGTTTGAGACAAGTTCTTCTTTGGTCACCCAGGCTGGAGTGCATTGGCACAATCTTCACTTACTGCAGCCTCGACCTCCGGGCTCAAGCCATCGTCCTGCCTCAGCCTCCCACATAGCTGGGACTACCTGTGTGCAACATCAACCAGGCTTTGTTTTTGTTTACGTGTTTAGTGATGAAGTCCTGCTATATTGCTGAAGCTGGTATCAAATTCCTGGACTCAAAGTGTCCTCTTAGTTTAAGCTCCCACATTGCTGGAATTACCGGGGTGAGTCAATGAAGACAGACTTGTCACTTTTTAATAACATTTTAAATTCTACTCTGCAAAATTAACAAGTCAATTTTTACCTTTGAAATTCAAAATTCCAAGTCAAGTTAAGCTACATTTTCATAAAGAAGTAAAAATGAACAAAACAATACAAAACCCTTCTTTTTCCTTTGTACCGAAGTGAGAAAAGAGTTGGGAAGGAAGTCATCTCTACCTTGCTTTACAAATCTGGACTGTACAGAGAAAGTTCCTCATATAATTTTTGTTAGATCTAAAATCCTGTGAAGTCATCATCAGAACCATCATCTTATAAAACAAAAACAAATCTCCTAGTGGGTCTCTGATGTGGATTAAATATCTTATAATTAATAATGTATACAAATGTGATTACACTTATGCCTTGAATCATAATATTAAAAATATGAACCTCATTTTTTTAGAACAACTACGCTAATAAGAAAAATAACCACTGACCTGGTGTAACAATATGTGGCCTAGAGAGCCAGCATTCTGAACTATTCAGGTTCCTCAGATAGCCCAAGAGTGATAAGAGCCAAATGGGAGTCTGGACATCGTGGAGGAGTAGCAATTCCAGAATATTTCTTGCTGCCTCAGTCACCAACCAGAATCTGTCATGCAGTAGAATGGTAGACACCTTCACAACTCTCAGTGGTGCCTCAGGGTGCCTCAGGCCCAGTATCACAGCAGTGTCTTCAGGATCCCTGAGTGCATAGGCAAAGATTTATTACAGTACAATCATTAGAAAACCTGAACCTTAAACCTACATCAGGCTTTCCGGAATATCGCTTTTGTCATGATACACAAGGTTCCTAGCTCATCTTCATTGAAATCAGAAATCTATGAATAAAGAGTCCACAGACAATGGGGTTGCAGAGGAGATAACTAACAGAGGTACTAATAAGCCAAACACAGTGAGGCAATTTCTTTTTAGCCTAAAACAAAAAAGTTATTGTATAAGTGAGATGGTCATGCATTATAGAAGTGAATTTGGACAGATAAACTTCCAGCAATGTAATTATGGGATAATGAATTATAGGACATGGGAAGAGGCAGGCACAAACTTACATGTTCCTGACACAGTGGGCAGCTGTGAGAATCCAAGAGCTGCCAACTATGGAACCACTGCAGATCTGACTCCCACAGATGATGATGACAGCCTTCCAAGGCATGGCATATCGCAGATAAATCTGATCTGCCAAAGCCAAGGGGAAAATTCACACAATTAATTTGAATAGAATTGCCACATGTAGACCATTTAAAAAAAAATTTAGATCCCTCCTATTTCTGCTAACCAGGTCAGCATTGTTAAATATGACTAGCAAACACAAACTTCTACCTCTTTTCTGTTTTTCCTTTGTTTTTGTTTTTACATTTTTCTGAAAAAAAAAAAAAAGTTTTCCTTTTACTATTTTTCTAAGTTCACAGTTTCTTTATGTCCTAACTTAAATTTCTTCAGTCAAAGTACTGGGAGTCATTCCAGCTTTCTCCCCATTGCAACCTTTACATAGCTATGATTTTAGCTACTTAAAAGTTATCAAAGTAGATGGGCAACAAAAAATTATTTGATTTGGAGATATTAGATAAACAAGGAAAAATTTGGAGATAAGGCTCCTGTCTCTAAATTGGAGGGAGCTTATCTTCCTGAACTTACAATCTTAGTGTGATATCAGAATGACAGTTTAAATAGAACATTCAAGTTTGGGGTTAAGGAAATAGCTCATATTTTAAAAAACATTTGAGAGTTTCTCAGAAAACTGAGTTGAAGCAATGCCAGTTAATGCACATATTACAGATATAAAAACGATGAAGATAGGCTCTCTCTAGAAGAGGTGAGGAAATATAGATGAAATTAGAAGCATAACTATGATCTTAAGTGTAGTTGTCTTTGAATCAGACTTTGCAGAATGTGAGCAAATAATTGTGGCCTCCTTTGTGTTTTAATGTGTTATTCACTGTAGCTATGACAATAGGTGTTAGCTATAATATAGCTGTGGTTAAGTGCACATTTAGTACATGACACCAAAAGAGATCCCTCAGTTTCTAAGGAAATAAGTGGAAGTACAGTAATGTGAAATAGCCATTGCTAATATTGTGATAGGTTTTCTGATAGCCAAGGGAAGGAGGAAACTGATAATCACAATGTAATACAGTCTAGTACACCAGCACCTAAAACACATTACTTACCAACTGCTATGCTGTTTCCAAACATCATAATGTCTTTAACTTAAAATATATTCAATTCAAAATAATTCTATTACACATGTAAGATACTGTGTGGTAGAAATGACTTTGTGTTAGGAGAGTGTGTCTTAATGTTAGTCCTATTCATCTTTTGCCATAAGAACTTGAACAATCCATTCTACTTATCTAGTATAAGAGTAAGCAATTAACATAACTATAGTAATCATGTTTCATGACCTATATTATACAGTAATCTATATCATACAGGGATACAATGGAAATTGAATCATAGATCAAGTGTGAAATACCTTTGTAAACCACAATAAAAATAATTTCTGTGATTTGGTAGATAAAAAACTCATATATTTTACAGGAAGAGCTTTCTTTCCTCTCTGCTTCCCTCTCTTCTTTTCTAATTCCATTCTCTTCTTCCTTTATTACCTCTACCAAGTTTTTGAGCCTTACTCTGAGGCTGTGGCAGAGAGAAGTGTGGCCAAAGAGAAGCAGGGGTGGAGGTAAAAGCTGAAGCATTTGTAGAGGTAGAGACTGAATGGGACATAGAAGCAGAGGTAGTCATGGGCCCTTGCTTGTACCAGGGAGCATAGCTAGACTGTGTCACTCCCTGGAGTCAGAAAAGGAAAGGGTGCACTTGGCTGAAGACCTAGGGCTTTGTGCAATGGTCCTCAAAGTGACTCAAGATTCCCACTTGCACCCAAGTGTCCTCTTGCTGTAGATGGCATACGAAAGGTGCTCCCAAGTCACCTTGCAAGAAACAAGAGGCAAGATATCAAACAATATTTTAAAGGAGGGCCAGAAGTAACTTTTGGTTTTCAAGATATTCCTCTTTCTCCCTGATATTTATACCCCATGAATTTGTCACCTGATAGTCAGCCATCCACATGGCTTTCTTGGCCTCCACCCAGAAAGTGAGTTCATTCAGCTTGAGCCAAAATTGGGCACAAGTGCTGACTTGTAGGATGCTCAGGTGCCGTTTTTGCACAATTCCAGGACTTTCTGATAGAAAACAGAGAAGAGGTGTTTGTGTTTGTCTTCAAATTTTAGCCCACATTAGAGGGAGAAGTATGGTGAAGGGAAAGACAAATCTTTTATTATTCATGAGAGGATACTATTCTCTTCCTAAACATGCTTCTCTTTCATTCCAGTGTCTTCTTCTTTAGTCACCCCCTCATAAGGGACCAACTACGTAGCCAACAGTCATATAGTTGTATATTTTCTCTTGTTCCAGACATTGCTCCAGGCGTATAGGAAGGAACCTGGGTTGAAAATGTAGTGGTTGCTTCAGGAAGATCAACCCAGGTCCTAGAGGTCCCTTGGGACCTAAATAGGGCATGGCATGCTCAAAGGTTACAATCTCAGCTTGGGCAGGATCCTGGAGGTCAATAAGCCCCACTCGGACCACAGCCAGGGCTTCTGCATTTTTTTGGGGGAAAAAAAAATCAAGGAAAAAATCTTATTATTTCCACATTTCAGTGTGAAAAAACCCTGGAGTTCACGTGAATCACATGAAGTCCAGGTAAGCACTCAGTTGCAAATAGTACTTTAGAAACTATTTTCAAGGATCATTTGAGACCAATTGGTCAACATGATGAGAATTTTTCCTTACCAACAGCAAGAACAACAACAACAAAATTATCCAGATGCAGTAGCGTGTGCCTGCGGTCCCAGGTACTCAGATGGCTGAGGTGGGAGCATCCCTTAATATTGGGAGTTTGAGGCTAATGTGAGTCACACCACTGCATTTTAGCCTGGACAATAGAGGGAGAGTCTCTCTCTCTCTCACTCTCTCTCTCTCTCTCTCTCTCTCTCTCTCTCTGTCTCTGTCTCTATCTCTCTCTCTTTCCCTATCTCTGTCTCACACACACAAACAAAAATAAATAAATAAATAGAAAAGAAACATATTCAGTAACAGTCTCAATGTTTTACTTGCTTTATAATGATATCATAATCTTGAAATGAATTGCTCAGACTTACATAAAATTGACACATCTAGCTGTGCTAATGATCCACTGTTCATGTAGTATGGAGCCAGCACAAAAATGGGAGAAAAACATTTGTGCAGAAATCACCCAACAGAATTCACCAATTTCTGCCTCTCAGCAGTTGGGACAGACAGGGATAATGCCAGGGCATAATCCACACTCTGCAGAGGAACCCACACATGGTATAGAGTGATTAGTGTTACTACCCTTCCTTTTCTAAAATCTAAATTTAGACTTTTAGAAAAATGCTTGGAAATTCATTATCTTCAATTCTGAGAAAATACATAGAAATATACATTATTCATCCCACAATTTTAGATATAGTACAGAGGTTATCTTCATACTTCCCCTTCTAACAATAAAGCGTATATATATATACACACACACTATTACATATATACTATATATATACACATATATACTATATAGATGCTATATATAAATATATGTATATATAGTTTATATATGTAGTATATTATTATTTATATCTGATACTAGTATCCAAGATGTTATACTATTATCCAATAGTGTGTGTATATATGTATATACCTCAAGTGAAAATAATAAAACCTTTCTAAGGAGTAAGGCTATCTTTAAAATACTGCTGTCTGAATAGAATTGTGTTCATAACACATAGCTCAAACATCCTGTTTGGCAAAAAAAAAAAAAAAATATTCTCTCAATATTTACACATCTCTGCTGATTCACACAATAACCTAAATTTTGGTTTTGCAACGGTCTGAGAACATAACCTCTGTTGCTACAAACTCTGGTTTTAGGGTTCAACAGGAGTCTTCATACCAAGTACATTAACTCAAATATCTGACTCGACTAAAGCTGCCTGTGGTTTCATGGGAAATAACAGCTGTCCTGAAGAGCCAGAAAGCCTGGAAACTTTCTTTCCAAATCACAGCTAGTTGACACTCACCCAGGGAAACACTGAGTTCTGAATACCTAAGAGGTTGTTGTTCAGGCTTGGGTCCAGACTGAGATCCAGGCATCAGGAGAGGTTGTTTTGTTAAAAATGCGGCTGGAGCAGTATGCAAGGATGAAAAAGAATGAGAAAGAATTGACTCTTTAGTAAATGCTGAGGGAAATATATTCTGAGGAGGATTAGCAAAAGAGCCTATGGATAGCAGAATAGGAGAGGAGACCAGAGGAGAAATACCTGAGCAAGATGGGAAAATACAGAATGAAAGGAAAGTACAAGAAGAAAAGACTGAACAAGAAGGGGTCAGTGTACATACAGATGGAAGAGAACAAGAATGAATAAAGAAAAAGCATAAAGAGAGATAAGAGAGGTACTTGGGACATGAGGGCTTTCTTTTGTCTTGATAATTTTTAATTTCCTGCCATAGAGCTGGTAAACAACTCTTCCAGGAAGCCAAATGCTTGTAAACTGGCTTGGTTGGATAGAATTGATTTTATATTGGCTTTGTGTGGCAGTTATCTCAGTTGACAAAGCTATAAAATACCGATCTGGGGAATAAACAGTTTTTACTGGCAAAAAGGGTACACGTTTGGACAAGCAGCCAAAATGACTCGTTAATAGTGTTTCTCTGTTCGGCTCAATTTCAGGAGGAGAAAATGATCAATTATAACAGCTTTATAGGGTTCTGGGTCTTAGTATTTCTGTTTCAGGCTGGATCCAGGTTCTCACTTTGCCGGCTTTAAAAACACCGAAGGATTCAATAAGATGAACTTCAGACTGGATCCAGTGTCTGCTCGGGTTACAGGCAGTATCCAAGATATGAGTGTTCTTCCTTTAAGCAAGATCCATGGTTTGACTACTGGAGATAGAACCTTGGGCCAGAATCTTAATAGGAAGGTTTCAGACTGGATAAAAGAGTGAATTACATCAAGTTCAGGCTGGATCCAGGCGCCGACTATTTGATATTTCAAATAAACCCATGGTCTGCCTTTATTCATTTGAATGTAAAACGAAGATCTGTCTCTATCTTCAGTTTCCTGCTTGATCCAGAGTCTCTCTGCTTGGGTTTCAGGGTGGGTCCACGAACGATTTGTAGTAACTCTTTGCTGAGTCCAGGGCTGAAATATACAAACTGTCTCACGTGTCCGTGTGAAGAGACCCCCAAACAGGCTTTGTGTGAGCAACATGGCTGTTTATTTCAGCTGGTGGCAGGCAGGCTGAGTCCAAAAAGAGAGTCAGCAAAGGGTGGTGGGATTATCATTGGTTCTTATATGTTTTGGGATAGGCAGTGGAATTAAGAGCAATGTTTTGGGGACAGGGGGTGGATCTCACAAAGTACATTCTCAAGGGTGGGGAGAATAACAAAGAACCTTCTTAAGGGTGAGGGAGATTATAAAGAACCTTCTTAAGGGTGGGGGAGATTACAAATTACATTGATCAGTTAGAGTAGGGCAGAAACAACTCACAATGGTGGAATGTCATCAGTTAAGGCTATTTTCACTTCTTTTGTAGATCTTCAGTTGCTACAGGCCATCTGGATGTACACGTGCAGGTCACAAGGGATATGATGGCTTAGCTTGGGCTCAGAGGCCTGACACCAGCTTCAGTGTGGGGCCAAGGAGAGAGTGGCTGACTTTCAGGATGAACCTAGGGTCTAATTGTATCACACTGAGTCTGTAAGCAAGATGTGACTGTATCAATTTCAATGAAGTTTTGGGGTTTTATTACTTGGCTTACAGTCCAAATTTGGAATACTTCAGTTTCAGGTTGGTCCCAGGATTTAATGAACTCATTTGAGTCTGGAACCAGTATCTTATCACTGTATTGGCTTCAGGGTGGGTGCAGGGTTGAATTTCAGAGTAAGTCCATGGTCTGATTGCAGCAGGTACATGCTGAGTCCAAGGGTAATTTATACTAAGTTGATTCTGGGTCCAGGAGTGGGTCATTTGTGATTCCACTTGGGTCCATGGCCAAACTGCATCGTTTTGTGTTGGGGACCAAAGTGCGAACATATCCTCTTCAGGCCACATCCTAATTGCTTGAGATTCAGGCTCAGTATATTGTTTTATTTTATCAGTTTCAGAATGGGCCCAGAGTCTGACTGTATTGCTTTCAGCATAGATCCAAGGTTGCAGAACATCACCTTCAGACTGGGTCCAGGGTCTGACTGCATTCTTTTCAGATTGGTTCCATGGGTGGATTATTTGCCATTCTGGCTGCATCCAGGTAGTACCTGCTCGAGAATGAGGTTGAGTAACATTTATTCTTACATTGTTTTGAGTCTGAAACCAAGAACTCACAGTATTAATGTCAGGCATGGTCAAGCATTTTGCAGCTTGCATTTCAGCCTGATACAACAGTGTATCAGACAAGGACAGGGTCCAGGGTCTGACTGCTTGAAATTCACATGAGTCAAAAGTCTGATTGTATTAGTTTTAGGTTGAGTCCAGGGGTGGATTGTGCCTGCTTCAGTCCAGTTCCATAGTTTTACTGTATCTTCTTCAGAAATGGTCTGGGATCTCATTGTACCTACTTCAGATTGGGTGCACGGGTAGAAGACATCAGTTTCGGATTAGATCCTTGTTTTCAATGTAGTAGTATTATGTTTGGCCCAGGATTCTAGTTTACCAGGTCCAAATGGAGTAAATGTGCTCAGTGTTTGAAATTCTGGTTGAGCCCAAGGTTTCATTTTCTTCTGATCCAGTTTTAAACAAAGGTGTGCTAAGCAGAGCTTCAGGCTGGGGCCATGGTTCTGCTGCTTGTGGTACAAGCACTGTCCAAGATATAAGTGTTCCAAATTCAGACAACGTCCATTCATTGATATTTTCAATTTCATGATGTGTCCATAAAATAGATGCTTGATTTTCTTCATGAATCACAGGTCATGAGTATCAGGTTGAGGTGGTAATGAAACTCTAAATATTTTAGCTTCAGGCATTGTTCAGAGTTTCTTAGCTTCATTGTTTTTTTTTTTTTTTTTTTTTTGAGATTGAGTCTCGCTCTGTCACCCAGGCTGGAGTGCAGTGGCACAATCTCGGTTCACTGCAAGCTCCGCCTTCTGGGTTCAGGCCATACTCCTGCCTCAGCCTCCCGAGTAGCTGGGACTACAGGTGCCTGCCACCACGCCCAGCTAATTTTTTGTATTTTTAGTAGAGATGGGGTTTCACTGGGTTAGCCAGGATGGTCTCGATCTCCTGACCTCGTGATCCGCCCGCCTCTGCCTCCCAAAGTGCTGGGATTACAGGTGTGAGCCACTGCGCCCAGCCTCTTAGCTTCAGTTTTACCCATTGTCCAGTATGTGCCCATTTCGCTCTGTGTATAAGCATTTGCATCTGGAAAATCATCATGAGTCCACTTTGAGAGTGTGGAAGCTGCAGCCTCTGTCCATGTGTTCATTACTGGAGACTCAGACTGGGTCTGCGGGGTGATTGATTCTGACACAGGTAGATGTCCAGGTTTTTCCTGCTGAAGGGATAACTGGTTGCATGGTAACACGGTGGAAACTACAGCCCATGCCCCTGAATTTTCTGTTGAGATTCATCATTGTTTCATGATATAAGAAGATATAAGAAGATCAGATCAGTCTGTATCCAGGTAATTCCTACTGGAGGCCTGCAGCATGCAGCCACAGTATAATTGTGTCAGATACTGCCTGTGTGGAGGTAATCGCTGCAGAAGATTCAACCTGGGTCCACAGCATAAGTATATCAGATACAGGATGTGTCCAGGGTTTTGTTTCTAAAAGTAAAGCTTTGGTCCAAGGTATGACTATGGAAGCTATTGCCTCTATTCACAGATTGACTGCTAGAGATACAGGCTTGGTCCACAATGATAATATATTAGATATAGGCAGTCTCCAGGAATTCACTGGTGAAGATTCAGATTGGATCAATCCTATGTATGTATCAGATGCAGGCTGTATCCATGTAATTAATGCTGCAGATTCAGATTGGTTGTATTAAATACATAAGTTGGTTGTATTAAATGAAGGCTGTGGCCAGATCTTTACTGTTGAAGATACAGCCTGTGCCAAAATTGTTACCGTATGAGCAAAAGGCTCTGTCTAAGGATTTACTGCTGGAAATTCAGCCTGGGTCCAGGGTATAATTTTGGAAGCTACAGCCTCTGTCCAGGTATTTACTGGTAAGCATTCAGTTTGAGCCCATGCTTTCAGTGTATCATGAAAAGTTTGTGAAAAAACGATTAATGATGGAGTTACAGGCTGTGTACACAGTGTGAGTGTATCAGCAACAGGCTTTGTCCAGGGATTTACTGCCAAAGATTCAGTCTGGGTCCATGGTATGACTGTATCAGTCTCCACCTATAACAGAGGACTTGGGGCTAGAGATTCAGACTCTGTTCAGATCTTTACAATTGGAGGCTAAGATTGTATCATGGGATTTCTAGCTGGAAATTCAGCCTGGTTCCAAGTGATAACGGGTGTATATTTTGCTTGGGTCCATAGTTTGACTGTGCCAGGCAGAGGTTACAACCAGAAACTGATTGCTGGTGATTTTGTCTGTGTCCATATTATGACTGTATCAGCTAGAGCCTCTCTCCTGGGAATTATTACTAGAGATACAGCCATGTACTGCAGTGTGACTATACCAGGTACAGCCACTGTTAAGGGATTTATTGCTGGCAACAGATCCTGGGCCCATGATGTGACTATTTCAGTTTTAGACTGTCTCCATGGGTTTACTGCTACACAAACATCCTTAGCCAATGGTTTCACTCTATCAAGTAGAGTATATGTACAGAGATTGTTGATTTTAGAATGAGCCTGGGTCCACAGTATGAGTATTTCTGTTTCAAGCTTTGTGGAGGGATTTACTCCTACAGATTCAGCTTGGTTCAGTGGTATAACTGTAGCAGGTATAGGATGTGTCCCCTCCTTTACTTTTGGAGATTCAACCTCAGTACACCATGTGAACATATTCGTTTCATATTGTTTCCAGAGATTTATGGCAGGTGATTTGACTTGGTTCCACAGCTTGATTGTATAAGCTATTGCCTGTGTCAAATGCTTTAGTGCTGAAGACTCAGCCTGGGTCCATGGTATGAGCGTATCAGATACAGATTGGATCCAAGGCTTTACTGTTAAAAATTCAAACTGAGTCCACGGTGTGTATCAGCTACATGTTCTGTCCAGCAAACTACTGCTGGAGATTCAGCCTGAGGCCATGGTGTGTCTGTGTCATACACAGACTGTGTCCAAAGATTTCCTGCTGGAGATTCAGACTGTGACCACAGTGTGACAGTAGCAGCCCAAGGCAGTATCCATTGATATCCTGCGGTTAATTCAGCCCCTATCCACAGTGTGATGGCATCAGCTATGGACGTTCTCCAGGTATTTACTGATGGACATTCAACCTGGGTCCAAGGTACGACTGTGGAAAGTATAGGCTGTGTCCGTGGAATTACTGCTGGAGATACAGCCTGGGCCCATGGTGTGACTGTGGAAGTTCCAGCCTCTGTGAACGGATTTACTGTTGGAGACTCAGCTTGTGTCCACAGGATAATGGTATCAGATTCAGGTAGTGTACAGAGATTTACTGCTGAAGAGTCATTTTGGGCTCATGGTTTGATCATATAAGATACGTACTGTGTCCATGGATTTATTGCTGGAGACTCATCCTGTATCCATGGTATAGTACTATCAACTACAGACTTTGTCCAGGGATTTACTGCTGGAAATTCAGGTTTGGTCCACAGCTGGTCTGCATCAGCTATTGCCCATGTCCATGAATTTAGTGCTGGAGAATCACTCAGGATCCTCTTTGTGATTGTATAAGTTTCAGACGGTGTCCAGGCATTTCCTTCTACATAAATTCAGCCTGGTTCCAGGGTAGGACAATGTCAGCTGTAGCCTCTCTCCAGGGATTCATTGCTGGCATTCTACCCAGAATCCATGGTTGAATCCAAGATACTGCTGGACTTTCAGCCTGGGTCCATGGTAGGAACATATCACGTGCCCAGGGACTTAATCCTAGAGTTTCAGCCAGAATCCATGTTGTGAGTATATCAGTTTCAGAGTATGTCCAGTGATTTAATAACTGATTCAGCCTGGATAGGTGTTGTGACCGTATCACATATAGAAGAATATATCCATGAATTCATCACTAGTGATTCAGCATGGGTCCCTAATGTGATTATATCAGTTCCCAACTGTTTCCAGGAAAGTATTGCTGGAGACTCAACGTGGGTTCACAGTGTTATTGTTTCAGTATGGAACTGTGTAGAGTAGTTTCCTACTGACAAATAAGCCAAGATCCACAATGAGACTGGGTTAAATTCAGATAGTGCCAGGTATTTACTGCTAAATATTCAGGCTGTATTTTTTCCAGGGATTTGTTGGTGGCATTTCATCGAGGATCCATGGTATGGCAGTTTCAGCTATAGTTTTTGCTCAGGGATTTATTGTTGGAATTCTATCCTGGATCTATGTTGTGACTGTCTTAGCGATAGGCTCTGTCAAGGGAAGTAAGGCTGGAAATTCTTCTTGGTTCCAAAGTGTGACTTTACCAGACACAGAATGTGTCCAGAGTTTCACTGCTGCAGATTTGGCAATAGTCCACAGTATGATTAGATAATCCTCTGGACAGGCTGGGGTGAAGTGACAAGATCATAAGTTACAGCAACATCAAACTCCCTGGTTCAAACAATTCTTTCACCTCAGCCTCCCAAGTAGCTAGGGCTGTAGGCACACTGCAAAACAAGCAGCTAATTTTTAAATTTTATTTATTTTTTCTAGAGACAGCATCTCACTCTATTTGCCAGCCTCCTCTGGAATTCCTGGCCTCAAGTGAGGCCCTGTCTCAGTTTCCCAAAATACTGAGATAACAGGCAAGAGCCACTGTGGCTTCAAAGGCTTTTTAAATAAGTTCCCTATTTCTTAATTTTTTTAAATCACTGAAAATTCTTCTGGTTTATTTATTTGTGATTAAGGAAAATGCATATCTTTATGTGTATTTACAGAACTGTTAACGTGTTTCTACACCTGCCCCCCCAACCCAAAAATGCTAGCTTTGCCTTTATGTAGTAAGTACTCAGCAGTCTACTTGTGGCTGATTCTAGATACATAAATTATTATTTCTAGTCATGTGACTATGTTGATGGTGGCAGATGGAGGGATCTAGAAGCTTAACTGACAACATCTCGATATTGCTGCCAAAGCTACTGTGATCTGAAGGAATAGAGATGAGAAGGATATGAGATATGCATTACTCCATCAGGCAATTGATAGCATGTTTTTCCTAAGAGATTTTATAGCATAGCTTTCAATCATTAAAAAATATCCCTGAGATAGTTCAAATTCTCCTTTCCTTCCATCCTATCTCATACAAACTTACTTCATAGACTCTTGGATTGTGGCAAATCACCTTACACCAAGTAACAGAATACAGAATAATTTCAATGCCTGATATTGTGACTTTACTTCCATTTTTACCCATATAAAGTTGAGTAATATGGACTCATTTGTTTATACATGTTTTATAAATTTCTGCTTTTATTTCTCCATTAATTTTCTTTTTTATTGTCCACCTCTAAATTATATTAATGATGTAGAGGACATGACTTTTGTGGCTTACTCTGATATTGGTATATAGCCAGCAGTGAGATTGCTGGATCATATGGTAGCTCAAATTTCAGATTTTTGGAAAAAATAAAAGATTTGGAAGCAACCTAAATGTCCATCAGCAGATAAAGCGATAAAGAAAATGGGGGAGGGATAGCATTGGGAGATATACCTAATGCTAGATGACGAGTTAGTGGGTGCAGCGCACCAGCATGGCACATGTATACATATGTAACTAATGTGCACAATGTGCACATGTACCCTAAAACTTAAAGTATAATAAAATAAAAACAAAAGAAAATGTGGTACACATACACAATGGAGTATTATTCAGCCGTACAAAAAGAATGAGATCCAGTGATTTCCAACAGCATGGTGGAACGGAGATCATTATGTTAAGTGAAATAAGCCAGGCACAGAAAGACAAACATTGCACGTTCTCACTTATTTGTGGGACAAGAAATAAAAATAATTGAACTCATGGACATAAAAAGTAGAAGGATGGTTACCAGAAGCTGGGAAGGGTAATGGGGGCCTGGTAGGGAGATGGGGATAGTTAATGGTTTTAAAAAAACATAGAAACAATGATTGTGACCTACAATTTGATAGCACACCAAGATGACTGTAATCAATAATAACTTAATTATACATTTTAAAATAATTACAGAGTGTAATTGTATTGTTTGTAGTTCAAGTGATGGGTGTTGAAGGAATGGATACCCCATTCTTCATGATTGGCTTATTCCAGATTGTATGCCTGCATCAAAACATCGCATGTACCCCATAAATATACACACTTACTATGTCCCCACAAAAAAAAATTAAAAAAAATAATATTATGAAGAGACTATACCAAGAGGGAAATAAGCCGTATCTTCCAAAGCATAATTTTTCTTTTACCAGGTTTGTTTTATTTATTTATTTTTTATTTCTCTATCTTTCTCTCTGCTACAAACACACACACACACACCCCTTCATACACACACCCCTTCATACACACACATACACAAGATGATAATCTGGCCAAATGTAAGTTTGGAGATATTGAATTACAGTTTACCATCCAGATTGTCAGGTCTGAAAGCTATTAGAAAATGAAGTATCAATCATCTAATATTTGGAAAAAATTTGTAAGCACATATCATGGAAGTTATTGATAATATGTTCTTTAAGTACTGTAGATTTTAATGCTGCTTTTAATGTTGGTTAAGTGGGAATTTTTATAATCTTGCTGTTTTATAAGAACAGTTAAATCAGAGATAAAATATAATGTATTGCTGCACTAATTTAGAAGGTGTCATGAATACCATACATATGTATGGATGGATATATAGACATAGACCCTTTTTTTTTTACAAACTTCACTGAATTATAGCATTTATTTTTGATGTTCTTTTACTCCAAGTGGTAAAATTACCTTTTTTAAAAAATCACTAATTATGGTAAGTAAATACACTGTAGCCCAAATGTAGGCCCAGCACATTGCTGGTGTCTAGGCAAATTATTCCCCAAACTTACTAATTAGTAGAAGTAGCTTTAGACTTTTACTAGGATAAATGCAACTTTGATTTTATGATGAGATTTATATTTAGTGTTGAGGACTTGTTTGATTAACGAGACTGGTGAGTCTATTAGGAAAAATAACCAAGACCCTCAGGGAGAACTACAAGCCTGAAGATCTAGATCAGCATAATTAGGGAATCCAAATGAGCCTCAAGCCCTAAGTGGGAATCCAAATGAGCCTCAAGCCCTAAGTTAGACGATATTGCTCCCAGACTTTTATCACTGCCTTCATATTCATCTCTGGACTAGTCATTTTCAATGCATGGAAAAAAAATGGGTGCATGTATTTTTAAATTATTGAGGACAGTATCCTACTTAAGCACAATACTGTATTCATGCATTTAAGTGTCATGTAAGGATTAATATTTTGATTTACTCTAAAACAATAAGTTACTGAACTCCTAGAGGCCCATCCTAAATAATATAAATAAGATACAGTCACTATCTGTTGTTCACCTAATAAGTACCTGACACTATGCTAGGAAATAGGAGGTGGGTGGTGGGACTTAATGAGTCTGTCAGTCCATTGTTTTTATATATTTTATATAAATATATATATATTTATATATGTGTGTGTGTATAATTGCTGTTTTAATTATTGAGCATCTGCTATGTGTCAAGCACTGTAATGGACACAACAGACTCAGTAGTATGCAAAACTAGCACACACTTTGACCCCATGGAGTTTGCAATGTAACTAGGAAAGTATATGTGAAACTGAATATTACAAAGAAGAATGCCAGAAGAGCAGGAAATATTTCAGGAAAAAAGAATTATTTCAGATGTTTATGAACTTCACCTACAGTTTCAATCTTGTAAATATAAACATGCTGTTCTTTATACAAAATCCCACTGTGGACTCACAAGCACAGATAGGGTACACGCAGGGATGGTTTTCCCAAAGCTGAGATAAATTGAGATTGAATATCAGCCACCCTCAGCTAATCTCTTAAATAGACACGCATACTTAAGGAATGCTTGGACTAAGTAAGCCTATGACACAGGGTGAAGGCAATGTAACCCCAAATTAAATCAGCAACTTGTTCCCCCTTGGTTCACTTTAATTGTGCTAATTATCAAAAACCTGAATATGTGGTCAAGCTGGGCACAGAAGGTGGTAGAGAACTTCCACGTATTATTATTTACTTTTCAAGTCTCTACACCTGAAAAGCAGAAAAGGCAGGTGCTATTAATACCATTTTATGGATGAAGACACCAAGACTTATAGCTAATAGCCCACCCAAGATCAAAAATACATAACAAGAGCTATTTCCAAACCTCAAAGCACGAATCTCTTGGGTATGAACTCTTGTCTCTTTGCTGAGTCAGATTACTTACTATTCATATACTTTGCATCATTACATAAAAGAAAATTGCTCAGTTACATGCACTTTAAGCCTTTTAGGTATATTCTATCAAAAACACAAGATCAATTCAAAAATAAAAATTGCTTTAAAATTTATAAATTTGAGCTATTTACTTGGTAGTATTCATGTATTCATGACTCAGCAGGTAGCAATATAATGCATGCTTGTCAGATATTATTCACTATAAAATAATAAAATAGTGCATCCCTGGGTAAAATTAAGAGCAAGACTCCATCTCAAGAAAAAAAAAAAATTCTACTCCCAGGTCTACAGAAAAAACGCCAGTTTAAATTAAATTCTGCTTGCTCCCATAGAATAAAATAGCCCTGTGTATTTAAATTACAAAAACAGTAGCCTTTCTGTTATATAAATTTATGTCCCGAATGAGTGTAGTAGATAGTGCATATACCACCACTGATATTTGTAGCTGGGCAATTAGAAACATGTAACTTGCAAACATCTATAATATTTATATTTATAATATCAAATATCTATAATACAGAAAGCCAAACAAGAAGTACAGGTTGACCAAAAAAAAAAAAAAAAAGAATAAACAGGCCATATGCACAACTGCAGCTCAGTAAAGCATGCTGCTGTCATTTTGTGGTAGATTATAGTTTTACTGTAACTAAGAACCAAACAACTCTAGAAGAAGTAGGTGTGCATTCATGTATGAGTGCACACACACATATTTTTGTTTTCTCATTTTTACTGATAATAACAGTAATAATTATTGCAGAAAATTCAGAAATGGAGTTTTTAAAACTCTAAAAATTGTACAACCATTCAGAAGTAAATGCTACTACCTTTTCCCCACATTTTCTTGCAGATCACCAATTATACATCAGATTTTTATGTATTTATTATGATTATTTCCTCACTGCCATCTATTCTTTATAATGTACTTGAATCACTCTACTATAATTCATTTAAGTATTCCCTTTTTAAAGGAGGTTATGAATTTGCCAGCTCTTTTTCTTTTAAATGTTTGCAAATTCGATAGTTTGAAATAATAACTCAATGATTTATTTGCATTGTATTTATTTGATTACTAGTGACAGTGAACAAGCGTCTCAATGTTAATTGACTATTTTTATCCCTTTATTAGTTCGTTATTTGAGCATGTTCTTTATTTTATTGAGAACAGTATCTTATTTCTCTAAAAACAATAACAATCAAAAGTACATTACTGAGGAAACATATTCATATTTGGCAAATAAAATAATGTGATGGTCTCATAACAACCCTTTCAATGTGATAACTTAGAAATAGTTTTTTTTTTTTTCTAAGTTGTCTTAAGTAACAAATGTTGTCTTTCCAAACCTAGCTTCAGGGGTAAAATAATAATAAAAATGCATTTGAATCCAAAATATGCAAGAATCATTGTGTCCAGCTCCTGTAGGTAGACAATATAAGCTACTGAAATCTGTCTGATGCATAAAACGGGTCCTTTTTCCTCCTTAATGATTCAGTCTGCTGGATTTCCATATTCATATTAACAGTTAAATATTTCTAAGTCATCCAGACAGGACTTATGAACCAGAATGTGATCTTTGTACCAGCGATTCATTTAATACAATTATTTATGGCACTACAGAATTGATATTTTGAAAAAGTATGAAAAAATATCTTAGCATATATAAAAAATCTTTAAATGATATGAAATACTCCATTTTACCATTATTACTTCTAATAATAACACCAAAATTTGCATTTATCTTATTTGATCCTCACAGCAATCCACAGACCTAGAAAGAAGAGGCGTTTTCATCCTATTTTTATAAAGAAAGAAAGCAAGGTGCAAAAGACATTGAGTAAAAACCCAAGGTGATATGCTTAATTTGTAGCAAGGAAGAGGCTGAAAATTTACCCTTCGGTTTCTAAATCCTTTACTCCCTTTTCCTTAACACTACTGACCCTCCTTCCGCATAATTATAGCATCATTGTCAGAGTTCTAGTTTTCTGTTAACACCCTATTTGGTCTACAGGTGATGTTCAACTACACCTCTCTGTTTACCACCAAACTATGAAAGCGGAAGACAGGAGCTTTCCAGTGAAAACTTCTTAAGGAAACTTAGAGGGTGAACTGTCCTTTCAAATAATGTCTGCTAAGGATAAGTCTCTGGGTTAGCCTGATCTATTTTGTACTCTCATTCACCTGTAGCGTTATTCATACAATTCTCTGAGCCTGGAAGCCTGGAATGAATGCTTTTGTTCATTCTTTCTCTCTCCTTTCTTGCTTTTCTCTCTCCCTCTCTCTCTCTCCCTCCCTCCTTCCCTCTCCCCTCATCTCTCTCATCTGTCTCCACCCACCCCATTCTCCAAGGCCCACCTCGTATGCCATCAATCTTTCTCATTATCTTCCACAAATTGAATGTGATAATTCTTGCCTCTGAACCAATACTACTAAGTAAACTTATCTTTTAATTCAAACCTATACAAGTTGTCTTACTCCCTTATCTGACAATAAAATGCTTTATGGTTTTGCCTCACATATGAAAGTGTTCAATATCATTAAGAAAAATAATGTACAGATACACATCTGAGGAGGTATTGGCATATACAATTGATATAGGCATAGAAGTCTCGAAAATGGGTTTATATCACAGAACAAGAACTACCCATTTGTATTAAAGTACAACCTACTTGCCTAATTGTAGCATGTAGCTGAGAACAACCTCCAACGATGTGAATAGTTTGCACTGGGGCCCTTCAGAAATTGATTACCCTTCCAAAATGCATCCAGCTTTGACTTTAATGACAAGTTCAATTATTTTTTCTCTAAATTCATTGATGGCAATGTGTGTTATTGCCACCTTCTAATTGTAGCTTTCTGCCTCTTTGAATATGTCCCATGGCATAAGTTATGTGCATTTCAGCAATAGAAGCAAAAAACACTTGTGCCCAAATGACATTTGGGACTGACTTCACAATCTGCTCCAGGATTTACTCTAGGTGTTGTTTCCCTAATGTAGATCTTCCAAACTGAACCGCTTCAATCTTTTTTAGTACATAGTGCTGGAGTTGTAAATAACTGCTCAAAAGTCAACTGTGGTATGATCGAGACCCTAAGCAAGAAATTATGTGTAAAGAAAAGATTTCTTCTCTTTCCTAGGCCTGTTAATTCATCAGCAAAAGTAAGCAATTATAAAATAGGAGGGTTTTCCAAGTCTTACTGTGCAGAATCACCTGGGAAGTTTTTATTTGTATAAAAAGCACAGTTTTTTATCCTCATCCCAGTCCTATAGAATGAAAATTTCCAGGGATCGTTCTAATATATCTAGTCCATTGATCCCTGTTGAGATACAATAGGTTATACGGTCTCTAAGGTCTCAGGCATCACTAGACTTTTATAATCCATGAATATTTATGAAATCCAAATGATAATAAGAAAATGCTTTTTCATCCATCTAGACGCATCAGGCAAGGCAAAGAATGCTCAACTGAGTATCAGGAGACTTGGAATAAATCGTGGCTTTTTCATGACTTTGTAATCTCAGAAAAGTCCTTTCCTCTTAGGGCTTCAGTTTTCTCATGTATAAAATAAAATAATTGGATCAAAGCATAATCTAATCTGTGATGCCTTGTGAGTTGTGCCTGCAGAAGTTCAAATAAGATAGATGAGGATAAGGCTAACACAAAGACTTGTGCCACCAGGGGAAAGGCTGTTGACTATCTCACACGGGTATATTCATTATCATGATGCCAAGGCCTCAGATCTCTGCAGCCTTTTTGACTCAGTTATCTAAGTTATCAGCACTCAGAGAGTGGGTAGATTCACATTGTGCTGGCTCACAAGACTGATCAGAAATACAAATAATTAGTTTGCAGTGAAAAACAGGACTATGATAATAACTGTAGGCACTGTAGATGAGGCATCTTTTTTTCTATGGACTTTATGTAAAAGATACAGCATGGAAAGCTACCTGTAATGAAAAGGCCAGGAACTTATTTATAATGAAAAAAAAAACATAACTGAAAGAGAAATAGGCAATATATTACTTTGGTGAGAGCAGTCTCTTTTTGAAAGTAAGATCTACCTAGAAAGACCCATAACCGACAGTATTCTTTTGGTGAGCCTAGAGCCATAGCAAAGGGAGTTAGGGGAATTAGCAAAAAAATTTGAATACATCTCTTACTGTTTTGATTTCAACTCCCTTTACCCTTTCCCAAATTCACTCAGAAACTTCCACGAACCTAGACTTGCAGGAAGTATGCAATAAGGATCTGCCTTTCAGAAGCTGAAAAAGACAAATAGGGCAGCAATGAGGTAGGGTAAAGTAGTAATGAGAAATAAGTTTAAGGACAAATCGTGGAGAACTCCAAATTCCATAACAATGAGTATAAACAGAATTCATAGGTATGAAGAGTGATAGAACCTCAAATTTCAGTTAAGTGACATGTCTGACATAGAATTGAATTGGAGTTAATTGGTGATATCTTGAAAAGTTAGAATGAATATTGAACACTATCCAATATGTGGCTAGTGATTAGAGGATTCAAGTGTATTCATGTGATATTCCAACAAAGTCTTGTAGCAACATATAGTATTTTAAAAGGGAGAGATGTTGGGAGTGAGTATAATTCAAAGAGGCATCTCAATTTCAAGTTAAGCAAAATATTAACATACATGTTAACTTAGTGAACTCCCACTGGACAGAAAAAGACATAATTTGAGCAATAATAACTTCAATCGTCAAAAACACATCACAAGTATAAAAGTAAATAAATTCAGAATGATAAAAACTTATTAGATATCATTGGAAGTTGCTAAGACATCAACCCATTTTTCTGAAAACAGATGAAGGGGAAATTTTAAAGCATTCATCGTCACTTTCCAGATGAAGGGCATTTTAAGATAAGCTAATAATTATGGAGAGAAAGTTATTCTTTGTTGAATTGATAGATTCAAAAGGAATGATAGAAGAAGAAAATCTCCATTTTGCATCCCCTAAAAGCATAATGTACCTTGACAACAATAATCAATTAATTCTAAAAACCTTAGTTGAAGTGTTGGTGAGAAATTTGATGATGGAAGGGTCAGGTTGACATCATCTGAACCCACAGTGACAGTTTCCATTACTGGAAGTAGGACAATCAGACATTATATGCCTCCAAGGCAGTGTAATGGAAAGTATACACCACCACTCACTAAATATTATTGCCTAAAATTGGAACAAAATACAATTAAGGCTCTGGGGCTACACACAATTTTAAGGGAAATACCAGAAAAAGAGGAGTATATTAAATGAAGTCATAAGGAACCAATCTGTGATATTCAGAATGTGGGATGGTCTATAGGACAAACAGTCCGGTTTCTCTCTCAATCAATTGCATGATCTGAGGGATTTTTGAGTATAGATGATATTAGATGGTGTTAAAGAATTTAATTAATTTTCTTAGCATAATAGATTAATGTTATTAAGTATGCCAGTGACATGGTGATATGTAAAATCTATTTAAAATATTATTGTCAGAGATGTGTATTTAAGTATTTTCTGGTAAAATAACATAATGCTGTAATATTTTATAAACCCCTCTCAAACAAAATTAAAAAGAGTAGTTGGGCGATAGAAGCCTCAATATTCCAAAGTAATGATGGTTGTTGACTGTACGTGATGGATACATCGCAACTAATTACTGTTCTCTTTACTTTCATATGGAATTCAAAAATTTGCATAATAAAATGCTTTTTAAAATTACTGAATATGAATTGATCTGACTAGAGCAGAATTGGTGGACAACACCTGTCCAAGAGGTACTGCAGAGTAGCAAATCAGGGATGCCCCTTCTAAAAGTTGTAATGCTATGCAGAACTTCCTCTAACATAGCACTTATCACTCTGTATAATACTTACCTACTTAAATGCCAGTTTCCATATATTGTGTGCTGCTTATTCTTTAGTTTTTGCTACAGATTGATTCTCTATCTGTTTCCATGTTGTACTATTTTCCATAAATCTGGCTTGCTTGGGCTTCTTTACCCTCTGGCTTCCAACTAGATTTGGCCAAAGGAAAATACTGGCTAGATATCTGCTATAGATTGATTCTCTATCTCGTTCCATATTGTAGTGTTTTCCATGAAGCTGGCCTGCTTGGGTTTCTTTACCCTCTGGATTCCAACTAGATTTGGCCAAAGGAAACTACTGGCAAGATATCTGAGGGTGGAAGGAGAGAATGAAGTACTAATTCCTTTGTTTCCTTCCCTTATAGGCTGCAAGTTGTCTGGGCTGATTTGTCTATCTGTTAATAGCTCCTGTGGTCAAAACTTTCATACAGATAGAACTTTCACTGTGGGTTCCAGAAAGGATTTCCTCCCCTTGACCCTTTAGGCCTAGGAGTAGTAGTAACTTTTCAGTATGCCATCTGTTATTTGCTAAGACCCTGACTGATAAAGACTATAAGCTTCATTAAAGCTTACAAATTGTCTCACTGTCTTTTGTTCATTGTGATACCTACAATATATGACTGCCTGTCATCTAGGAGACAAAAAATTAATATTAGCTAAAGGAAAAGAAAAATAGAAGGATATGAATAAAATCCCACATTAATTTCCAATTTTAAAAAAAGTAACGGAGAAATAGAAAATACATGCTTATTGTGTTCTTTTAAAAAGAGTCCATTCATTAGTCAGTTTCATGTACAATGAATTGGCCATGCAGACGGCCAGTGCTGAAGAGAAATGTTTGAAATATCTGCTCCTGTAACTACCAAACCTTTAAATTTATTTTCCTGAATACTTATTTCACAGGTAGAACAATTATCAGTAATTTGATTTACCCAATAAGCTGCTTTGCCTTGTTTATTTGTGCTTCCAAATCCTCCTCTTCATTTAATTTCACTTTTTCCCATTCCCAAATACAGCACAATCAGGAGCTGTGCTATACACTCTCCTGGCTCTGCTTTCCAGCGAACAGAAGTAGATATAACAATTTGAATTTCCCCATTGTAGTCTGAATCAATGACTCCTGTATGTATTTGTACCTCTTTTAAACTTAAACTAGACCTTCCTAAAAGTGATCCTATTGTTCCCACTGGCAAGGGTCCACAGACTCCTGTTGGGACCTTATGTGGGTGTTCCCCAGGCGGAAGGCTCACAGCTTTTGTGCAGCATAAATCTACTGCCACACTACTGGCTGTGGCAGGGGACAGATATTGTACAGAGGTGAAGGAATGGCCTGAGCTGGAAATGCCCCAGTCTGGAGTGGGGGCCGGGATGGGCTGGCACCTCATGGCATTTCCTGAAATTGGGTTCCCATCTTTATCAAACTTAGAGTGACACTGACTAGCTCAATGTTTTCCTTTTTTACATTTTGGACACATTTCAGACTCAGCAGTTACTTTTTCCTGCTATCTGGCAGCCTGACTCACTGATTTTTTCTACATTCTTTTTTAGTATGAATAGCTTGTTTAAATTCTTGAGTAATTTAAAAGGAAAAGCCTCAAATATTTCCCTGCTGATCTGGGGGTTGTATTCTAACAGAGTACTGCCAAGCCTCTAAATCACCCTCTCTTCTAGCTTGCTGAATTACTGCCTGTATAGAACTGAGAGCACTCAAGGCACTGCTTGAACACTCACTGGGGCAAAAAGTTTTCACCCAGGGTCCTCTGGAAAAGAAAGATCTGGAGGGCCTTTTTCTTCAGTATAATAATGAGGGGGTGCAGAAGGGTAGGGATGAACCTCTCCCTCCTTTGCCGCTTTAGCTTTAGTTGGCAAATAAACCTGCTCTGAAACCTCCTGTGTTACTTCGTTATACTCTCCTTCCTCCCCATCATCAGTGTGAAAAAGTTCCAAGGTGGAACTAACCACAGCCCGCACTTGTCCCATTGTTACCCTGATGCTTCTGAACTCCCCTTCTTACTCACCAAGGGGATTGCTTTAAGAGTACTTGGGTGTCCTCCAGCTGGTTCCACATTCTCCAACCATCACTCCAGTGATCCTTTGACCTGGATTCAACCCCTTGCGTATGGGTGCCCCTTGCCGAGACCAGCTCAGCTGGGGAAACCCTAACCCAGCAGTGCTAGAGGAATTAAACCACACACACACACACACACACACACACACACACACACAAATATAGAAGTGTAAAGTGGGAAATCAGGGGTCTCACAGCCTTCAGAGCTGACGGCCCTGAACAGAGATTTGCCCACTTATTTACTAACAGCAAGCCAGTCATTAGAATTGTTTCTATAGATATTCGATTAATTGAAAGTATCCCTTATGGGAAATGAAGGGATGAGCCAAAATAAAGGGATGGGTTTGGCTATTTATCTGCAGCAGGGGCATGTCCTTAAGGCACAGATTGCTCATGCTATTGTTTGTGGTTTAAGAATGCCATTAAGCAGTTTTCCACCAAGGGCGGGCCAGGTGTTTTTTGCCCTCATTCTGGTAAACCCACAACCTTCCAGTGTGGGTGTTATGGCCATCATGAACATGTCACAGTGCTGCAGAGATTTTATTTATGGCCAGTTTGGGGCCAGTTTATGGCCAGATTTTGGGGGACTGTTCCCAACAGGTGGTATTTACAAATATTTTACTGTGTACCTATTTCCTGCAGCTATTAGTAGGTTGGCTCAAGATCCAGGAATGAGATGATACAATTGAGGTAACAAGGCCCCAGAAGAGCAATAGGAACTGGGGTCAACATTGCAAAGAAAAAGGAGAATGGGCCTTGAAACGTAAACACATTTGCTTCCTCTGGGACAAGTAGAAAAGGAAGAATGTCAGAGGTAAACAGTCAAGTTGGGATAATGAGAAGCACACTCTAAATAAGCTCCATCTTCTCAGGCAGATTAGAGGGTTAGATCATGGGTTTTAGGAGCAGCTCAGAGGTACAGAGCAGCTCAAGTGTGTAACGGAAGAACAGCTCTTTAAGGCACAGAGGACTGATCACCTGTATTGAGGGCCCAGCTGTAGTTGGGGGAGCCTGAAATTAAGTAAGCCCAAACCATGTGCTTGGAGGGGAGTTTATTTTTTATTTTTATTTTTACTTTTGGTAGGTCCGTGGAGGAATTCTAAGCATCCATCTCTTCTTCACCTTTCAGTGAGGGTGGAAAGATGAAGATGTTTAAGGATTGGAGGTTTGCAGAGCCTACCTTATTTGATGTGAGAATGGCAGCCTATTTAACTGAAGATTCTGGGCTTATCTTGCATAGTGAAGGGAAGCAGAGGAGGGGCAAGTGGCAGCTAACCCAGGGGGAAAGGGAGGGTGGATTAGCGGTCTCAGGGATCAAGGACTAGATCTGGAGAGACTGGCAGGTGGAATTATAACAATTGTCCAAGAGTACAGAATTGCAGGATTAGGTTTCAGGTGGATACTGGAAAGCAAATGCACTGTGCTGCCATTGGATGGAGTCATGGAAATGAACAAAGTTCAAGGTCCCTGGGGTGAAGGAGTCACCAGGGCTGCAAAGGTCATCCATGTGGCCATTTGATCTGGTCATCTGGGAAGTAACTGGACAAGAGAAAGTGAGGATGAGGAGTGGCAGGGAGTCTATTTCAGCAAGTGGGATTGAATCTATTTTTTAAGAAATCATATTCTGTTTCTAAGTGTATGTCTTAGACCACACTGGATTTACAGCAGTATTTTTGGCCTACATCGTGAACTGCTGCTGCCAGATGTTAAAAGTAGCAAGGCTTTACCCTAGCATTAAGTCTTGCTTGGGGCTTCTCAATGAGACCTACTTGTTTAATGTTAAGTGCACACCCTTTACAATTTTATATAGCATTGATAGGAATTGGGCTTGCTCCAGCTATAAAAATGAGTGTTGGAAGCACAGTTTTTTGAGATGTTTGGATTGTGTTTAGACTAATAACTTCATCTGCAAGATACGGGACTGGCTAGATTCCTGTTTATTTAACTGTGAGTTTCTGAAGGCTTTGAGGAAGATTGTCATCCTCACACAAACCGCCATGGCTGTATTTCCTCACCTGGAATGTCAATCCTTTTCTCTTCCTGATAAAACCATACTGTCTTTCAAGACACAGCTGGACTGTCACCCTGGTGATATCTTCCCTGACTCCCACTGAGCAAATGATTTAGGTCTCGTTCCTGCATGCAGTCTTTATTTACCTCAGTTATGAAGTTATACCTTATTGTGATTATTTCTCCCTGATTAAATTGTGAGGTCTTTAGAGACAGTGACTATATCTGTCTACATTTGTATAACTTGTTCCCAGTATGCTGCTTGATATGTGTTAAGTAGTAAATTCTTGCTCTGTGAAAACATAAATGGAAGGATGGCCCATTCATTTAGGAGTTCATAAGAGCTTGCTAACTCTGAGTCAGAATGACCCATGAACTGAAACATACAGAGAGCACCATCACTAAAAACTGTGGGATTATATTCTTTTGCAGTTTTATTGCTGAATGCACATTTTGTTCAATGGTTCTTCCTGAAGAACTCATCAATTTTTAGTTAACGGGACCAGGTGTGGTGGCTTATGCCTGCAGTCCCAGCATTTTGAGAGGCTGAGGTGGGCATGTCATTTGAACCCAGAGGTTCAAGAGCAGTCTGCGCAGCTTGACAAAGCCCATCTCTATAAAAAACACAAAAAATTAGCCGGACTTGGTGGTGTGTGCTTGTAGTCCCAGCTACTCGGGGGGCTGAGGTAGGAGGATCCCTTGAGGCCAGGAGGCAGAGGTTGTAGTGGGTCAAGACCACGCCAGTGCACTACAGCCTAGGCAATAGGGCAGGAACCTGTCAAAAAATCTTTTTTAGATAAAGGACTGGGGATTTTAAAGCACTAAGTAGCATATATTACATAAGGGATGTTAGGAACATATGAAAATACAGGTAAATAGTAATTAGGAGAGTCAATTTGTATGCAGCTAGAATATCTAGTTGTATAAGTTTGAAACTTTGCTTTCCAATAGGTTGAAAAAATTCAAACTCAAGTCTGGAATTTTTTTTTTTTTTTAGATGGAGTCTCACTCTGTCACCATGGCTGGAGTTCCATGGTAATTATCAGGTCACCACAACCACCTTTGTCTCCCAGGTTCAGGTGATTCCCTTGCCTCAGCCTCCTGAGTAGCAGAAACTACAGGTTCCCGCCATGATGCCTGGCTAATTTTTGCATTTTGTTAGAGATGTGGTTTTACAATGCTACACAGGCTGGCCTTGAACTCCTGACCTCAGGTGATCCTACCACATTGGCCTCCCAAAGTGCTAAGATAACAGTTGTGAGCCACAGTAACCAGCCAAGTTGGAGTCTCTTGAAGGTGAAATTGTTGCTTTGTGGAATTTAGAAAACAGTATATTCATTTACATCAGTTTGGCTTTCATCAGTTTTCTTGCGAAAAATTAATAATTTTCTATGTAGATTGACATAAAAGAAATTTATGGCCAAAGGCAACTTTAAGTAAAAGCCATGGATTTGCTAAGAGGAAGAGAAGTAGTGCTGAAGCACTGGGTTGAAGCTTTTGAATTTTAAGTATGCATGTTTATTTTTGAAACTCAGAATTATGAGAGTAAAAAAATTACTATATATATGCATATATAGTATATATGTATACACAGTAACCGTGATATATATATATATATATATATAATCACAATATTCTAATGTTTATTGCCAAGTAGAGTTCTTCTTTATAAAGGTGATATCACCTATAATTAGAAAATACAAATTAAGAGGAAAAAACACTAGGGTTTTGCTTTTGACATATTAAATATTAAGATGAAAAAGAGACTGAGATGCTATCACCAGCTTACAGTAAGACCAGACAGAAAATTTTGAGAGGCCACCAATACTTGAACAGATCATACATTTTGCAGTTAATTTCAATCCTTCAGTTCTGATAGTTTTGTTTGTTTATGTCCAGTAACTGAGTTCCATATGTCCAGAACTGAGTTCTACACCTGCAGCTTTTACCAGCTCTATGCTCAACAAAGAAAGTATGGTAGTCTGACTTTATTTGCATTGGGTGAAATTATTTCTTTTGTGTTATTCACCTTTTTTAAGTGCTCACAAATATTTCATTCTTCAGATCTTACCTGGGATTGACTGAAAGCTCATCTGTCTGTAGTTTGTGCAATAAGCCTTATTTTCAACTGGGAATGTTTTGTTAATTGACAAAAATAGATATGCCAGGAATCTTCGTTCATTAAAAAATGTGCCTCCATATTCTTTAATATTGTTTTCTCCCTTCTTTAGATTTGAATTGTTTGATTCTAACCTCTGCCTACCTTACTCTTCTTTTGGCAATAATGAAAAAGTAAGTTAATCAAGAGAGACAGAAAAAAAAATAAGGAGCAACATTTTGGCAGAGAGTTTATCACTTCCCTACCTCAATTTCCTCTACTGCTATTTCCTCTTTCTCAGGATACATACAAAATAAATGTAGTTTTTACCTCTCTATGGCCTTCCAGATTGCCAGCAGAGGGAGGTAATACCTAGAGCCTTTAACTTTCCTTAGAGTAGTCAGTGCTAATAGAGTGGCCCTGTTACTATGTAAGGGAACTTCCCCAACATTTGTGGGCATGCTGCATAAGTCACCCTTTATTAAAGGACTCTTAGATGACTTTGTCTGTAGGAGCCATCTGCTTTCTGCCTGGATCCCAACTGCTGCTGACAGATGCACAGATTATTTTGGATGTTGGGGATGTCATCAACAGGTAGACCAGACAGAGAGCTCCTTCTGTTCATGGTATAGGAGAGAAACAGCTATTTAGGTTAATCTGAGGATTTGAAAGAGTTCTTTTACTTGGAGTAGGACTCCAAGAGTAATAACGTTTGCAATAAAATGCACTAAATACTTTTGTTCTGAAATTTGAGTGTTAGGACTACTCTGAGATCATTAAATAGAATTAATATTATATTTATTGCATGAGTACCAAGAAAAGAAACAACAATGTAAAAGCTGTTTAAATGTTTCTGTTAAATGAAATAAGAAAACTTAAGGTAGATAATGACTAGGATTTCTTTTGGCCTTCTTATATCTGGCTCCACTGGCTCATGAAATTGTGGTATTTCAGAAAGAACTGCAGAAAGCAGGAAATGCTATCATAGCTGAGCATGAGGAGTTCAAAAATCACAGGCCAGCTCTGCAGTACAACTGCAAGATGCAGTGAGTCTTGCTCCTTGCCAGTTCCACTTTGATACAAATACACTTCTTCAGTATGTAAACTTGGCCCAAGTCACACCTGTGCAAATCAGATTTATTTTAATATCAAACATTACTCCCCCATATAGTAAAGTTTCTCTTTGTCATCTGAGAAAATTCTCTAGTGATAATATGATCTTATATTCATAATAGCAATAACATGGAGAAGAAAGCAAACACACCTAAATGTAAAATTTTCAGAGTGCCAGATTTTTTCCACTGTTATCTCTGGATTCTCACCCTAAGGATTACAAACATTCACCGTGTCTTCTGCCCACATGCCCTAGAATGTTTTGATATGACTGAAAAAGATGGTGAAATCTGTTAAACCCACCTAGTTTGTGTTCTGTTTGTCATTTTTAAAATAGGGACCCTGTTGTTTACTGGCATAAATATTCTCAATTAAAAGAGTACAAACAGGATAAGAAAACGTCTCCTTGTGAAGCAAGCCGTGATTTGTTTTGCAATAATTTCTTTTCTGATTCTGAATCTTTTCAGAATGAGCATTCTGGGTGGCTGAAGGCCCAGATACTAGATTACAAACTTCCGTAAAAAGTTAAGTATTCAGGTGACCGATTTTGTATTGCAACTGAAGCAAACTCAGACAGGTTAGAGACATTTTAAATCTATGAATATTTTTCTGTGTGTAAAGCTTCTGATGCTTGTGAAAATGTAATGACCCTAATTTATTGAATATTAAGTAATTGTTATGTTAGAGGAAAAGCCACAGAAACATGTGTCATCTTAGAAGTAAAACTCCCTATCCACTTTGGTAATACCATCTGGATCATCAGCAAAAGTCACTTGTTTCATAGGTGCCTCATGGCTTGGGAGAGCCTTGTGTCTCAAATGGGAAAGGCGTGGTGGTGACATAGAAGTCTCCAGGTTTATCTTAGAAATTTCTTTTCTATTTGTTACCTCAATGTTAACAGCAGTTCAGTAATTTTATGGATTCCTTGATAGATATATGCACACACGGGAGGAGCAAGGCGGTTTAGCAAAGAGAACATTGCTCTCAGAATCAGACAACTGTTCTTTTGGATCCCTGTTTTGAAGTTAGTTGTTTAATCTTGGACATGTTACCTTAACTTCATTGGGCCTCAGTTTCCTCATTTTTAATGGGGAAAATAATGCCTATTGAGCCATGATGAAAGTGATGAAAGGAGATGGGTTACAACGCAGTGCCTGGGACATAAGAAAACACTCAATAAGTGGTGATTGGTATGATTGGTATGATTTTATTATTGTGTGTTCACTGTGGATACATCTGTGCCCCTTCCTACTTCATAATAAGGATATTGAAGCTTAGATGCTTTCTTCTTCAGTTGCTTTCAAGCTCAAAGAAAGTGTGTTTGTGTTACCAGTTAACTGGTTTCTCAAACTTGTTCTGAGCCTTCCTCGTTCCCCTTTGCACTTTTTCCTCATAAGTTCCTTGCTCTCTTCTACCAGCACTTGACTTATTTTTAACTCTTTACACATTTCTTCTCCTTTCTGGTCTCATTTTCCTTTCAGTTCTGTTTGTGAAACTTCTCACAGCTGAAACCATAGTCTCATGTTAATAAAAATAGTTGAATGGGAATAGAACTTTTGCACTTGCATGCAATGAGGAGGGCAAGCTTCTTTCTCACAGCTTCATTGGAAGGCATTTCAGGACAGTGAGACACAGGCACTGGCTTTGCCTTAGGAAAGTGCAGTAGCTCTTGAACCTGCTAACGGTGTGACCCAGGGTCAATAAGCTTTAGTCTCCCATCTATAAAACGGAAGCTGTGAGAATTCCTTGACCACAGTGTTTTTGTGAATGCAGGTTCTTACTTTTTGTCTGAAACTCATGCCGTATGCTGTGGATTTCACAGCACACGAAATCCACAGCATGTGAATTCTGTAGGACCTGCTGTAGTGAAATGCATTAGTTATTTTCCAGTCAACTGTATGAATATTCATGCCGGGGCAAATAAAGATAATAAATGGGTTCACGTCATTTCAGGTCATAGTATTTAACCAAATGAGTTCATGTCTGGCTAGGCTATGCCCCTAAGTTATGAATAAATTTTCAATTTTCAGAGCTGTGGGGATGTGGAAATTGTGCATAATGGATTCTGAAGTTGTACCGTGTTACAAAAGACACATGAAGCTGTAGCTGGTACAATAAGCCCTCAATAAATATTAGTGGTTATCACTACCATGGCATCAGAAACTGTTTAATGTGGAAGTTTGTCCTTATTATTGCTCTCTTCAACTTTTCAAAACAGTAATATTCTCAATTACATGAATTTTCTTCTCTTCTGTGTCCACTCACTTTTGAAATTAGCATTTTGTACTCTGCAGCCCTAGAGAATAAAGTGTACTGTAATCCAAAGCAGCATCTGATCCATCATTCTGTCAGTGGATTAATAAGTGGCAATATGGTGCCTTGCAATGGTGCTATACATCAGGATTTCTTGAACGATTCTCTTAAACAGAAAAGAGGTATGGTAACATCAAGGATCCCAAATTTTCCAAATGGAGCTGTGGAGGGTAGTCCTTCCAATTCTGACCTTGAGTTTGTAGTTAATACTAAGCAAGGGTCAAAGAGCTTAAGCAAGAGGCAAAGAGCTTAAGTAAGAGGACAGACCCTTGGAAAAGGCTTTCAGAAGTTGCTATCTGAGAGTCGTTAACATCATACCAAAAGCCCACTACCAGCAAAGAGCTCACCATCTCTGCACTTGCTGAAAGCTTTCAAAAACATTACTTCCAGTTCTCTAGAAAGCCATATATTTGCAGAGGACAGAGTTGTCTCTGAGCAGCCTCAAGTGAAAAAACTTAAAGATTAAAGGAATGGCACCTGGAAGCACTCATGGGCAGTGCAGTGTTGAGGCTACACAGTGGCATTTCCTCCAGACAAGTCTTCTCTACCCCTTTTCCGAAAGCAAAAAGGAACCTTAAAGTGAAATGTATCTGGAAGGTTAGCCACCTGGACAAAGCGTTGTGTGCTGCTCTGGAGTTGGGTAGCTACCCTCCATCTCTCCACCCATGATAGAGGGTTGCTGTGAGAGTCAGCAGGACAGACTGGCAAGGTCTAGTGTCTCCTTTACACACAGAGGTGTTTAGATACTAAGAGCTGTCTTTCCTTTGCTGCCTGTTACTTTCATGCATTTTATTATTGCCAGTGCAATTAACTTAGGTGTTTGAATCATTAGTTTTGTGGATCTTATGCATCATAATTTGCTATTTGCAAGGATAACAATTTATTTTTGAACTAATAGAGCTCTTTAGAAACCGCTTGGTATCTTCATGCACCTGGTAATATTCTTGCCTTGGTTCCTTCTGAACCTTAGGTCTGGACAGATTACATGTGGGTTCCCCAGTCCTTGTTCTGACAGAATGCCCCAGCAGTCACCCACTGAGTCAAGGCACAGCCTCTCCAACCCTCCAGACCAAAAGTTTCGGTAAGTACAACTTTCTGATTGATTAGCTTCAGCTGAATCACGTTACTTACTCTGTCAGCCTTCACTTATTTTGTTCGTTTTTTTTTTTTTTTAGGTTAATTTTGCAGACCATTTGGCAGTATAGAAGTTAGAATCAGATTGCAAAATGATGTGTGATATTTGAGAATCATCTAAATTATGAAGAGAAAAAAGGATGGCTTTTAGCAAATAAGTGGATAATGCATATTTGCTAAACTGGACATGTAGAACATGAGATATGGTATAAATAAGCATCTTCATAGTTCTGTCAATAGACTCAGTTTATTAAGATAAAAACAAATGTACAAAATATGTGAAAGCAAACAAATGGAGGTTATTTCTAAACTTGGAAAAATTATACACATCATTAAAAAGTCATTTAAAATATTTTGGCATTGAAATATAAACAGATACATTTTTGTTTTTTGTTTTTGTTTATGTTTTTGTTTTTTGGTGAGTGAGGGCAGAGTCTTACTCTGTCACCCAGACTGGAGTGCAGAGACATGATCTCCACTCATTGCAACCTCTGCCTCCTGAGTTCAAGTGTTTCTCCTGCCTCAGCCTCCCAGGTAGCCTGGATGACTGGAGTAGGCCACAACACTCGGCTAATTTTTGTATATTTAGTAGAAATGGTACTACACTATGTTGGCCAGGCTAGTCTCAAGCTCCTGACCTCAGTTAATCTGCCCAGCTCTGCCTCCAAAAGTGCTGAGATGACAGGTGTAAGCCACAGTGCCAGGCCTAGATAAAATTCTCATTTCCATAACATTGCAATAAATTCAAATGTGGCAGTGGACTCTAGAGCATGATTCTTGAAACACTAAGGAGTGGGTGTTTTTAGGAACTGGACTAGTGGGTTACCAAGGCTGTGATTTGAGTCATGAGGAGACTTCTACCCATACATGGGCCCCACAGCAGAGAGAACTGGCTCCACAATTCCAGGCTCAAGCTTCAGTGTCTGCACTGAAAAGAAAAGAAAAATAAATATCTATAACGTCTCTTCTTCTCTGAAACATTAATTATGACTATGTTTCCCAATGCTTGTATTTAGTAAGATTTGAAGCTTACTGTTTTTTTTTTGTCTTTTCAATGCAGCTACAAGGCTACAAGCTATGCAAGGCTAAAGTTATGCTAACTCAACAGTTATGCTATAAATTATGTAACCTGTCATTGTCAAATTAGCTTCTGTAGTTCTGCTTTTGTAATTTGGCTTACAAATATCCCCCTCAGTCTTTGTTCAATGCTCAGCATTTTTGGATATAAGTCTGCTGAGCCAGGGCACCTAAATACATCCTCCTATTTCCCCATATGAATCTCTGTGGTCCTCTGCTTCCCACAGCATTATTGGCCAGTCAGCCAGGAGTGGAGATGACAGGTTTCCTGTCTCCTTTGCCCCTGGGGCTTAAGCCCTGGGTCTCAGGAGTCCTGTGACCCAAGGAGCACCACTGGGAGAACTTCAGCCTGGAGGGGAGATCAGCCATTTTGTGACCTCGTGCCCCTACCAAGCAGTGCAATGGTACCTAATGGGTTATAGGACGATTCCAGGAACAGCTCACTTCAGAAACCACAGTAAGGTATTGGGACCCAAGGCAGGACACATCCCACAAGGACCAAAAGGGAGCCTAATCACCTCCTAGGTTATAACCGGTAATCCAACCCAGAGGTGCTGCAGGCCGCAAGAGTGGTTCACCAATTCAGAAGAAACTTACACCTCAACCAACACAGCATGTGACAGTGGCTCACTAAATCAGCTCAGAAGGAAACTGGAGGTGGTGAAAGTGACTCGCCACCCCAACCAGGAACATGAGAACTGGTAGAAGGATGATGTGTGAGTGGTGAGGCCTAACTAGGCTAATCGGCCATAAAGTGAGGAACCACAAGTCTCTTAGTGAAGAATGTGTTCCAAGCCAAGTGTGGGGCTGATCAAGACTAGTGGTGATCCACATATGGCTAAAAGAAGCTACCCCACAACTTCAGCAATTGTGTTGGGCTTAAGAAACTCTCCAAAGCTAAGTAGTATCTAAAAACCCCCATAATAGGAGATGGTCTAACTGGCTGGAAACAAAGGTAAAAAGTGAGCACGAGTACACTGCATCATAACTGAAAAGAAATGGGAAGAGAGTTGTCACAACATACATCATTCAAATATATGCTAAAAAAAACTTTAAGAAAGGGTTTACAGGAAACTATAAAATTAAGCTAACCCTGCAAAGGTAAAAAGCTCTCTGTAAACTAAAATGGCCCCCTTTTGGTATTAAATAGGTGACCCAAAAAACTATACACATAGAAAGAATTGGTCATGAGTTTGAGGTAATGACAGGGGTCTGAGTATAGCCAGGGTACCCAGACCAATTTTCTTATATTAACTCATAATTAAATATAATACAAACAAGAACAACATGAATCCAGCCCTGCTTCACAGCTTATTGCAAAACACTTGTAGCGCAGGCCGAGCCAAAAGTGAAAATAGAAGCAGCTTCACCAGCAAACACTGAGTTAAAAGGAAAGTCCCAAGGACAGAAAGGAAACCCAGTTTTAAAAAACTACAAAAGGAAAAAAAAATTCTCCTCCATTTTTCATAGCCTACCTCCCTTTGCTGAGGCAAACAGCCCCCCAGGAGCTAGGTTCCATTGCCAGTACACCCCAGGTTTCACCCCAGAGGGAAGAATTGGAGCCTTGAGAGGCCAGTGATGGAATTCAGGATAGTGAACCAGGCTGCCTCAAATCTGATCATGGTCAAGCTATGTAAATACCTCTCAGGGAAATGCAAGGACTCATCTGTTATAATGACCAGTGCCACATCCTGGTGTGGGGGGCAGCAAACCTTCCTCTATCAGCCCTTTTCAACCACTAATCTCCTAAATGTAAATCAACACACTAACTCCTACAAGGAAAAGCCCCAAGCTCTCATAAATCTAACACAGTCCACCTTTCTAACACACAATCCAACCTGGCTAAATTGAAGATAACTTATCTTAACATTGTTTAACATGGAGGAGTGCCAGAGGATAACTCAGGCATCCCATCAAGGGCTAGAAGCCAATGCACCAGCTGCAAAAAGTACATGGTTTTGCAGGCACGAATACAACCCAGCTTACAGAAATGGCCACCAAAATGTAGGTTAACCATCACCAGGAAGCAAAGAAAAAAAAAAAAAGCAAATCAGAGGTTTAAAAAAGGCCAATCTCTTAGCAGCAGCTCTCATTAAAAAAATGACTAGCAATATACAAGAATGTGGATGTGCACGTGCATGTGAAAGATGTCAATTTAGTCAAAAATTTAAAAGCCAGCCGAGGCTAGAGAGAAAACAATGTGTGTGATGGAAAAGAAAAATACTGAAAGAATAAATGTCCAGAAGGTAATAAAAAGTATAATCAAGACTGTGGTATAAAAGAGTCCAGCTAAGGGCTGCCTCACTGTGGGAAAACCAAATACGAATCTAAACAGGCTGGCTGGCACTAAAGGATATGGGTACTAGGACAGACCAGGCTTTTTCTTATTACAACTCCATTGGCCCATGGTCACATTAAAAGTTGAAGGCCAGCTGATGGACTTTATGTAAACACCAGGGCTACACATTCAGTACTGACTCAACCCATAGGGCCACTATCTGAAGCTATAAAACTATTATAAAAGCCACAGGAATCTCAGAGAAAAAAGCTGTTCTGGTAAGGAGGTGTGTCATCAAAGGATGGGAAGTTCAACATAAATTCCTATACCTCCTGAATTGTCCAGTTCCCTTGTTAAGAAAAAAAAAAATTACTCCAAAAACTGAAAGCACCAATTACATTTCAGCTGCAAAAAAAAAAAAAAACAACAACTTTTTTTCTGACTCTCCAAAAAAGCATGGTGCTAACCCTTATCATCCTGCAGGCTAAGGAATGGAAACTTTATACAAAGAAAGTGCAAGCAGCAAATTAGAATTGCAGGTGGGATAAAAAAAAATTATTTCACTTAGTTAATAACATTTCTGGAGTATGGGTTAAAGGCAACCCACTTGGATTAGCTGTACATCATGCACAGGTGGTAGTCATGTTAAAACCAAAAGAAACTCCGACTTGGGTTCATCAGTACCCAGTCCCCTGAGAAGCTATTCCAGGTATCTGTAAATATTTAAACTGGCCTTACCAACATGAAGTCTTAGTTCGATGTCAATTGCTCTAAAACACTCCACTTTTGGAACATGTGTATTTTAATAAATCTCATTCCAGCAAGTGCTACCTGATTTGCAGTCCTAAATTTAAAGAATGTATTCTTTTATATCTGCTTAGCCCCAGTTAGTCACCCTATATTTGCATTTCAATAAAACAAATAAGTTGTTCAACTCACCTGGGCCAGGCTCCCGCAAGTTCAAAGACTCTCCTACAGTCTTTAGGGAAGCACTGACCTTGAAGCCTACAACCTGCCAAATGTTAACTGTGCCTTGTTGCAGTATGTGGATGACCTTCCTCTAGCAGCCCCAACCCAGGAGGACTGTTATCAAAAAACTCAAGACCTCCTCCATCTCCTATGAAAAACAGGCTAAAATTATCTTTTAAAAAAGGACCAATTATTCTTAAAAATGTCAAATATGTAGGTTTCATAGTAAGCCATGTGGAATGCCAGCTTGGCCATAAGCAGAAACAGGCCGTTTGTACACTCCTGACACAAACCACTAGGCATTACATTAAAAAATTCTTAAAAGAAGAAAAATTCCACCATATCTAAATCATAAATTTTTCACTGATGGCTAAGCCATTATATAATATTACAAAAGGGGTAAAAACGAAACCCTCCTCTGGCAAACTAAACAGCAAATATCATTTAAAAAAATCAAAAAAACCCTTAACTCAAGTCCCAGCCTTTGGTCTGCCAAATGTAACTTAGCCTTTCTTTCTGTACCTGCATAAATGAAAAGAAATGGCTATGTGGTTCTTAACTGAAATTATAAAATTATAGCATTGTCCAGTCAAATACTAATCTAAACAATTAGACTCTGTGGCACTAGGATGGCCTCCTTGCCTTAAGGCATTAGCCACCACTGCCTTGCTAATGCAAGAGGATAACACACTTACTTTGAGACAGCAGCTAACAGTCCATGTGCCACACTCAGTCAAAACTTTGATGAACAAATAAGCCATCATTAGTTGTCAAATCTGAGAATAACGCAGTACCAAGGACTTCTATATGAAAACCCTTACATTACTTAAAATACAGCAAACAACTTAAGCCCAACCACCCTGCTCCCAGTCAAATTTGATGCTCCCCTCCATAACTGTGTCTAAACAGTGGATCACGTATTTGCTGAACCAGGAGATCTTACAGATCAATCCCTCAAAAACCCAGATGTTGAATACTTCATAACTGAAAGAGTTTTGAGCTAGAAAAAAATCCAACAAGCCGAGTATGCAGTGGTAACATTAAACTCAATGATAGAAGCTCAATCTTTGCCTACTGGAACATGAGACCAAAAGGCAAAATTAATAGACCGAACAAGAGCCCTTTTGCTGCAAAAGAAAAAAAGGTCAATATTTAAACACATTCTAAATATGCTTTTACCACACTACATGTTCATAGAACTATATATAAAAAGAAAATTTCTTAACAACTGGAGGCAAATAAATAAAGTGGACAGAAAAAATCCTACAGCTCTTAGCAGCTGTATATGCTCCAGAAAAAGTGGCAATAGTGCATTATCTGGAACACCAAAAGGCAGGGAAGTCAAAAGCCAAAAGAAACAGGAAAGCTAACACTTTCCCCACATAACCTTGATATAAAAAAGCACCCAAAAAATGATGCCCACCCTCTACTCATACTACATAGCCCCAAAACAACATAGCCAGGCCCACTGCTACTCAGTTAATAGCTCTAACTAAATGTCAACCTGTGCCAAAAGAAGAAAACATGCTTTCCCATAAAGAATAAAATGATACTAATGCCTTCGATTAAATTTATCCTATAAAATGATTTTTTAAAAAAACAGAAAAATTTGGCAAGACAAGGGTTCAAATGAAAAGAAAACATGTTTTTCTCTGTGTAGCTATCTCACTCCAAGACAGTTATAAAATAACACTGTCTAAAAAGTTGAGGCCAAGGGAATGGGTCACAAATACCCTACACTGAAGCAAAGTTCAAAAGGAAAGCAAATTACTTTACTGTCTCTCCTTCTCTGAAGCATTAATTATGACTATGTTTACCAATGCTTGTATTTCGTAAAATCTGTATGTTCCTGTTTCTCTTTCAACCTAGCTGCAAAACCCAGCTATGCAAGGCAAGAAGTTATGCAAGTCAACAATTATGCTGTAAATTACATAACTGTTCATTGTATAATTAGTTGCTTTAGGTCTGCTTCTGTAAGTTTGCTCATAAAAACCCTGCTCAGTCTTTATTCAATACTCAGCCTTTTTGGATATAAGCTCACTGAGCTGGTGCACCTAAATAAATCCTCCTGTTTCCCCATATCAGCCTCACTCATACTCTGTTTCCATCAACACCAGTCATATTTCCAAAGTTTTTATCTTTTTTTGAGACAGAGTCTTGCTCTGTCACCCAGGCTGGGGTGCAGTCTCACCTTACCGCAGCCAGTGCCTCCTGGGATGAAGGAATTCTCCTGCCTCAGCCTCCTGAATAGCTGGGACTACACACACACCACCATGCTTGACTAATTTTTGTATTTTTATTTATTTATTTTTTCTTTTTTTATTATACTTGAAGGTTTAGGGTACATGTGCAAAATGTGCAGGTTAGTTACATATGTATACATGTGCCATGTTGGTGTGCTGCACTCATTAACTCATCATTTAACATTAGGTATATCTCCTAATGTTATCCCTCCCCTCTCTCCCCACCCAACAACAGGCCCCAGTGTGTGATGTTCCTCTTCCTGTGTCTGTGTATTCTCATTGGTCAATTCCCACCTGTGAGTGAGAACATGCGGTGTTTGGGTTTTTGTCCTTGCGATAGTTTGCTGAGAATGATGGTTTCCAGCTTCATGCATGGCCCTACAAAGGACATGAATTCAACATGTTGTATGGCTGCATAGTATTCCATGGTGTATATGTGCCACATTTTCTTGATCCAGTCTATCATTGTTGGACATTTGGGTTGGTTCCAAGTCTTTGCTATTGTGAATAGTGCCGCAATAAACATACGTGTACATGTGTCTTTATAGCAGCATGTTTTGTAATCTTTTGTGTGTATACCCAGTAATAGGGATGGCTGGGTCAAATGGTATTTCTAGTTCTAGATCCCTGAGGACTTGCCACACTGACATTCACAATGGTTGAACTAGTTCACAGTCCCACCAACAGTGTAAAAGTGTTCCTATTTCTCCATATCCTCTCCAGCACCTGTTGTTTCCTGACTTTTAATGATTGCCATTCTAGCAGGTGTGAGATGGTATCTCATTGTGGTTTTGATTTACATTTCTCTGATGGCCAGTGATGATGAGTATTTTTTCATGTGTCTTTTGGCTGCATAAATGTCTTCTTTTAAGAAGTGTCTGTTCGTATCCTTCGTCCACGTTTTGATGAGGTTGTTTCTTTTTTTCTTGTAAATATGTTGGATTTCATTGTGGCTTCTGGATATTAGCCCTTTGTCAGATAAGTAGATTGCAAAAATTTTCTCCCATTCTGTAGGTTGCCTGTTCTCTCTGACGGTAGTTTCTTTTGCTGTGCAGATGCTCTCTAGTTAAATTAGATCCCATTTGTCAATTTTGGCTTTTGTTGCCATTGCTTTTGGTGTTTTAGACATGAAGTTCTTGCCCATGCCTATGTCCTGAATGGTATTGCCTACATTTTCTTCTAGGGTTTTTATGGTTTTAGGTCTAACATTTAAGTCTTTAATCCATCTAGAATTAATTTTTGTATAAGGTGTAAGGAAGAGATCCAGTTTCAGCTTTCTGCATATGGCTAGCCAGTTTTCCCAGCACCATTTATTAAATAGGGAATCCTTTCCCCATTTCTTGTTTTTGTCAGGTTTGTCAAATATCAGATGGTTGTAGATATGTGGCATTATTTCTGAGGGCTCTGTTCTGTTCCATTGGTCTATATCTCTGTTTTGGTACCAGTACCATGTTGTTTTGGTTACTGTAGCCTTGTAGTATAGTTTGAAGTCAGGTAGCGTGATGCCTCCAGCTTTGTTCTTTTGGCTTAGGATTGACTTGGAAATGCGGGCTCTTTTTGGGTCCCATATGAACTTTAAAGTAGTTTTTTCCAATTCTGTGAAGAAAGTCATTGGTAGCTTGATGGGGATGGCATTGAATCTATAAATTACCTTGGGCAGTATGGCCATTTTCACGATATTGATTCTTCCTACCTATGAGCATGGAATGTTCTTCCATTTGTTTGTATCCTCTTTTAATTCATTAAGCAGTGGTTTGTGGTTCTCCTTGAAGAGGTCCTTCACGTCCCTTGTAAGTTGGATTCCTAGGTATTTTATTCTCTTGGAAGCCATTGTGAATGGGAGTTCACTCATGATTTGGCTCTCTATTTGTCTGTTATTGGTGTCTAAGAATGCTTGTGATTTTTGCACATTGATTTTGAATCCTGAGACTCTGCTGAAGTCTATCAGCTTAAGGAGATTTTGGGCTGAGACAATGGGGTTTTCTAGATATGCAATCATGTCATTTGCAAACAGGGACAATTTGACTTCCACTTTTCCTAATTAAATACCATTTTTTCCTTCTGCCTGATTGCCCTGGCCAGAACTTCCAACACTATATTGAATAGGAGTGGTGAGAGGGGGTATCCCTGTCTTGTGCCAGTTTTCAAAGGGAATGCTTCCAGTTTTTGCCCATTTAGTATGATATTGGCTGTGGGTTTGTCATAGATAGCTCTTATTATTTTGAGATATTCCCATCAATACCTAATTTATTGAGAATTTTTAGCATGAAGCATTGTTGAATTTTGTGAAAGGCCTTTTTTGCATCTATTGAGATAATCATATGGTTTTTGTTATTGGTTCTCTTTATATGCTGGATTATGTTTATTGATTTGTGTATGTTGAACCAGCCTTGCATTCCAGAGATGAAGCCCACTTGATCATGGTGGATACACTTTTTGATGTGCTGCTGGATTTGGTTTGCCAATATTTTATTGAGGATTTTTGCATCGATGTTCATCAGGGTTATTGGTCTAAAATTCTCTTTTTTTGTTGTGTCTCTGCCAGGCTTTGGTATCAGGATGATGCTGGCCTCATAAAATGAGTTAGGGAGGATTCCCTCTTTTTCCATTGATTGGAATACTTTCGGAAGGAAAGGTACCATCTCTTCCTTGTACCTCTGGTAGAATTTGGCTGTGAATCCATCTTGTTCTGGACTTTTTTTGTTTGGTAAGCTATTAATTATTGCCTGAATTTCAGAGCCTCTTATTGGTCTCTTCAGAGATTCAACTTCTTCCTGGTTTAGTCTTGGGAGGGGGTATGTGTCAAGGAATTTATCTATTTCTTCTAGATTTTCTAGTTGATTTGCATAGAGGTGTTTACAGTATTCTCTGATGGTAGTTTGTATTTCTGTTGGATCGTAGTGATATCCCCTTTTTCATTTTTTATTGCATCTGTTTGATTCTTTTCTCTTTTCTTCTTTATTAGTCTTGCAAGATGTCTATCAATTTTGTTGATGTTTTCAAAAAACCAGCTCCTGGATTCATTGATTTTTTGAAGGGTTTTTGTGTCTCTATTTCCTTCAGTTCTGCTCTGATCTTAGTTATTTATTGCCTTCCGCTAGCTTCTGAATGTGTTTACTCTTGCTTCACCCACTTTCCGACACTCCCCAGTGAGATGAACCCAGTACCTCGGTTGGAAATGTAGAAATCACCCATCTTCTGCTTCACTCACACTGGGAGCTGCAGGCTGGAGCTGTTCCTATTCACAATCTTGGCTCCACCCCCAGTGTGGTTTCTTTTTCTGTGTCAGGTGTTCTCAGTGTTCAGCTCTGACTCATGAGTGAGGAAATGTAGTGTTTGGTTTTCTGTTCCTGTGTTACTTTGCTGAGGATGATGGTTCCATCTTTATCCATGTCCTTGCAAGAGACATGATCTAATTGCTTTTTGAAGCTGCAAAGTATTTCATTGTGTATATGTACTACATTTTATGTATCTAGTTGATAATGTTCTCTGAGTAAAGTCGGCATTTGAGTTGATTCTATGTGTTTGCTGCTGTTAATTGTACTGCAATAAACATACACGTGCAGGTATCTTTCAAATATGAAACATTTGTATTTTGGGGGTAGATAGCCAGTAATGACATTGCTCGGTCAATGTTGTTTCTAGATCCTTGAACAAATTACCACGCTGTCTTCCACAGTGTGGACACTAATTTACTTTCCCACCAACAGTTTAGAAGTCTTCCTGTCTCTCCACAGACTTTCCAGCATCTGTTATTTCTTGACGTTTTAATAGTCACCATTCTGACAGGCCTGAGGTGGTATCTCATTGTGATTCTGATTTGTATTTCTCTACTGATTAATGATGTTGCCCTTTCTGAGTTAAAAAAAACCTTTTAAGAGAAAATAGGTCAAGAAAAAAATCAAGATGATTACTCAAAGACACCACATACAGGGTTTAATTAGATAGATTTGATAACAAACATTTATAAGGCCATGAGCAATAGTGTTAGTGCCAAAGCTAAGAACTCTTTAGAATAAGATTAGCTCCTGTTTTACAGTACATGTGTCATATCCCTCTGAAGTTTGAAGGACCAATAACTCTTTTCTTACTCTAACCTGGTCTTCCAGTATTAGCTCTTCAATAGCCATTTCACCTGAGTTTTTAACACTATTCTGAAAGAAAAATATTATTTGCCCAATTTATAAGATGGAGATACAAAGGGGCTGGAAAGTAGAACAGGAAACAGTTGGTGAAAAATCAGCACTTCTGTAAAATTTCCACCAACCTTTCTTTTCAAGTGGTTTCTTATTTCTTCTTCAGAACACTCCAGAATAGGAAATTTTAAAGTATTTTCATTGACAAGACACAAAGATATTTGCTCTCATTTTAGGCTGTTTCAATTTTTATGTCTTCAGATTTACTGAAGCTCAATCTGTTGTTAAAGTTATTTAATAGTTTTTTTTTAATCCAAGTAATTGTGCTTCTTATCTCTAGATTTTTCAGGTTTTCTTTTTTAATTTGTCTTCTGGAAGGACTTTTTTAAGGAGTCAGAGGGACCGATGGGGTTGAGGAGGATACTTATTATGTAGATGCACCGGCCCACTCAGATTAACCTCTGAAGGACTGAGCCCTGAACAAAGAGTTAAGTTACCTTTTAAGCATTCTGCCTTTTCCCATCAGGCAATACAAGACTTTCCAATTATGGAGATTTGCAACAAGCAAACACTGGCTGAGACTGCTGGCTTTATTGGTAGGGTTTGGCGAAGTGAAGTTATCTTGTGGCATTAATTCCTTTGCCCCCCCATGGCCACTGGTCCCCCGTATTAGTTCCTACACTTACATAGCATGAGGAAATTCCTCAGCCGCCAGCTATGTTTTCAGCTAGTTGAACAAACACATTTTTGGTTGATGGGGAAAGCTCAGGCATTGACTGATCAAAATGCTTACTTCTAGCCTTTTTGACAGTTAGTAGCAGAATTCCAGAGCCAGCTCCTTGTCTATCAACTTGTAATAGTGCTGTGCATCCTTTAGACCAAAAAGGTAGCTCTGGCTTTAAGGAGCTGTGTTAGTATAGATCACTGAATGTTACAGTCTGGGTATCCGATTTGTGGTCTCCATCTAGATATTTGAGACTGCTGCTGTTAAACCTTTCTTGTGTCAAACCACCGCGGACTGCTTCTGTTTCTGTTTTGTTTTGTTTTGTTTTAAGATTATGATCATCCCCAGCCTGGCAGGCATCAAAGTACAAGAGAATAGGCCCTTTATAGGAGGGAGGGGCTTCTTCATGTTGACCTATAAACTCTCCTTCTTTTTCTCCCTCTGATTTAATATGTACCTCAAACCAGAATTCACAGGGTAAGCACTTAGGGTCATAACATACATATAGCTGATTATTTCCTGGGTCACAGGCTGAATAAGGGGTGATTGGTTTTCTTACATACAACTGAGTTTCTGCTTACACATTCTTTAATTTCTTTTAATTCCTGTTCCAATCTCACTGATATTCCCATGTTGATCTTTTATCTTTCATCTGTCATTTTTTATTTGTTCATACTTAAAACTGCAGGTTTAAAGTTTTTGTCTAAAAAGTTTAGGACAGTTTCAGTTTGTGTTTTTACTTCACATTAGCCATAAATTTGTGGGATTTTTTGTGCTTTTATTTTTTAGAATGCTATATTTAAAATATTATAACATGTTAACTCTGATAGTCAGGTATTCTTTATTTATTCAAGATGTGCCCTTTGTTGTTTAAGGCTTAGCTGGAATTCCAACAGCGTTTTGACAGAGTGTAATATAAAAATATCAATTTTTAAAATTGGGTCTGTATTAACACTCCCCTTTATCATGTAGGGAGATAGCTTAAAATTCTGCGTTAGCCTTCACTTTCTTCTCACATTAAAATTATAGCTAATTTTCTGAATTAATGCTTAGAGTTTTGCGCATTTTTGAAAATATCTTCTGTTATGTTTATGTAACTAAGTTTTTAAATACCTCAGGTTATTTTAATACTTTTGAAAGTCAAGATTTTTTTTGAAATAAAGATCTATTCATCTTTTACTTTATTTTACACGTTGTCTATTTTATACATCAACGGTATCCTTTGCTCCCAGGACTTAAATGTTAGTTACCTGTGCTTAACATTTTTAACTATAAATCAGTTCTGCATCAGACAAAACAGAGATAAGTGTGCCTCATCAATAATTTATGTAACCCCTAAAGGGTAGAACAAACTCAATAAATTAGCACAGACATTATTCTTCACACCTTCCTAGATCAGAAATCCCAGCCTCACTTTGCGAATGTGGAATTTAACTTTTGAAACGTCATCTGTGCCTGGATGGTTGAATGCAAAGACCGCAAAAAATTTCCCAGCGGTTTCAACTTGTCTTTCTTGATTAACTCTTTGATTGGTTGATATAAATAATTATTGGTTTCCAAGGTCTAGACAATTTTTTTAATTACTTGTTATTTATGAAGCGATAATTGTATTTTCACATGAGTTTATTTATATTTAGAAGATTTATAATTTTACCTGTTACTAACGTTGAGTAAAATAAGTCAATCTACTAATTTGGATTCCTGAATATTAGGTGGTAATAGTATAAAGTCGGCTTTGTTTTGCTTTTGCTTTGTTCTTAAGTGAGGTTATCAATTCCATATAAAATACATTAGGCAGGATTCTATATTACCAAGTACGTTTTGGTTGTATATAAAAAACTTATAAAATAATTTGCTTACATGGAGACTGTCAATACCTAAATGAAAGAACAAGAGAATAAGCCTGTAATTATGCAGTAGGATCAAAAAGTGTAAAGACTCCTGGCATAAGCCTGCTTATCGTGTTAGGAAAAATGGCAAGATCACCGTGGCTGAAGCATAGTGTGGAAGGGGAACAATTATTGATGAGCTCATGGAGCTGACACACATTCCTTGTGATTTTCTAGGGTTTTCTATAGATCAATAGATTTTACTCTAAGCCTGATTCATGACTGGGAGTGGAATTCTTAAGGTTGCTTTTAGCATCTAGTGGTTAGATGCTACAAATGAAGATAAATATTCTAAAATCTAAGTATTTTAATATCTAGAGTCTCAGGTGCCTATAAAAAATTGATAGCGTTGGACTATATCTTCTGAAAATTGTAAAGAAAGGCGTACATGTAGAACTTTCTGATATTATATTTTCAAGGTTTCTTAACCCAATCTGTGTTTTTTATAAATCAGAGATGTTAAGAAGCTTTTGAAAAATTTGGTTGTTCAAGTTGAGATAAATGGGGTGAAGTCAATTATGTTGATTTATGATTAGAAGCTAAACCATAGAGTTTATATTTCTCCCCTTTTCTTTCTCATTACATTTTTATAATTTCTGTGCAACGCTAATATAGCAAATGAAACTGTAGACAGTCTAAGTTTCTGGGGTCCCAAGAAAGAAAATTCAGTCACTGATGATTGGTGAAGAGCTAAATTTCACTACAGCTGGAAGGCATACACAATACACATCAACATATGTATATTGGCACACCACATTATGCATACACATTATGCCTAACGTTTTTATAAGACAGATACTGAATGTGTCTTTTTGTGTGTGTGTGTGTGTGTGTGAACATTTTTCTTTTTTTATTATTATACTTTAAGTTTTAGGGTACATGTGCACATTGTGCAGGTTAGTTACATACGTATACATGTGCCATGCTGGTGCGCTGCACCCACTAACTCGTCATCTAGCGTTAGGTATATCTCCCAATGCTATCCCTCCCCACTCGCCCCACCCCTCAACAGCCCCCAGAGTGTGATATTCCCCTTCGTGTGTCCATGTGATCTCATTGTTCAATTCCCACCTATGAGTGAGAATATGCAGTGTTTGGTTTTTTGTTCTTGTGATAGTTTACTGAGAATGATGATTTCCAATTTCATCCATGTCCCTACAAAGGACATGAACTCATCATTTTTTATGGCTGCATAGTATTCCATGGTGTATATGTGCCATATGCAGCCAAAAAACACATGAAAAAATGCTCATCATCACTGGCCATCAGAGAAATGCAAATCTAAACCACAATGAGATACCATCTCACACCAGTTAGAATGGCAATCATTAAAAAGTCAGGAAACAACAGGTGCTGGAAAGGATGTGGAGAAATAGGAACACTTTTACACTGTTGGTGGGACTGTAAACTAGTTCAACCATTGTGGAAGTCAGTGTGGCGATTCCTCAGGGATCTAGAACTGGAAATACCATTTGACCCAGCCATCCCATTACTGGGTATATACCCAAAGGACTATAAATCATGCTGCTATAAAGACACATGTACACGTATGTTTATTGCGGCATTATTCACAATAGCAAAGACTTGGAACCAACCCAAATGTCCAACAATGATAGACTGGATTAAGAAAATGAATGTGTCTTATGATACAAAAGTTGCTAGAATCTTGTAATAAAGAAGCCAAGCAAATACCAGGTTTTCAAGAATTATAGTTGGGGCTAGATAATTCTTCTTTTGCAGAAGCTGTTAAACAGAAATAACCGTCAAGTACTCTCTACTGTTTAAGAAAGATATTTGATAGATGATTTTAAAGTAGACATCCAGGATTCAATATATTTATGCTCTTTCTTGTTTTAAAAGAATCCAAACAAATAAGCACCTGACGTACAGGTTCTCTTCTTAATGCTAGAGAGTAATCCACAAAGCAAAACCCCTACAGAGACAGACTTTGCTTTCTCCCTGAGATTAAAAGATTGCTGCTCAATACAAAAAAAAAAAAAGTTATTTAATATATGAAGGAAAAGCTATGCTAGTTAGGCACATTCTTGGGACCAGGCAGACAATGTGAAATCTAGACATTAGCAGACTTTAAGTGGTGTATGTGGGCTGGCATTATTGATAGAATTCAAGTTATTCCGGGCTAAATTGTATGTAGAGAAATATATTTGTTGGAGTTTTTACTTGGCTCAGTAATTTTTCAATGAGTCAGAGATCCAGATATTGGTACATTTTAACTGGTGTAAGTGCATTGGCATTATTTATGGAAATCAAGTTATTCAAATGAAACTTGTAGCTAGGGAGGTGTATTTCTTAATGTGTGTCATTTTCCTCTTCCTGTGTCCCTGTGTTCTCATCGTTCAGTTCCCACCTATGAGTGAGAATATGTGGTGTTTGGGTATTTCTCCTTGTGATAGTTTGCTGAGAATGATGGTTTCCAGCTTCATGCATGTCCCTACAAAGGACATGAATTCAACATTTTTTTATGGCTGCATAGTATTCCATGTTGTATATGTGCTACATTTTCTTGATCTAGTCTATCACTGTTGGACACTTGGGTTGGTTCCAAGTCTTTGCTATTGTGAACAGTGCCACAATAAACATACGTGTGCATGTGTCTTTATAGCAGCATGTTTTGTAATCTTTTGTGTATATACCCAGTAATAGGGATGGCTGGGTCAAATGGTATTTCTAGTTCTAGATCCCTGAGGACTTGCCACACTGACATTCACAATGGTTGAACTAGTTCACAGTCCCACCAACAGTGTAAAAGTGTTCCTATTTCTCCACATCCTCTCCAGCATCTGTTGTTTCCTGATTTTTAATGATTGCCATTCTAACTAGTGTGAGATGGTATCTCATTGAGGTTTTGATTTACATTTCTCTGATGGCTAGTGATGATGAGCATTTTTTCATGTGTCTTTTGGCTGCATAAATGTCTTCTTTTAAGAAGTGTCTCTTCATATCCTTAGTCCACTTTTTGATGGGTTTTTTTTTTTTTTTTCCTTGTAAATTTGTTGGAGTTCATTGTGGCTTCTGGATATTAGCCCTTTGTCAGATAAGTAGATTGCAAAAATTTTCTCCCATTCTGTAGGTTGCCTGCTCACTCTGATGGTAGTTTCTTTTGCTGTGCAGAAGCTCTTTAGTTTCTTTAGATCCCATTTGTCCATTTTGGCTTTTGTTTTGTTTTGTGTGAATTTGATCCTTTCATTATGATATTAGCTGATTATTTTTCTTGTTAGTTGATGCAGTTTCTTTCTAGCCTCAATGGTCTTTACAATTTGGTATGTTTTTGCAGTGGCTGGTACTGGTTGTTCCTTTCCATGTTTAGTGCTTCCTTCAAGAGCTGTTTTGGGGCAGGCCTGGTGGTGACAAAATCTCTCAGCATTTGCTTCTTTGTAAAGGATTTTATTTCTCCTTCACTTATGAAGCTTCGTTTGGCTGGATATGAAATTCTGGGTTGAAAATTCATTTCTTTAAGAATGTTGAATATTGGCCCCCACTCTCTTCTGGCTTGTAGAGTTTATGCTGAGAGATCAGCTGTTAGTGTGTTGGGCTTCCCTTTGTGGGTAACCCAACCTTTCTCTCTGACTGTCCTTAACATTTTTTCCTTGTTTTCAACTTTGGTGAATCTGCCAATTATGTGTCTTGGAGTTGCTCTTCTTGAGGAGTATCTTTGTGGTGTTCTCTGTATTTCCTGAATTTGAATATTGGCCTGCCTTGCTAGATTGGGGAAGTTCTCCTGGATAATATCCTGCAGAGTGTTTTCCAACTTGGTTCCATTCTCCCCGTCACTTTCAGGTACACAAATCAGATGTAGATTTGGTCTTTTCACATATTCCCATATTTCTTGGAGGCTTTCTTTGTTTCTTTTTATTCCTTTTTCTCTAAACTTCTCTTCTCCACTTCATTCATTTCATCTTCCATCACTGAGACCCTTTCTTCCAGTTGATCCAGTAGCAGATTCAGTGCAGATCCAGTAGTAGCTGTATCTCATACAGCAGTGGTCATCCAGCAAATTCCAACTGATCTGCTACTGAGGCTTGTGCATTCATCACATAGTTCTCTTGCCTTGGTTTTCAGTTCCATCAGGTCCTTGAAGGACTTCTCTGCATTGGTTATTCTAGTTAGCCATTCGTCTAATTTTTTTGTTAAGGATTTTAACTTCTTTGCCATGGGTTTGAACTTTCTCATTTAGCTTGGAGTAGTTTGATTGTCTGAAGACTTCTTGTCTCAATTGGCCAAAGTCATTCTCCATTCAGCTTTGTTCCATTGCTGGTGAGGAGCTGCATTCCTTTGGAGGAGGAGAGGTGCTCTGATTTTTAGAGTTTCCAGTTTTTCTGCTCTGTTTTTTCCCCCATCTTTGTGGTTTTGTCTACCTTTGGTCTTTGATGATGGTGACATACAGATGGGGTTTTGGTGTGGATGTCCTTTCTGTTTGTTAGTTTCCCTTCTAACAGTCAGGACCCTCAGCTGCAGGTCAGTTGGAATTTGCTGGATGACCACTCCAGACCCTGTTGGCCTGAATATCAGCAGCAGAGGCTGCAGAACAGCGGATATTGGTGAAGAGCAAATATTGCTGCCTGATCGTTCCTCTGGAAGTTTTGTTTCAGAGGAGTACCCTGCTGTATGAGGTGTCAGTCAGCCCCCAGTGGGGGATGTCGCCCAGTTAGGCTACTTGGGGGTCAGGGACCCACTTGAAGATGCAGTCTTTCCATTCTCAGATCTCCAGCTGCATGCTGGGAGAACCACTACTCTCTTCAAGCTGTCAGATAGGGACATTTAAGTCAGCAGAGATTTCTGCTGCCTTTTGTTTGGTTATGCCTTGCCCACAGAGATGGAGTCTACACAGGCAAGCAGGCCTCCTTGAGTTGCGGTGGGCTCCACCCAGTTCGAGGTTCCCAGCCTCTTTATTTACCTACTCAAGCCTCAGCAATCATGGGTGTCCCTTCCCCAGCCTCGCTGCCCCCTTGGAGTTTAATCTCAGACTGCTGTGCTAGCAATGAGTGAGGCTCCTTGGGCATAAGACCCTCTGAGCCAGGCACAGGATATAATCTTCTGGTATGCCATTTGCTAAGACCATTGGAAAAGTGCAGTATTAGGGTGGGAGTGACCTGATTTTCCAGGTGCCATCTGTCACCCCTTTCTTTGACTAGGGAGGGAATTCCCTGACCCTTTGCACTTCCCAGGTGAGGTGATGCCACACCCTGCTTTGGGTCATGCTCACTATGCTGCATCCACTGTCCTGCACCCACCTTCCAACACTCCACAGTGAGATGAACCCGGTACCTCAGTTGGAAATGCAGAAATCAGCCATCTTCTGCATCGCTCTTGCTGGGAGCTGTAGACTGGAACTGTTCCTATTTGGCCATCTTGGCTCCACCTAATTTTTATATTTTTAGTAGAGACGGGTTTTCACCATGTTGGCCAGGATGGTCTCAAGCTCCTGACCAAGTAATCTGCAAGCCTCAGCCTTCTAAAGTGCTAGGATTACAGGCATGATCCACCACACATGGCCAGGTTATTTTTTTTTTTGTACTTGTGATAAGCGAAAAGGAAGGATAAGACACACACATATGCTAAGTAGGGCACTCTGTTCACTCAATTTTTTGCTAATGCCTCCTCATCTGGCTCATGCTGATTATATGCAGAAATTGTTTTGGAAATGTTTTATCATTATTGAAAAAGTAAACTCCTAGGAGTAGCATTCAGAGTCCAACATTATTCTTCCTTAACAACTGTAGTACCCACTTCACAGTATAACATAGTTACAGTGAGTAACTGAGTAAGCAGGTATTAATTGCTGAGAACAGTGCCTCATGATGGTGGTGAGGTGGAGTAATCTTTACAAAAAAAAGAGAAAAGAAATTTTTCAGAGCATTTTCTTGAGTAACAGAAGGATTTTTGCCACCTGATGCTCTTGGGTTTTCCATTATTAGAACTTCATATTCATGAATTTTATTTTTCCAATCTAGCCTTTACCACAGACAGAGGGAACTTCAAGACAAAAGTGAATTTTCAGTTGTCAACAAGCTAAATTTTAAGGACAATGACTAATTTGACTCACCTTTTAAAGGTAAGTTTCAACATAAGTATCAGTTTTTATAAGTTGAAGTTGTAGAAAAATTAGTTTTGGTGAAACATATCTATTGGTATTAAAAAAAAGCAGCTACAAATTGGAACATTTTTATTCTGTGATAAAACTACAAGTACAGCTGCATCACCTCATTTTCCTATCATGAAACTTTTTATGGTTGTGTCTGTTTACTTTTAAAAATCTCAGCATGACAAATTTCAGAGTTTGAGCTAAGCTCATAAATACATCATTAACTTATCAGATTTAAAATGAGTGATTTTAGAGAATGTATTTCTTCTGAGGTGGGCAGATCATGAGTCAGGAGATTGAGATTATCCTGGCTAACACAGTGAAACCCCATCTCTACTAAAAATACAAAATATTAGCCGGGCATGGTGGCAGGCACCTGTAGTCCCAGCTTCTCTGGAGGCTGAGTCAGGAGAATGGCATGAACCTGTGAGGTGGAGCTTGCAGTGAGCCAGGATCACACCACTGCACTCCAGCCTGGGCTACAGGGTAAGATTCCATCTCAAAAAAAAAAAAAAAAAAAAAAAGGAAATAAAGGGTATTCAATTAGGAAAAGAGGATGTCAAATTGTCCCTGTCTGTAGACTACATGATTGTATATCTAGAAAACCCCACTGTCTCAGCCCAAAATCTCCTTAAGCTGATAAGCAACTTCAGCAAAGTCTCAGGATACAAAATCAATGTACAAAAGTCACAAGCATTCTTATACACCAACAACAGACAAACAGAGAGCCAAATCATGAGTGAACTCCCATTCACAATTGCTTCAAAGAGAAGAAAATACCTAGGAATCCAACTTACAAGGGATGTGAAGGACCTCTTCAAGGAGAACTACAAACCACTGCTCAATGAAATAAAAGAGGATACAAACAAAAGGAAGAACATTTCATGCTCATGGGTAGGAAGAATCAATATCCTGAAAATGGCCATACTGCCCAAGGTAATTTAGAGATTCAATGCCATCCCTATCAAGCTACCAATGCTTTTCTTCACAGAATTGGAAAAAACTACTTTAAAGTTCATATGGAACCAAAAAAGAGCCTGCATCGCCAAGTCAATCCTAAGCCAAAAGAACAAAGCTGGAGGCATCACACTACCTGACTTCAAACTATACTACAAGGCTACAGTAACCAAAAGAGCATGGTACTGTTACCAAAACAGAGATATAGATCAATGGAACAGAAAACAGCCCTCAGAAATAGCACTGCATATCTACAACTATCTGATCTTTGACAAACCTGAGAAAAACAAGCAATGGGGAAAGGATTCCCTATTTAATAAATGGTGCTGGGAAAACTGGCTAGCCATATGTAGAAAGCTGAAACTGGATCCCTTCCTTACACCTTATACAAAAATCAATTCAAGATGGATTAAAGACTTAAACCTTAGACCTAAATCCATAGAAACCCTAGAAGAAAACCTAGGCATTACCAATCAGGACATAGGCATGGGCAAGGACTTCATGTCTAAAACACCAAAAGCAACGGCAACAAAAGCCAAAATTGACAAATGGGATCTAATTAAACTAAAGAGATTCTGCACAGCAAAAGAAACGACCATCAGAGTGAACAGGCAACCTACAAAATGGGAGAAAATGTTCGCAACCTACTCATCTGACAAAGGGCTAATATCCAAAATCTACAATGAACTCAAACAAATTTACAAGAAAAAAGCAAACAACCCCATCAAAAAGTGGGCGAAGGACATGAACAGACACTTCTCAAAAGAAGACATTTATGCAGCCAAAAAACACATGAAAAAATGCTCATCATCACTGGCCATCAGAGAAATGCAAATCAAAACCACAATGAGATACCATCTCACACTCCTTAAGCTGATCACCAAGTTCAGCAAAGTCTCAGGATACAAAATCAATGTGGAAAAATCACAAGCATTATTAGACACCAATAACAAACAGAGAGCCAAATCATGAGTGAACTCCCATTCACAATTGCTTCAAAGAGAAGAAAATACCTGGGAATCCAACTTACAAGGGATGTGAAGGACCTCTTCAAGGAGAACTACAAACCACTGTTCAATGAAATAAAAGAGGATACAAACAAATGGAAGAACATTCCATGCTCATGGGTAGGAAGAATCAATACCGTGAAAATGGCCATACTGCCCAAGGTAATTTATAGATTCAGTGCCATCCCCATCGAGCTACCAAGGACTTTCTTCACAGAATTGGAAAAAAAAACTTTAAAGTTCATATGGAACCAAAAAAGAGCCCGCATTGCCAAGTCAATCCTAAGCCAAAAGAACAAAGCTGGAGGCATCACGCTACCTGACTTCAAACTATACCACAAGGCCACAGTAACCAAAACAGCATGGTACTGGTACCAAAACAGAGATATAGATGAATGGAACAGAACAGAGCCCTGAGAAATGATACCACACATCTACAACCATCTGATTTTTTACAAATCTGACAAAAACAAGAAGTGGGGAAAAGATTCCCTATTTAATAAATGGTGCTGGGAAAACTGGCTAGCCATATGTAGAAAGCTGAAACTGGATTCCTTCCTTACCCCTTATACAAAAATTAATTTAAGATGGATTAAAGACTTAAATGTTAGACCTAAAATCATAAAAACCCTGGAAGAAAACCTAGGCAATACCATTCAGGACATAGGCATGAGCAAGGACTTCATGCCTAAAACACCAAAAGCAATGGCAACAAAAGCCAAAATTGACAAATGGTGTCTAATTAAACTAAAGAGCTTCTTCACAGCAAAAGAAACTACCATCAGAGTGAACAGGCAACCTACAGAATGGGAGAAAATGTTTGAAATCTATTCATCTGACAAAGGGCTAATATCCAGAATTTACAAAGAACCCAAACAAATTTACAAGAAAAAAAACAAGCAACCCCATCCAAAAGTGGGTGAAGGATATGAACAGAAACTTCTCAAAAGAAGACATTTATGCAACAATCAGATATATGAAAAAAATGCTCATCATCACTGGCCATCAGAGAAATGCAAAGCAAAACCACAATGAGATACCATCTCACACCAGTTAGAATGGTGATCATTAAAAAGTCAGGAAACAACTGGTGCTAGAGAGGATGTGGAGAAATAGGAACAATTTTACACTGTTGGTGGGACAGTAAATTAGTTCAACCATTGTGGAAGACTGTGTGGCAATTCCTCAAGGATCTAGAACTAGAAATATCATTTGACCCAGCCATCCCTATTACTGGGTATATACGCAAAGGATTATAAATCATGCTGCTATGAAGACATATGCACACGTATGTTTATTGCGGCACTATTCACAATAGCAAAGACTTAGAACCAACCCAGATGTCCATCAATGATAGACTGGATTAAGGAAATGTGGCATATATACACCACGGAATACTATGCAACCATAGAAAAAGATGAGTTCATGTCTTTGTGGGGATATGGATGAAACTGGAAACCATCATTCTCAGCAAACTATCACAAGGACAAAAAACCAAACACCACATGTTCTCACTCGTAGGTGTGACTTGAACAACGAGAACAGTTTGACACAGGAAGGGGACTATCACACAGCAGGTCCTGTCTTGGGGTGTGGGGAGCGGGGAGGGATAGCATTAGTAGACATACCTAATGTAAATGATGAGTTAATGGGTGCAACACACCAACATGGCACATGTATACATATGTAACAAACCTGCACATTATGCACATGTACTGTAGAATTTAAGTATAATATTTAAAAAAAGTAAAAAAAAATAAGGAATTGGGGAAATAGATTTCGTATTTCAATTTTTGGAAAAGCTGTAACACTGGTTTAACTTAGCACTATACAAAAACTGGCCATCAGACTTCTCTTGTCTGTCCCACTTTCTTATTCCAGCCTTCTTTAAGATTACCAACTTTCCTTGCTGGAGATGGAGGGAGATGGGAAGAGAGATGTTGGAGCTTTGCACTTTTGTTCCAGGGCTGAGCAAACATCCAGGATCCTTTCTTTTGGGATCAAAGTGTTTAATCCTCAAATATGAAAGATAATTTCTCAAGTTAAGCCACCTCTTTGTTCCCCACAAATATTGAAAATACATCTTCTTCAAAACATTACCAAAACGTCTGGTTAGCAGTTTTTTGGGTGTATTCATGGCACTGAGGAACACATAGAATTACTTAAATAGGCAAGGGATTTTGAGAAATTGTGTTTTGCTGATTCCCGAGTAAATCTGCTTTGGAAAGCACTCAGTGAGACTTGATCTAGAGCCTCTGTCTGCTGGGCACTTTCCTTGGGGCTGAACATACAACAGTGAACCAAACCAAGCCTTTGTCTTCCTGATTTCTAGACATTGAGGCAGATGGTCAGCAAGCCATTACCCAGGACTGCAGAAGAAACCGGTTGCAGCTGATGCATAGGTGACATGGCCACAAGAGGGAGTTTCTGACAGGCAGCCATTTTTCACAGGCCTAAGCAAGGGAATAAAAATAACATGATAGAATAAACGAAATCAACTGAGTAACAAGGTGTTCTACCTCTCAGAGAGAATGTACATTATAATATTTGCCTTAAAATTTTTAAGCAGCATAGCGAGTAACATAGTTGTTATTGAGAAATTTTTATATTCATCATTTCACCTCTGCATGGGCACAGATGATATGGAAAAGGCTGAAATTTGTTGTCTCTGCTATGAGGTACCCAATAAACATACTTTATTTCTTTGCCTTTGTGTCCAAAGACATTTCTGTATTCCACCATACAGGTGCAAAATACACACCAGAGTAGAAAAGTAGTTTGTTCTTCCTATTTATTTCTCAATATAAATGTGCTTAAACAACATTGCTATTTTGAGAATACTATTCCACATAAGAAAGCAATCTCACTTTAGAGTAACTTTTGTTTCTTCTTTAAACAAGGAGGAAGTTGCATTTCTGTCTGCAGAAATTGTCCCTTTTTGTATTTTAATTTCATCAGAAGTATTGAGACGAGATGGGTGGTAATGAGAGAAAAAATTGTGTTGCTTCTCTCTTATTCGTGAAACTAACTAACTCCCTGCTGATGACTTTAAAATAAGGAAGAGCAAAAGGGTGCAGAATCCTCCTGTAAGCCTATGAATTTTTCTTGTTATTAGCATTGCTAGCTTTATAAAAAAATAAGTTACGTGTCAGAACTTGAAGAGAAAGGTCAGTAAAATTGTTTCTGAGCATGAGATGTAATTAAACATGTGAGATGCAGAGATCTGTGCCAAGATGCAAAGGGAAGAGACAATTTATTAAAACATGGGCATTCCCTGGATAAAATAGAAGTGGACGAAACAAGTATCTGTAGGTTTTCAAGAAGCAGGTGCAAGATATCGTGCAAGTAAGGTGCTGGACTGGTTTGGTTACTTGTCCCTTCAGAAATAAGGAGGAGATGACATTTCAGTTAGGTTTTATCATTTCAGTTAGGTCATATCAGGCTTTATGACAGCATGGGATTAATACAGGCTGAGGATACAGTAAAGGCAAATGACAAGCAAGGAAGACACAGCCATGGCCAGGCCCCAGTGAGTGGGTTGAGAGAGATGAAATATTTCTAGTACAAAGCTGGTGGTGTTACAGGAAATCGATATGGAAAGATAAAGGCAGATTATTGGAGCCCATACTACCATGGTGTTGAATTCTACCAGAGCAGAGACACTGCACAGCAGATACACAGGAAATGCCTCAGGAAATGCCTGGTAGAAATGATCACAAGTTACTAGAAGGTACAGACTGACTTCAAGGAGAGTCCTGACTGGGCTGTTTAAGTATTTCAGGGAGATGGTGTGGAAGACCCCTGTTGCAGCTGAAATACAGGGAATATGAATGTGCCAGCGCTGGTTGCTGGGCAGATGGAGTATGGAAAGAGCATGACAAAAAAAAAAAAAACAAAAAACAAAAAAACAAAACAAAACAAAAAACTAGAATGATCACACCCATGATGAAGCTGGTATTGTGGGGATTTCACATGTGTATAGTAGAAAACTATCAGAACTGTGGATGCAAGGGTAGGTGAAGAGAGCAGGAATAGAGGAAAAGATATGGAAAGGATCCTTATCTGAATAATAGTGAAAACCCCAGGAAGGGCTGCTGTCCATTTGGAGGAAGTGGGAAATGAACAGTGAGATGGCTAGAATGGCTGGGGGAGTGCAGGGGTTTGATGTCTGTTCTGTTTTTCAGAGTAGAACAGAGTTGAGCATCTTTATGGGAGTAAGAATTATAAAACTGATCTGTATAGAAATAGGGATCAGTGGCTCAGTCAGGGTCATACAGATAGGAGAGGTATTATAATGAAAGGCAGAGGTTGAAATGTAGGCTTTGCTTTCAAGAAGAGAAAGGAGATCTGTGTAAAGGACAAGAACCTGTGACATGGAGGGAGGATATGTCAGTTGGAGTCGGCCATGATGAGGGTGACTTGTATTCATCTCAGCCAAGTGAAGTGGAATGCAGTGGCAAGGAGTGGGATTGGGGGCCTGAAGTCAATGAACAGGGAAGAGCAACTTGAAGCAGGTCACATGTCAACCAAAAGCCCAGCAGAGTCTCTCCGGATCTTGGCAAGGACTCCTGCAGAATGGTCCTGCATTCATTTGAACAATGTGATACAGGCAGCAATTCTTTATTTTCTGTTCTATTAGATCTAGATCAGAAAGAAATTGAAGAACAAAAGGAAGAAGAAAAAAATGTGGAAACAGCAAGTGAAAGAATGAAGGCAGAGAGAAGAAAAAAAGGCAGAGTAACCTACATTTTAGAAAGGGAACAGAGGGAACTAGAAAAACTGGATCAAGAAAGGGTAATAATTATGACTTAATTCTCTGTACAAGTTGCTGCATTGTTCACCTTTAGTAACTACATTGAGGTGAGTGAAGGGAGTCAATTAGTGTCCAAATTCAGAGGAGTGGCAGGTGCCCGAAAAGGAATCCCTGTCCTCTTCTTGTCTTACAAGCAGTGAGAAATGCTGTGTAGAATATGCAGCTTAGGAGTTTGGTAGTAAATGGTTGTTTTTGAAGGTAATTTTTGTGCATTCTCATCTGATCCTTAAATAAGGCTGTAAAAAAGTAGACTGTGCTTTGCTTCAGAATGTTGCTTTGAAATCAGAGTTTAAGGAAGAGGCTGTCAGTGTCAGCTAGCTGGTACTAGAAGAACCCAAAGGTGGAGATGGCTGCCAGTCCAAGTTTGCTTCCAGGGGCGTATGCTGCACCCCTTTTTCCTCAGGTTCTCTTCTTCACATCTGTATTCTGATTCTTGTCCTATCAGATGGATTACTCTGTCCACTTAACAACCTTGTTAAGTCTTGCTTGAATTACTGTAACATAAGAATGTTCCCTGGATTCCTGGTTAATTCAAATCTAAAGCGCAGGACACTTGAGGGAAATTAATGGCTTCCTTCATTGAGATGATCTATTTGTTTTCCATTGATGATAGGAATGACTTCCATTATGAAAAATTAGTTCACTGGCACACACACTGTGGGCGGGGACACACAGGGCTTCTGTGGTTTATTTTTACTTCTCGAAACAAGAATGCACATCCAAGTAATCTTTCTTCTCCATTGAAGACAAAAAGGTGAAAAGCATAAAAAATCGAAAGTTCAGATGGAACCTCGAGTCTTTTAAAGGTATTACTCTTCCGATAAACATTTAAGATAAAATATTTCATTCTTAAGATAAAATATTTAAGAGATTTTAGTTTGTCAAAATTTGTAAGGTAGGGTGGTTCACTGTTTTAGGACCAAGAGAAAAAAAACTATTATCATATAACAAGGACATTAGTACTGACATTAATATTTTATATGTCAGAAGCATCATGGTGTTAAATGCATACCTTATGGTTTATTTTGATGTGCTTGCTAAATTTTGTGTTTATAAATCACTGCTTTTTTAGGCTTTCAAATTACATGTATGTTTCAAAAATGGTTCTTAGCCAAGTATTTCATAAAATTAATGCATACCTAATTTCAAAATTCTTCCCTTTCCCCCAGGTAATCAGAGCTCAAGAAAGGTGATTCAGGAAGGCTCCCTATAGACATGCTTCAATCTAGTGACAAAGTTGAAATGGACTTGGTTTCCCCACACTGTGTTTTATGTGTGAACGGTTAATTGCTTATTTTTTCAGCCAAAAGAAATGGTTAGAAATTTGAGGTTGCCTGTAAGAAGTTATTGAATCAGTCAGAATTACTGACTATAAAAAGAAAGGATTGGATTTTCTAACTTGTGAAATTGATCCTAATATAATTGATAAGCAAGACCAGAAACTCCCCAGAAAATAAATTGAGAACATTACAAAGATACCAAATAAATCTGACACAAATTTTCAAAATTTTTACGTTTTAATTTTTGTCTCCCCTTTGGTAATTGAACAGGATTTTCTCATGAAGGACCAGATCACTCTTGAAAACCAGGTTTGCTCTCCAGCTTCTATTGCAAATATAATGAGAAGATACATAACATTTACCCCTTTGTAAATGTTTCTCTGTCATCAGACAAAACTCTCGATAGAAATCACTGTGTAATCCAGTGTATTTGTTTTTTCCTAATTGCATTTGATACTATAGTGTATGAACCAAGAATAATCGAGTCAAGTGAAACCCCTTTTCCAGTCATAAAATGTCTCATTCATTACACTAAAAGGAGCTGTTCTTTTTAAAAAACATTCTTATTTTGGTCTCAAATTTTTAAATGTGTTTAACCTATCTTATTTGTCAAATCTAGGCCTATATTTGGGAAGGGTAAGCTGTGTTCTTTCCTCTGAAGAGCTGGGCTGCCTTCTGTAAAACAAGAGGCCATTTTTCCCAGCACATTTCTGTTTTCTACCTGAACACTAAAATACAGATTTTTCTAGGCATTAGAAATAGTACAATATTGCCTCTGGTCTTTGCATTTGATGCCTGTGGCTTTAGTAATTGTGTCCCTCCAGAATTTATATGTTGGAATTTAAACACCCCAGAATGGTAGAAGTAAAAATTCAAGATTTTGGGAGGCAAATAAGAGAGCAATTAGCGACCTTATAAAAGAACTCAATGGAACTAACAAAGCTTTTTAGCCCTTCCACCATTAGAAGACACTGTATTTGTCCTCTCTAGAGAAGGCAGCAACAAGGTGCCGTCTTGGAAGCAGAGACCAGGCCTTCACCAGACATGGAGACCATCAATGCCTTGATCTTGGACTTCTCAGTCTCTAAAACTGTAAGAAATTTACTTCTGGTTTTATAAGTTACCCAGTCCAATGTATTGTGTTATTGCAGCAGGAAGGTACTGAGATAGCATCTTTATTGTGGAACCATTGGTCCTCATACTTAATGAATGGGCTTCAAGTGTTTCATTAATTTTAAAACACACGGCTCCTTCTTTACAATTGATTTCATTTTTATTTTCTAAAAATCAACGTTTACAATGCAGAACTGGAAAAAAAAATCTCTACTGAAACCTGTAGATTGTCCTAGGTTTTTTGGCAGAATCACTGTGGATAATTTAGAGGCTGCCTGTGATCACATCTATGTATTATTTAGTTTCCTGTCTATTCATGTGACTTAAATAATTGCACAAAATGCTACTTAAAAGTAGGAAGAAAGGAAGGTGACAAATAGCACACTAATTGAACTGTTGACTGTTTTTCTGTCATGTATGAATAAAGGATGATGATCCAGAGTCAGCACCTCAATGAAGAGTAGGCATGTGTCAATAGTGACAAAGGCTAGGCCTCACTAAAAAAGGTCAGATGCAGACAATCCAAATTCAGAATTATATTGACAAATAAGGAGTTGAAAAACATTATATAATAATACTCTGAGTAACATATTTAGCTCTGCAACTCTAGAGAGTAATTGTTAGAACTGGTTGCTCTATATTTCTGAGTAAATCTTTCAATTTTTATACCATCGATTTGAAAAATAAACAACTACACATGGGCACTGATTGCTTGTAATTTGCACAAGTTTAAGCCTTGTTAATCTCATAGGTAGGTGGCTTTTATTTGTTTCAAAACTAGTCAGGAAAGTACTTACTATATACAGAAAACTACAGAAGTGCTTTTGGCACTTTTATACCCAGTACAGCCCGGTAGATTATAATATTTTCTTAAATGGCTGAAGAAAATTTTCCAGAAATAAACCAAGTAGCACTCACAGACTTGACTACCACACCAGTGTGAAATCTTTACTACGCACATTATTCAAAAGTCACAGCATACTAGGGAAAAAGAAAGATAAGATTTGTATAAAGTAAAAAGGCAAGTGAATGAAGCTATACTTTTATTTCATTTCTCTTAATATATCCACAACTATTTTCACCAATATAGATCTTTAAAATAAGCATAGACAAGGATTAACTATTATCTACAAATACTTATTGTAACACTTGAGTAGAACAATAGGAAGCCCTTGACACTGATTGACAATGTGGATTAACTGTTAGATTACAAAAAATTATACATAGCAAAATTTAATTCTCTTTACATAAAAAATAAGGCTACATAAACAAAGCTTTCAAAAGTTTCTGACAATAGCTACCAGAATTAGAAAGTTAAAATTAGACTTGAGGCACTACATCTTCTGCAATACTGGACTCTGAAGGCACCACCATTGCTGGAAATAATAGTTAATTTTGTCATGCAACAGGAAAACAAAACACGTAACTATTTTGGAATATTTGTTCTATACAGAAGAGAACTTCTCTCAGTTAAAATTAAAAAATCCCAAACAGGCATTTTTATAGAGTAACCAAAAAAATAAAAATAAAAAAAAAGAAAAACCCACTGATACATGTGATACTTGATGTTCAAATTTAATAGCATCCATATAAAATTGTACTTCCTTTCTTAATTTTGAGTACATTTCTGCACATGTGGTGCTCTCAAATCCAGGAAACAGCCAAATCACAAGTTAAATTTTAAGGTGAATATACACAATGGATCCTGTATTAAGCAGCCCATTTGAAAAACACTGATGTACCTAACAGTTATGTAGAGTATTTCATAAAGAACTGCACAGAATTTACCATCACTAACACACTGTAACTATAGTCACTGAATATCTGGAATACAATAAGGCAGAAGGCAAATTTCTTTTGAAAATGTCTTAAACTCAGGAAGTTTTCTTATGCAACACCAAACTTTGTTATTCCAAGGAATTAAGATTTAGATAAGAAGAAAATGAAATACCAACCCTAATTTAAATTACTTACATCTTCAAGTCTATAGAAGTCAAAGGTTACAGATCTTTGGCCAATTTGAAATTAGGTTTTAGATAGTGGATGTGAAACTGTTTACCCAGAGCACTGAAAAATAGTTTAAACTGGTGGTTGTTTTGGTGAGGTAAAAATTCTTAATTTAAAAAAATACATAGAACGAAATTCTGTGAAAGATATTTAGGTCATTGGTTTTGATATAAATTCTGAAAAATGTATACCAAATACTCTTTAAGGCAGAGATGACATTTATTTCTCAAGGATAATAAAAACTAGATCAGTATTTTGTTGAAATAAAACCTATTATAAAAGTGCTTCTGGAATTCTTGTCAATGAGTCTGAATCTAGATTTTTTAGAGTATCTAGTAGAGTCAGCAGAATTGTACCTACTTTTAGGATTATTGAAAAATATTTTCTTCTTGGCTGAGGAAATTAATGGGACACGGACTTCGGAGAGAAAGCTAATTTAAAAAGTCATGAGATGAATCACGTTACTTATGCGCCAAAGTTTAATAAGTGCCAGCTGTCAGAATTGAAACTTCACACCAATTTCACTTTATTTCCTATGTAGGTAACACTTATTTGAGAATAGATAGCATATATATGAATTTATCGTCTCATCTTTTGATGCTGGCATGTCACAGGTCCTTATCAAAGAGTATCACATATTCCATTGAGTGTCTTGAGAGAAATGTTCTAGCAGCAAATGTGAATGTGCCACAAATTTCCAGAGTGAAAGGTCATTTTGTCAAAGTGTTACCTTTTAAAATTGCTAACATATAACCTGCAATATTTGCTCTAAAGAAAAAGATGTACTCACTGGAAGGTATTCCGGGAGCTACATCTCAGCAGCTTGAGACAGAAAGGTGTTTGAACGTCTACTTTAGTTTGGTGGGATATACATCTGTAATGCAGAGCAGTTGTCTGATAATTTGTCAGAGCTGTCAATGTGTTGGCTGAAACACTCTGGCAAACATTTATGTGTAAGAAGTGAGTTACTCCTTTTAGAGAAACTGGATATCTTGCAGTTCGTGTTCTTTCTTTGCTTTGATACCCTGGTAAGCCTGCATTTTGCTGGCATCCATGTAAGCCAGTTAGAAGACAGTATCATGAGAAAGTGGATCTGGAAAAGAAGGTTGAGCATGATGACTAGTAAGCATGTCAGAAGGTAAAGCAAGGTGCTACTTAGATTAGATAGACTTGATGTTAAAGGGGATGAGGGTTATTCTGTATTAATTCTTTCTCTACTAGCAGAGCTGTCAAATCCTGAAAATGTGCTCTACTACTAGGCTTCACTTTAAAAAACTGAAGAAAAGTAAGTACATAAACATTGCAAAGTATATCTATTAACTATTAAATTTCTGTATACTCATCAGTCTAAGTGAGTAATATATTAAACACCTCTCACTACAATTGGGATTTGTCTACATAAATAGATATTCATAAAATTTGCCTCAGGTGTAGGTTGAGACAATGCTGCTGAGACATTTAAATTTGTGACTGTTATATTATCTTTAAAATATATTTTCATATTTTGATATTTCTTATTTTGTCTGTTACCTTATAAATTATATTTTATTATCCCTCTTTATTGTTTGTATTTTCCTTAAAACTCTCCTTTGCCTTGTATAATATCAGTGACCTTACTTTTTTGATAAATACCTGTTGATTTTCTCTAAACCTTTATTTTCAATATTTCAGGGTGATTATTTCTAGGTAAAAGCAATTTTTTCTCAATCTAATATTAGAGTACTTTATATTTTAACACAGAAATATAAACCGTTTACATCTAATATGGTTACTCTCATAGCTCTCTAACTAATATCTGATTAGAGAGTTGTTCTACCCTAGATTTTCTTTGTCTCTGCTTTGGCATATCTGCCTTAGTTCTTCTCTCCCCTTCCCCACCTGCCACCTATTTTCCTAATTGTGTTGATTTAATTTTCTTACTCATATTTATTTCTTTTCCTGCTTTTGACATTTGTCACGATATTTCTAAACTTTCTTAGCTTATCAGTAGAACCCAGTTAGTTAACTTTTTTCTAACAAAGTAACACATTTATTAGCCTCATAAAAAATTCTTGTAATACCTCTTTCATTTGGATATTTATTCTTCTTGCTAAAAAAAGGAAACAAGGAAACCTTTATTCTTCTTTTCCTTGGTGTTTTGATAGGTCTTTGATATTTGCATAGTCTTCATAAGTTGAAAAATGTATCTCTAAGTAACAAAAACATATGTGGAATAATATTCTGTGTAGAGATAATTTTTGTATTCTGCCTGTTGCCCTTTCTAAACATTTTTGTCTCATGGTGTTTTTTTTAAATGCAGATGAAAGTTTCCTAATCTGAGCTCAACTTTCATAACTTCCCTTTCATGTATGGCCACCAGATAAAATGAAGGATTCCCAGTTACATTTTCATTTTAAATAAACAACAAACAGCATTTTAGTATAATTCTCAATAGCTTTGTAATTTAGTAATATTCTCAATATTGCATGGACAGACTTATACTGAAATATAATTCTTTGTTGTTTGTCAATACATTGCCAAATTTCAAATTAAAATGTGATATTTAAATTCCTGTATTTTCCCCCTACATCTGGCAACCTTACTTTCACATCTACTTAGGAAATTACTTATTCTTGCTATATTTATGCTGAATCTTCTGTATAAAAAACAAACAGGCCAGGCGCGGTGGCTCACGCCTGTAATCCCAGCACTTTGGGAGGCCAAGGCGGGTGGATCACAAGATCAGGAGATCAAGACCATCCGGGCTAACACGGCGAAACCCCGTCTCTACTAAAAATACAAAAAACATTAGCCAGGCATAGTGGCGGGCGCCTGTAGTCCCAGCTACTTGGGAGGCTGAGGCAAGAGAATGGCATGAACCCGGGAGGCGGAGCTTGCAGTGAGCCGAGATCGTGCCACTGTACTCCAGCCTGGGTGACTGAACGAGACTCCACGTCAAAAAAAAAAAAAAAATTATTTGATTTCCCTTAATATATGCTTCATTTAGACAATGATGAATAATTGTCTATTTAAAAAATTTGTATCCTGTTACCCACTTGTTTTTCCCTTAGATTCCATTTCTTCATCCCCAAAAACACCTAACCCTAGTTATTATGAAGACTCTTTTGATTTAACTTTTCATTTTTGAGGGTGACCCCTAAGCATCTTGACTATCTCTTAGGGCATGGAACTTCCAACATTGATTTTGCAATGTTGTCTTTGAAGTGGTAAATGAAAGTTAACCTTTTAAATGTAAAGTTATTATTGGTGGGTGGGCAGTTTTATGTTAATCTTTTCAGGTTTTTAAGAACTTAATTGTTCAATCTAGTATTTTATTCCAGTTTCTTATTTTAAGGTAGTTGTATCTTTCAGGTAATATGAAAATCATCTCTTCAGTCTAGAATATCACACTGGATAGAGGTTGAGATATGAAATTTTAAGTCATGGCTTTGAGTAAAAACCTCATTCTGTGTTAGATCCCAGTATCTGTGGGCATGGCTTTCAGTATTGACTCAAATGTTCCCACTAAATGTCTGAGCAATATGAACTTTCACCAATGATTTAGGCAGGGGGTCCAGCCCTCTTGAACAAAGAAATGGTTTCTTTCCTGGGAGTATATCCAACTTTACTCTTCAATTGACTACTTCAACAAACTACTAAGGTTAATCTCAACCAATATTATTGGAGTCCAAACCTCAGAAATGATGTTTTTCTTGATAGTGAGTTTGAATTTTTAAAAAATAATTTTGTCTTACACTTATAGTCTCTGGGTGTCATGAGAGTTGCTTTTGCAAATTTTCACTTTGCTCCAGAGAGCTAGAAATAAGTGCTTGATTTCTATCAAATCACTTGTTACTTAACAAAGAAAACCTCTGAGAAAGGTGTTATTACTATATCCCTTCTGCAGTTGAAGCAAGACATATTTTTGCTTACATTTTCTGAAAACATTGCCAATGGTATTATTTTTCCAAGTGTATGGAAGGTATTCTATCTTTTCTTCACTGTCCTATATTATTTATATGCTATAAATCATTGGCTATTTCACATATATTTCACATATATTATAAAAACTTCTTTGAGATTATTTAATTTTGGTGAAAACTTTATTTTATACAATCAGTTCATTGTAGGTATATCTAATCATGCCATTCTCTGTAATATTATCTTCCTATGATTTCTTTGCATGATACTTTAAAAGCCTTTCTATAACTTTCACTTTTTAGAATTCCCAGTTACACTGCAACACACCAATGTTTCTGACATAATGTCAGAAGGGAAACACAGACTCTGAAAAGTAGAAAGAGAAAGACATTTTCTCTAGGGACTTCACAACTTGAAGAGTGACAGTATGTAAATTTACTGGGATTTTTAGGTCTTTCATGTATCCCAGATGATGGACTGTAGAAGCTTCTAATTGACAAAGTCCAATAGGCACAGATAAAAAGGGCTTCAAGGAAATACTGTTTTCTCCCAGTCAATGAACCAGAAGAGGATGACCTACCAACACACAAATCCAAAGAACACTTCTAGAGAGAATATCCAAGCTACTCAAAAGTCAAGCCCTGTCTTTGTTTGGGGCTCAGTGTTTAAATGTTAATCTGTTAAATCAGGGTGCACACAATACAATTCTTCTTTTCCACCCACTGGTCTCTACTATTCCTTAATTCCTGCAACATTTTCTGGGAGCTCATCCAGGATTGGAGACAACAGGTATGCTGTTTCTTTTGCCTGTCAGACTGGAGCTCCAGGCCAGGAAAGACCTGTGACCCCAGGTGCACCATCAGAAGAACTTCAACCTGAAAGAGAGGCCAGATGTCCTGTGACCCTGTGCACCCCCCGAAAGCACAATGGAACTTAAGGGGCTACAGGACAATTCCAGGGACAGCATGCTGCTGAACCATGGGAAGGTTTGGGGCCCAAGGAAGGACCCATACCATAAAGATGGAATGGGAGTCTGATCACCTCCCAGTGCGTATCTAGTTATCCAAATCAGGACACAAGATTTGCTCTCTAATTCAGATGAAACCTACACCATAACCTCTGAAGAGGAACTGAGAGTGGAAACTGTGTGAATGCATGTGCAAGAGTAGGGCGATGTATGTGGGGCTGCAAGTCTCTTAGCATAGACCATATGTCCCAAGTGAAGTGTGGGACCAACCAGGATTACTGGCATATGTCCTCCGGAACTACCACATATGGCTTAGTCAGGCACCACACAATTTAGTGATTGTGGTGGTCTGGGTTCAGGGGTTATACAAACCATCCATTAAAGCTAAGCATCATCTGAAATACTCCCACAGGAGAGGTGGTCTAATCATTCTGAAGCAAAAGTAAAAGAGTAAGTGTATGACACTATAACTGGGAGGAGATGTGAGGGAAGTTGTCAAAACCCACCATATTAGAATACACGTTAAAAAGTTTAAGAAATGTTACACTGGGAATTGTAGTATCAAGTCGACTCCCCAGAGGTAAAAGAGTCTTTGTAAAATAGAGAAGCCCTATTTTAGTGTTGGGTGGCCAGCTGAAGGAACAATAGATGGGGAATAATTGACCATGCACATCAAGTGGTGACTGGGGTCAGAGAATAGCCAGGGTATCCAGACCAATTTTTTTATATTGACTTATGGCTAAATATCATCCCAACCAGCATGGCTACAGTCTTTCCTGATGGCTTACTGCAAAACGCTTGTTGCTCAAGCTGAGCCTAAAGTGAAAGAGGAATCAGCTTCACCAGCAGCAATGGAGAAAAAGGGAAAGCCATAAGAAGGGCAAGAAAAACTGGCTTTGTGGAAACCACCAGAAGAGACAGAAATCCCTCCTCCCTATACCCCAATTAGCCCCCTTTTACCAAGGCCAATGGCCCATGAGGAGTCAAATTCAGATGGTGACACACCCTGGGTTTCACCCCAAAGGGAGAAATCAGAGCCCCTGCCCCAGGAGGTCAAGGAGGAGTGTCAGAATAATCAAGTGAGCTGCCTCTGCTATGGCCATGCCCTGGTTCTGCAGATGCCTTTCAAGGAGACTTGGGGAGGCCTCTACTTTGATGAATATGGCCATACGTAAGGGGGGAAATGGACCCTTATCTACCAGCCTATTTCAATCACTGATCCCCTAACTGGAAACACCATATTCTCTCCTACATGAAGAAGCCCCTGGCCCTCATAGATCTGATACAGTCCATTTTCCAGACACATAATTCAATTTGTCCAGATAGTAAACATCTTCTCCTGATGCTGTTTAACACCAAAGAGCATGGAAGGATGGCTCATTCAGCCCTCAACTGGCCAGAAGCCCATGTGCCAGAAGGCACATTTAATTTCCAGGCATACTCTCAGGTCCAGTTCCCAGAAGCACACTCCCACTGGGACCCAGATGATTTGACCAGTTTCAGCATCTGCAGGCATACTGAAAACCACTCTTGCAAAGGCTAAAGGAAGGCAGAAAACAGGTAATCAATATAGAAAAAATCTCAGAAGTGCTTCAAGAAACTGACGAGAGCCCTAGCAAGTTTTATTAGAAACTGTTTGAGGCATTCTGGCTTTACACTCCATTTGACCCCAAGGATAAGAACCAGCAGATAGTAAATGCAGCATTTGTAGGACAAGCCCAGGGGGACATAAGATGAAAAGTGCAAAAGCTAGATGGTTTTGCAGGCATGAATGCCACCCAGCTTTCAGAATTGGCCACGAAGGTGTATGTTAACTGTGACCAGAAAGCACAAAGTGAGGCTGATTGGAGACTCAGGAAGAAGGCCGATCTACTAGTGGCAGCCCTCATGGAAAGGGAAGCTATCATCACAAGCAGATGCAGATGCAGACTCAGATGTGGAAGGGGCCAAGCAGGGCAGAGACCCAAAAGTCAGCTGAGACTAGATAGAGATCAATATTTGCACTGCAAAAAAAGGGGGTCCCTGGAAAAATAAGTGTTTAGAGGGTAGTAAAAGAAATAACAGAGGACACAAAACTATCAAACAGCCAGCCAAGGACCACCACACCATGAGGGAGCCAGGCATCAACTTAATTGGGCTGGCAGAGACCGAAAAATAGGAAGACTATGCAAGACCGGGCTCCATCTCCCAAGTCCCCAGGAGCCCATGATCACAGTAGAAGTAGGGGAGCAACAGATGGACTTTATGGTGAACACCAGCTCTAAACACTCAGTAGTGACACAGCCCATAGGGCCACTATCTAAACATGATACAACTATTATTGGGGCTACAAGGGATCCAGAAAGGAGGCCATCTTGCTGGCCTAGAAGGTATGTCATAGAGGGACAAGAAGTCCAACATGAATTCCTATACCTCCCAAGTTGCTCAGATCCCCTACATGGAAGAGATCTGCTCCAGAAACTGACAGCACAGATTTCTTTTGGGCCACACGAGGATATAACTTTAAGCCTAACTCACCCAAAGGTCATGGTGTTAACCCTCATTATTCTGCAGGCTGAGGAATGAAGAGTATAGACAAAACAGTCACCAGAACTGTCTCATAAGCCAGGGCTGGAGAAAGTGTTTACACTACTGGGTAAAATTTTTGGAGTATGGGCTAACAATAACCCACTGAGCCTGGCTGTAAAGGCTGTAAATCAGGCACTGATAATAGTAAAGCTAAAACCAGGAGCAACTCCAGTTCAGGTTCACCAATACCTATTTCTCTGAGAAGACACGCGGGGTATTCACAAACATTTAAAGTGACCCTTCAAACACAGAATCTTAGTCTGGTAGTCTGGTGTGAGTCACCCTGGAACACTCCACTGCTACCAAAACAAAATACAGAGTCTGGTAAATCTAAACCAGTGCAAAACTTACATGAAATGAACCAGGCTACTGTAACCTTCCACCTGGTGATACCAAATCCGTACATGCTAATAAGATTCATTCTGGCAAGTGCTGCCTGATTTACTTGACTAGACTTAAAGAATATTTTCTTCTATCTGTGCCTGGCACCAATTAGTCAGCCCATCTTTGCATTTCAATGGGACGATTGAGTCACAGGCACAGGGGAGCAGCTCACATGGACTAGACTCCCACAAAGATTCAAAAACACTCCTACAATCTTTGGAGACACACTGGCCTCAGACATCAAGGCCTTCACCACACCAAATGACAACTACACCTTGCTACAATACATAAACGACCTTCTCCTAGCAGCCCCAACCCCAGGGGGCAGATACCAAGGAATCCAAGACTTCCTCCATCTCCTTTATGGAAAACTGGTTATAACGTATTCAGAAAGAAGGCCAAATTTGCCAAGAAAGTGTCAAATATCTGGACTTCATAGTAAGCCAATGGGAACACCAGCTCAGCAGTGAGCAAAAGCCATGTCTTTATGCACTCTCAACTCAAACCACCCAGTGCCAAATGGGAAAATTCTTGGGGAATGCAGGGTTCTGCTGTATCTGGGTCCCAAATTTCTCACTAATTGCCAAGCCCTTATATAAAGGCACAAAGAGAGGGGAAAGGAAACCCCTCCTTTGAGAGGCTGTCCAGGAAAAGAAGGTGTTTAAACAAGCCAAAGAAGCCTTAACACAGGCCCAAGCCATAGGACTGCCAAATATAAGTAAGCCTTTCTTTCCACATGTCCATGAATAAAAGGGATTGGCTATAGGTGTCCTGACCCAAGTTGTGAAATCATGAATTCGCCCGGTGATGTACTTATCCACACAATTGAACTCCTTGGCCCTAGCATAGCCTCCTTGCCTTAGGGCACTAGCTGACACCACCCTATTGGAACAACAAGATAGAAAACTAGCTCTAAGACAACAGCTGACCATCTGGGTATACCACAGTCAGTTCTAACTTTAATGGATTAGACAGCGCACTATTAGTTATCAAATCCAAGAGTGACTCAGTACCAGGGGCTCATATGCAAAAATCCCGACATAACTTTGGAAATAATAAACACCCTTAACCTGGCTACCTTAGTCCCAGTCAAACCAGGGGTCCTCCTTCATGACTCTGTGGAAACAGTAGATGATGTATTCTCAAGCCAGAAAGACCTTATAGAGCAACCCCTCTGGGACCCAGATGGTAAATACTATATACTGAAAGGGGTCCGTGAAACTGGGTATGCAGTGATAACATTAGATTCAGTGGTAGAAGCTCAGCCCACCAGAACATCAGCCCAAAAGGCAGAGCTAATAGCCCTAATGAGAGCGTTCTGCTGACAAAACGTAAAATGGCCAATGTTTATACTGATTCCAAGTATACTTTTGCCACGCTGCCTGATAATGGGGCTATATATAAAGAAAAAGGATTCTTAACTGCGGTGGGCCAAAAAGAAAAAAAAGTACAAAGAAAAAATTCTGCAACTCTTAGATGCTGTATGGACTCCAAAGAAGACAGCTGCTATGCACTGCAAGGGGCACCAAAAGCCAGGATCACTGGAGGCCAAAAGGAACAAAAAGGTAGACAGGTATGCAAAAGGGGCAGCAATGACTACCCATAGACAGACAGACAGCCATAGCTGACTCTCCTCCCAAATATGCACCTCTCAGAGGTTTCAAGTTACCTCCAAATGAGAAGCTCTGCTTTTCCCAAGGGTCTGGAAAATATATAAAAAGGGACGGTGAAAATTCTCCAATAGGAGGCTAGCCAACCACGAAATGCTGGCCCCAAAATTTGTAAAACAATTCCATCAAGGAACCCACATGGGAAAAATGTCACTGAAAACACTGCTAGGACACCATTTCTATGTGCCACAGCTCACTGTCATCACTTGATCTGTCTGCAAACAATGTCTAACTTGTGCCCAGAACATTCCATGACAAGGGCCCACTTGGCCCCTGGGAATTCAGGAAATGGGAGCCACACCCTGTGAAAACCTTCTTAGAAACTTCACTGAGATGCCCCAATCAGTGGGCTGTAAGTACATACTGGTGATTTTCTGTACCTTTTCAGGATGAGTTGAGGCTTTCCCCACCCTAACAGAGAAATCATGAGAAGTAACAGAAGTACTGTTAAGAGACGATATCCCCAGATTGAGAATGCCTCTAACTCTAGGGTCAGAAAATGGACTGAAATTTGTGACCGAGACAGTTCAGGGACTATTTTCCACTGGCCATCCCCAATCATAGCTCAAATTAGGGGTGAACTTTGCAAACTAGGGAATTAACTTTAAGAAGGCAAAGGCAGGCGTTAAAGAGAGCCATGCAAGAGGTCCATGGCTGGGTATGGGAAAGATTGTCCATAAGCCCAACAAACACAGCACACCACTTTAGACCTGGGGACTCTGTGTAGGTCAGAAATAAAATCCAACCACTCTAGAACCCATATGGGATGGGCCCCATCCTGCAACCTTGTCCACTTCCACTGCTGTTAACATTGCAGAAATTGTGCGTTGGATCCACCACAGTCAACTAAAACTTGCAGCCCAAGACAAGTGGACCAGCAAACATGACCCAGACCATCTGAGCTGGCTAATCCTATGACCTATTTGCCCTGAGAAATGATGAAGCCCTACTCTGGTCATTCCGAAAGCTGACTAGTCTGTTCTCAGCTAAAACTTGAGGAGTCAACAGCCCTGCTGTAGTCATCCTGGAAGCTGACTACTGTACGTACGTTTGAAGCTGGAGTAAAATATAATAAAATAGTGATAAAAATCTTAAATCCAATCATTGTTTTACTATTGTTCTCTCACTTTGCTCAACCTCCTCCCCTGTGTAAAAACTTCTTCTTTTCCTCCCTGGTATAAACATGTTACTCTTTACTTATTTCCTATTCCAGGCAATAGGAAAGCTAAGCCCACTTCTTTTCCTCCTAACTATAATACTCCCCTTATTTGTTTCAGAAAAGGAGACCAGAGAAGAGTGCCCACACTGCACTAACAATATGGTCAGGGAGCACCATAACCAAAACCCTGTTATATCACACTTATTAAAAGTGTACAGGGACCCACCTAGAAACTTGTACTCACAACGAAACTACTCAGTCTGTGACCCAGGAAATGGCTAGACTTATATGTGTTATAACCCCAAATTCCTACCTGAGACCTCTTTTAAAATTCATGGGTCAATAGAAGGAAACCTGCTACACCAAACCAAGGTCTCATCCTCCCATTGGGGAGTTATGTCCTTATCCTTTAATATATGCCAGTTAACATCCATGGGCTCAACCTTTCCCATAATCTCTAATTCTGAAGAGCACTATAATAGTTGCCACAAAAATATATGTTCACCCCTTGCTTTCTTTGCCAGTTTCTCAGAGACAATTTGCTGGAACTGCATAATTCAGTCCTGTAACCTGCAATCACTGGGGTGAGTCATACTTACAGCAAAAACAAACTGTAAGGCAAGCACTTGCTACCTGGAAAATCTCAGTACCTTAAAACCGTATCTGGCTGTATGGGCTACAAGTTTAAAGGCTCCTCTAGGAATACAAGTTAGTGGCCAGAAAACAGACTCAAAAGCCTATTTACATATTATCAAGAAATCTCGGATGGTTACACCTGAAAACTCTGTTTTAAAATCATTCTGTAAAAATTTCAACCAGGAACTGTTTGAACCCTCTCTCTTAGCCAGAAGCCTATTCAGTTGAAGTATATGGAAGCCTATTCAGTTGATGTATATTCAACTGGCTGAAAACATAGCCAGCAGCCTACATATCTCCTCATGCTATGTTTGTGGTTGGACCAACATGGGACACCAATGGCCATGGGAGGCAAGAAAGCTAATGCCCCAAGATAACTTCACTCTTACTGTCTCTTCCCCTGAACCTGTGTTCACAAGCCAGAGCATCTGATTCTTAAAGACCTCCATTATCAGAATATTATGCATTTCTTGTTGGAGAAAAACCTTACAGGCCCAGTAGGAAAGTCAACTTGCCTAGAACAATAATATTACAATAAAACAGTAGGAAAAACTGTATGTTGTGGTAAAAATAATTCCAAACTGCCCCAACCAGGCCCATTCTCCTGATTCCCTTCTTTAAAGCATTCTTTGTACCAACTTAACGCTCCTAATACCCGTCAGGTGCCCTCTGAGCTCTACTGGATCTGTGGGCCATGGGCATATTGCCCATTGCTGGCTAAATGGTCAGGGGCCAGTGTACTGGAAAAAATTAGGCTGTCTCCTTTCTAATCGCCTTAGGACAGGGAGGACCTTTAGGGTATCCGGTCTATTATAAAACAAATACAGAACAAACAAACAAAAGACATAACCATAAGAAATTGGTAAAACAATTAATGACCCCCTAAAAATTCCAACACCATGGCTCAGCCACCTGGACAGAAAATGGAATTTGGGGATACTGCACTCCTATTTACATATTCTACCACAACATAAGGTTACAGGCAGTGCTGAAAATTATTACTAATAACACTGCAAAGACCCTAAATCTGCAGGCCCAACAAGCCACAAAAATGAAGAATGCTATTCATCGAAATAGACTGTCTTTAAACTACTTCCTAGTCCAGGAAGGAAGGGTATGTGGAAAGTTCAATCTAACTAAATGCTGCCTAGAAAGATCATTAAGAATACAACTTCCAAAATCCAAAAATTGGCCCATGTTACAGTCCAGCCTTTTAAAGGGTAGTCTCCAGTTTCCCTCTTTGGGGGCTTGTTTTCATCCTTTGAAGAATTTAAGATCTTAGTAAAAATAGTTCTAGCCATACTAGGATTCTGCCTTGTTCTAATTTGTCTCTTACCCTCCTTGTTAAAAACATTCAAGCAGCCATAGAGGCTCTTGTAAACAAACACACGACTACTCAACTAATGGCTCTAACTAAACATCAACCCCTGCCAAATAGGGAACTGCTCCCCCTTGAAGAATTACTAGGTGATTCTCTCTATTAATCCTCATTTACAAAAAGCATGAAAGGTGGAAATGAAACAGGGAATGTTAAAAAAAAAAACATATTCTGTGTACTGAGCTGACTCACTCCAAAAACCCAGGGATAAGCCAGGCCCTGTTGGGGCTCTGATAGCACTATCAGCAGAGATGGGGCCTGTAAAGAATGGGTTCCAGGAGCAGGAGTGAAAATAACACGTTCTTATCTGTTTCCCCTCTATAGTACTCTCACCCAATACCATTATTCTTTGATGTGCTCTCACATATACTTTTATAACTACTTCTGGAAGTTGACAAAAATTTTGTAGGTTTCTGTTTTCCCATCCATATATTATTGAAAGTCATGATACATGCCTGAGTTATAACACCTGTCACTTTTTTTTAAAAACTCTCTTCATTCTACTCCTATAAGCTTGCTTGCCCATCCTGCAGATTTCATGCCATTAGCTGCCAACCCTCTTCAGTTGCATGTATGAAAGTCAAGCCCTATCTTTGTTCAGGGCTCAGTCTTTAAATGTTATTCCGCTAAGTCAACGTACGCCCAATAAAATCCTCCTGTTCCACCCATTGGTCTCTCCTGTCCCTTAATTCCCACAAGAGTGGGAGCTTTGTCCTTTGTTTCAGGGATGAGCAAACAGCCAGGCTCTTTTCTTTTGGGACCAAAGTATTTCATCCTCAAATATGAAAGTAATTTTCTCAAGGAAAGCCACCTCTTACTCCCTCCCAAACATTGGAAATACATCTTAAAAATATTTCCAAAATGTCTGGTTAGCAGTTTCTTGGGTATAGTCATGGCATTCAGTAACATATAGAATTACTTAAAGAGGCAAGGGATTTTGAGAAGTTTGATTTTGCTTATTCCAGAATAAATGCGTTTTGGAAACCACTCTGTAAGACCTGATCTAGAGCCTGTCTCTGCTGGGCAGTTTCCTTGGGGCTGATCATACAACAGTGAATCAAACCAAGCTCGTGTCATCCTGAATTTCTAGACACTGAGGCAGATGGTCAGCAAACCATTACCCAAGACTGTAGTAGAGTTGGGCTGAAGCAGATGAGTAGGGGCCATGGCTACAAGAGGGAGTTTTGACCGGCAGCCATTTGTCACAGACCTGGGAAAGGGACTGAAACAAGGTAATAAGATAAAGGAATTCAACTGAATAACTTGGTGTTCTGCCTCTGAGGTGGAATGTAGATTATAATACTGGATTTAGAAATTATTTACTGGGTGCAGTGGCTCTTTTGGAGGCTGAGATGAGTGCATCATGAGGTCAGGAGATTGAGACCATCCTGGCTAACGTGGTGAAACACCATCTCTACTAAAAATACAAAAATTAGCCAGGCATGGTGTCATGGGCTTGTAATCCCACCTACTTGTGAGGCTGAGGAAGGAGAATCAATTGAACCCAGGGGGTGGAGGTTGCATTAAGCTGACTGCTCAACTGCACTCCAGCCTAGGTGAAAGAGTGAGATTCAATAATAATAATAATAATAATAATAATAATAATAATATAAAAAAACATTATTAAGCAGCATAGTGAGTAACATTGGTGTTACTGAGAATTTTTTATATTCATCATTTCACTTCTTCTAGCCTCAATGGAAATTGAAAAGGCTGAAATATGCTCTCTCTGATGCAAGGGGCACAATGGACATACTTCATTTCTTTCCGTTGTGTCCAAAGAGGTTTCAGTATTCCACCACGTAGGTACAAAATATAAACCAGAGCAGTGAAGTAGTTTTGCTTCCTTTCTTCCTTAATAAAGAGGTGCTTAAATAATATTACTATCTTGAAATTACTATTTCATATAAGAAAGCAATCTCATTTATAAGTAACTTTTTTCTTCTTGTTCTTCTAGCACACAGAAAGTTGCCTTTCTACTTGCAGAAATGATTAACTGTCTCTTAAGGTATTTTAATTTCATGAGAAGGATTGAGAAGAGATGGTGGGTGGAGACAGAGAAAAAACTGTGTTGCTTTTCTCCTGTTTTTGAAACTAACTCAGTCCCTGCTGATGACTTTAGAACAAGGCAGAGCAAAAAGGTTCATGACCCTCTGGTGAACCTATAAATTCTTCTGTATATTTGCATTGCTTACTCATAAAAAAATAGGTTATGGGTAGAACTGGAAGAGAAAGGTCAGCATAATTGTTTCTGAGAATGAGGTCTATTTAAACATTTGAGATGTAGGGACCCGTGCCATGATGCAGAGGGAACAGACAATTTGTTGAAATATGGGCCTTCCCTGGAAGAGATAGAAACAGAAGAAACAAGTATGTGTATATTTTCAAGAAGCAGGTACAAGATATTGCACAATTAATGTGCTGGAGTGATTACTTTTCACTTCAGAAATAAGGAAGAGTTGGAATTTCAGTTTGGTCTCCAACAGCATATCACCCTTTATGACAGAATGGAAATGTCACCAGCTGAGGAGATAGTGAAGGCAAATGCCAAGCAAGGAAGCTACAGCCATAGTCAGACCCCAGAAAATGGGTTGGTACAGATGAAACATTTGTAGTACAATGTTGGTGGTGTTATGTGAAATCAATCTGGAAAGAAAAAGGCAGATTATCAGAGCCCAGAATACCATGGCATTGGACTCTACCAGAGCAGAGACACTGTACATGAGATACAATCTTCCCCTCAGGGAATGCCTGGTGCAGATGACCACAGGTTTCTCGCAGGCAGAGACTGAATTCACAGAGAGCCTTGACAGGGCTGTTTCAGTATTCCAGGCAGATGATGAGGAAGACCCCTCTTGCAGCCACAGGACAGAGAGTGTGAATGTGCCAGGGCTAGTTACTGGGTGGATGGAAGATGGCTCATGAGCGAAGGACTGGGATGATCACTCCTGGGATGAAGCTGGTGCTGTGGAGTTTCTACATGTGTATGGAAAGAAACTATCAGAAATGTGGATGGGAGGCTAGGTATAGAGATCAGGAGTGGAGTAAAAGATATGGAAAGGATCCACATCAGAGTAATCGCTGAAACTCTAAGAAGGGCTGCCGTCCATTTGCAAGACTCAGTTTCAACACAAACAAAAAATTAAGAATAATAATAAATTTAAAAAAGAGCTGAAATAAGAGGCTGTCAATGTCAGCTAGTTGGCTGTAGAAGAACCAAACAGTGAAGGTGGCTGCCAGTCCAAGGTTGCTTCCAGGGGCATACATTGCCTCCCTCCTTCCTCTGGTTCTCTGCTTCCCTTCTATATTCTGATTCTGGCCTAGCAGATAAATTTATCTGTCCAATTAATAGACCTGCTAAGTCTTGCTTGAATTACAGCAACATATGAATGTTCCTTAGATTCCTGGTTAATTCAAATCTGAAGCACAGGACACTTGAGGGAAATTAATCACTTCCTTCATTGAGATGACCTATTTGTTTTCCATTGATGATAGCAATGATTCCAATTTTAAAAATTAGTTCACTGGCATACACGATGGAATTATAGTACTGCATTTTTAAACACTTAAAATGTTTTATAAATGTGTTTGTGTATTTTGTGCTTTCATGCCCATCTGTTTTAGAGAAGATGATTCTGGAATCAATGAAGATGTTCGACAGCTTCTCCAGTCACAGAATTTCTCATTCATTACACTAAAAAGAGCTGTTTTTCTAAGCTTATATTTCCTAAATTTTAAATGAGTATAACCTATCATATTGATTAACTCCAGGCCTACTCTTTAAAGATTAAGCTATTTTCTTTCCTCTCCAGTGAAGGACTGCCATCTGTAAAATGAGGTCATCTTTTGCCGGCACATTTCAGTTTTCTCCCGGAACATAAAAACACACAGAAATTCCTAGGCTTTATGAATAGTACAATATTGCCTCTGATCTTTACATTTAATACCTGTGGTTTGAATGTGTGTGTCCTTCCAGAGTTCATATGTTGGAAGTTAAACCCTCCAGTGTGATAGAATTAAAAGGTGGGGGCTTCTGGAGGCAATTAAGAGTGCAATTAGCAACGCTATAAAAGGGCTTAATGGAAATAACTGGGCCCTTTTGCCCTTCCACCATTTAAGGATACTTTATTTGTCCTCTCTGGAGAACACAGCAACAAGATACCATCTTGGAAGCAGAAACTAGGCCTACGCCAGGCATTGAACCTGCCAGTGCCTTTACCTTGGGCTTCCCAACCTCTAAAACTGTAAGAAACATATTTCTGGTTTCATAACTTACCCAGTCTAAGGTATTGTGTTATAGGAACAGGAAGATACTGAGATAGCATCTTTATTGTGGAAACTTTGGTCATAATACTTCATGAATTGGCTTCAAGTATTTCATTAGTTTATAAATATAGGGTTCCTTCCCAGGTGGCAAGATCACTTTTGACAATTTAGAGACTTCTGGTGATCCTATCTATTACTTACACTTTCCTCTGTTGATTTGTGTGAATTAAATAATTGCACAAATTGTTACTTAAACAGAAGGTAGTATGTAGTGTGACAAATAGTACACCAATTGAACTGTGTACTCTTCTCCTGCCATGCATGAATGAAAGGAGATGATCCAGAGTCAGAACCTGAATTAGAGATGGCCATGTGTCAATAGTGATAAAGACTATGAGGCACTAAGAAATGTCAGATGCAGAGAACCCAAATTTAGAATCATGTTGACAGATAAGGAGTTCAAACAGATTATTAAATAAAATCCTGAGTAACATATTTAGCTCTGCTATTCTAGAGAGTAACTGTTAGAACCAGGTTTTTTTTTTTTATATATTCCTGAGTAAACCTTTCCATAGAATTTTGTACTATTGATTTGAAAAAATAACCAACTACACAGGGAAACTTATTGTTGTACTTTGCCCAAGTTTAAGCCTTGTTAATCTTACTGGTAGATAGATTTTATTTGTTGCAAAACTGGTCATAAAACGTATAACTTTATACAGAGAACTACAGAAGTGTTAGTGGCACTTTTATGCCCAATACAGCCCAGTGGATTATAATATTTTCTTAAATTGCTGAAGAGATTTTTGCCAAAAATAAAACAAGTAGCACTCACAGACTTGATTTTTATAACAACATGAAATCTTTACTATGCACATTATTCAAATGTGACACCATACTGGGGACAAAGATAGATTTATATATAGTAAAAAGGCAAGTAAATGAAGCTATAATATTACTTCATTACTCTTAGTACATCTACAACTATTTCCACTTATGGATGTCAGCAAAATAAGCATGCATAAATATTGACTATTTTCTACAAGTATTTATTGTAACGCTTGATTAGAACTATAGGAAGCGCTTGGCACTTGGGCACTGACGGAAGTTTTTTCTTTTTTTTTGTTTTTTTTGAGATGGAGTCTGCCCTGTTGCCCAGGTTGGAGAGCATTGGTGCAATCTTGGCTCACTGCAAGCTTTGCCTCCCGGGTTCACGCCATCCTCTGGCCTCAGCGTCTGGAGTAGCTGGGACTGCAGGCACCTGCCACAACGCCCGGCTAATTTTTTGTGTTTTTAGTAGAGACTGCGTTTTACCGTGTTAGTCAGGATGGGCCCAATCTCCTGATCTCATGATCCACATGCCTCGGCCTCCCAAAAGTTCTAGGATTCAAGGACTGAAAATGTTGATTCACTTTTAGATTATGACAATTTATACACAGCAAAATTTAATGCTCTTTACATAAAAAATATTAGACTACTTAAACAAAACTTTCAAAAATTCCTGCAGCTACCAGAATTAGAAAAGTAAAATTAGGGTTGAGACACTCCCCTTCTAGAAAACTGGACTTCAATGCATCACCACTGCTGGAAAAAATAGTCATGGAACAGGAAAACAAACAGTGAGATACTTTGAAATAGCCATTCTGCACAGAAGAGAGCTTCTCTCAATTAAAAAAAAAATCCCAAATAATAAAAAAACCCCCAAAACTCTACCGATATATGATACTTGATGTTCAAGTTTAATAGCATGCTGATAGAGGTGTGCTTCCTTACTCAATTTTGAATACATTTCTGCACATGTATATTATAAAATTCAGGAAACAGCCAAATCACAAGTTAATTCTTGACATGAATTTACAGTTAATCCTATTCTAAGCAGCACATTTGAAAGCACTGATATACCCAACAGTTACACAGATTATTTCATAATGAAAAACACAAAGTTTACCATCACTAATACCCAGTAACTATAGTCACTTAATGTCTGCTACTCAATAATAATGCAGAAGGCAAGCTTGTATTGAAACTGGCTTAAACTCAAGTACTTTTCTTGCTAAACATCAAACTTTATTATTCCAGGAAACTAAGATTTAGATTAAACAAATAAATACTAAACCTAATTTAAATTCTGTCTTCGAGTCTATAAAAGTAAGAGATTAGTGGCCTATGGTCAGTTTAAATTTAGGTTTTAGAGAGTTGGTATGAAACTGTTTAACTAGACCACTGAAATGGTTAAAATTGGGGGGTCATTTTAATAAAGTAACATTTTCTATTTAAGAAAAATATTTATGGAGCAAAATTACATGAAACATATTTGGGTCTGTGGTTGTGATACAAATTCTTAGAAATTTAAACATATCCTCCTTAAGATGGAGCTGACATTTTTATCCCAAGGATAATGAAAAATGGATGAGTATGTTGTTGGAATATAACCTATTAAAAAATTGCTTTTGGAAATCTTGTGAATGAGTCTTAATCCAGATCTGTTAGGAGTAGATTATAAAATTGCATTTGGAAAGCTAATCAATGAGTCAGAATCCAAATTCTTCTGTAGTGGAGTCAGCATAATTGTTGCTAATTTTTGCATTTTTGAAAAATATTTTCTTATTGGCTGAGGAAATTAAGGGAGCCTGGACTTGGGAAGAAAAGCTAATTTGAAAAGTCAGTCATAAAAATCACATTATCTTTGAGGCAAAGTTTAATAAATGCCAGCTCTAAGAATTGAAACTTCACCCCTATTCCATTTTATTTCCTATGTAGATAGCAGTTATTTGAGGATAGATGGCGTATATGTGAATTCGTGGTCTCATCCCTTGAAAGCTGGCATGTTACAGGTCCCTATCAAGAAGCATCACATATTCCAATGAGTGTCTTAATAGAACTGCTCTAGCAACAAATGTGAACATGCCACAAATTTCCGGAGTATGAACAATCATTTTAACAAAGGGTTGCCTTTTAAAATTGCTAACTTAAAACCTCTCATATTTTTTCTGAATAAAAAGATTTAACCACTGGGAAGTTTTCCTTGGAGATACATCCCAGTAGCTTGAGATAGAAAGTGAGGTATTTGAACATTTACATTAGTTTGGTGGAATACATATGTTTACTGCAGAGCAGCCATGTGATGATTTGTCAGAGCTGTAAATGCTTCAGCTGAAACACTCTGCCAAATATTTATGTGTAAGAATTGAGTTATTCATTTTACTACGACTTGATATCTTGCAGTTCCTGTTCCTTCTTTGCTTGGATATCTTCACAAGCCTGCATTGTGTTGGCATCCAAGTAAGCTCTGTTAGAAGACAGTATCATGAGAATGTGGATCTAGAAAAGAAGGGTGAGTAGGATGTCTAGAGAGCATGTGAGAAGGCAAAGCATCATGCTAGTTAGGTTAGATGGAGTTGACGTTGAAGGGGAAAAGTGTTATTCTGTATTAATATTTGCTCTATTGCAGAGCTGTGAAATTCTGAAAACATGCTCTACTACTTGGCTTCACATTTTGAAACTGAAGAAAAGTAAGTACACAAACATTGCAAAGTGTTTCTATTGATGACTAAATGTCTGTATACTCATTAGTCTAGATGAGTCACATATATAACACATCTCACTACAATTGGGGCTTGTCTATATAAATAGATATTCATAAAATTTGCCTCAGATGTATATTGTGATAATGCTACTGAGGAATTTATGTTTGTGACTGTTATATTATCTTTAAAATTTTTTAATATTTTGATGTTTCATATTTTGTCTGTTGCCTTGCATCTATAGTTCTCCATCTTTATTCCTTGCATTTTTTCTAAAATTCTCATTTTCCTTATATAATAACAGTGGCCTAATTTTTTTGGATAAATACTTGTTAATTTTTTCTAAATCCTTATTTTCAATATTTCAGTGTGATTATTCCTAGGTGAAAGCAAATTTTTATCAATCTAACGGTAGAGTATTTTATATTTTAACACATGAGTTTAAACAGCTTACATCTAATATGGTTACTCTCTTATCTAAATAACTAACACCTGCTCAGTCAGTTTTTCATTTACCCTAGATTTTCTTTGGCTCTGCCTTTGCCTCCTATCTGCCTTTGTTCTTCTCTCCCTTTCCCCACCCGTCACCTGTTTTTCTAATTGTATTCATTTACTTTTCTTACTCGTATTTTTTTCTTTTTGTGCTTTTGACATTAATCACCAAATTTCTACAGTTTCTGTAGTTAATCAAATTCAAAAATCAAATTAAAAAAATCAGAAAATCAAATTAAAAAAATTAAAGAATCAAATTAAAAAAATTCAATAGCATTTTTTAAACAAAGTAAAACCTATGTCTAGCCCCGTTCAGAAAACAAAACAAACAAACAAACAAAAACTTCCTGCCTACCTCTTTTATTTTGAGATTTATTTTTCTCTTTGCTAAAATAAAATAAGCTTTATGTTTCTTTCTCTTGGTCTTTTGATAAGTCTTTAATATTGGCATAATCTTTGAGAGTTAAAAATATGTTTCTAGTAAATGATAATTTATGTGGATAAATATTTTCTGTAGAGATTATTTTCAAAATCTGTGTGTTTCCCTTTCTGTATATTTTTGTCTTCTTTTGTTTCTTGTAAATGTATATAAAACCTTCCACCACTGAGTTCCACTTTCCTGACTTCTGTTTCATTTACGGTCACCAGATATAATACAGGATTACCAGTTATATTTTCATTTTAAATAAGCAAATAGCATTTTAGTATAATTCTCAATATTCTAGTAACTTACTAAAATTCTCGTTATCTCATGGGACAGGCTCATACTGAAAACAAATTCTTTATTGTTTGTCAAAAAGTAATCAAATTTTAAATTGAAATGTTATGTCCCTGCACCTGGCAAACTTACTACAGATCAACATAGGAAAGTACTTTTCCTACTGTACTTGTTCGGGGTCTACTGCAGAAGAAACAAACAAACAAAATATTATTTGAGTTCCTTTAATATATGGTTGATTTTTCAATAATGTATAATTGTCTATTTAAAAAAGATTATTTTTTTCCTCCTACCCACATCTTTTTTCCTTTAGATTCCATTTCTTCATCTCAGAGAACTCCTAAACCTACTCATTATGAAGACTTTTTTGATTCAACTTTTTATCCTTGAGTATGACCATTAAGTGTGTCTTCCTTTGCTACCCCTTAGGACATGGAACATCCATCTGTGAATTGTTAATGTCGTCTGTGAAGTGATAAAGCAATCTTTAGTTCTTGAGTGTAAAGTGATTCTTAGTGGGGCAGTTTTGTGTTAACCTTTTTAGGTTAACCTTTTAGGTTAATTGTTCAATCTAGTATTGTATACCCATTTCTGCCTTTGGGGACCTTATATTTTGTAGGCAACATGAAAAAATCTAACCTCAGTCTTGAATATACCACAGGATAGAGGCTGAGATATAAATCTTTCTCTCATGTATTTGAATACAAACCTCATTCTGTGTTAGATCCTAGTATCTGTGAGACATGACTCTCTGTACTGACTTAAGTATTTTACCAAAATGTCTGAATCATGCTTTCTTCCACCAATTATTTAGGCAGGGTGCCCAACCCCACTGGACACAGAAATGGTCTCTTTCCTGAAAATATATCTAAATTTACTCCTCAGTTTACTGTATCAATGAACTGTCAGGTTTAATCTCACACTAATATTGCTGGAGTCCAAACCTCAGGGATGTTTCTTTTCTTGATAGTCAGTGTGTTATTCTTTTTTAAAATTTTATCTTACACTTAGAAGCTCTGGCTTTCATAGGAGTTGTTTTTGCAGCTTTTAACTTTGCTCCAGTGAACTGAAAAATAAACGCTTGATTTCTATTAAATCATTTGTCACTTAACAAATAAAATCTCTGACAAAGGTCTTTCTACTATAACCCTTCAGCATTTGAGGAAGAACACATTTTTGCTTATATTTTCTGGAAGTCTTCCCAATTTTGTTTTATTTTGAAGGGTAGGATATGTATTTTATAATTTTTTCATTGATCTATATTATTAATATGCTCTAAATCATTGGCTATTTTACATATATTATAAAGGCTTTGTTGGGAACAGGCCCCAAAATCTGGTCATAGATTGGCCCCAAAACTGGCCATAAGCAATATCTCTATAGCACTGTGACATGCTTCTGATTGCTATGATGACTACAATGAAGGTTGTTTATCAGAATGAAGGCCAAGGACACCTGGCACACCCAGGGCAGAAAATCACTGAAGGTATTCCTGAACCACAAATAATACCATGAACGATCTGTGCCTCAAAGACACTTTCCCACTGCAGATAACTAGCCAGAGCCCATCCTTTGTCTCCTGTTTTAGTTAATCTGTAATCTATAGAAACAATGCTTATCACTGGCTTGCTGTCAATAAATATGTGTGTTAAACTCTGTTTATGGCTCTCAGCTCTGAAGGCTGTTAGCCCCCTGATTCTCACTGTGCACACTATATTTGTGTGTGTGTGTGTGTGTGTGTGTGTGTGTGTGTCTTTAATGCCGCTAGTGCCATTGGGTTATGGTTTCCATGACCGAGCTGGCCTCGGCAAGTGGTGACTATACGGGGTCTCAAACCCAGGTCAAAGGTCACCGGAGCAATGGTTGGAGAATGTAGGACTACACTGGAGGACATCTGGCTACTCTTAAGCAATCGCCATAGTGAGTTAGAAGGGGAGTTTGGAAGCATCAGGTTAACAATGGGACAAGTCCAGGTTCTGGTTTGTTCCACCTTGGAACATTTTCACATTGATGATTAGGAGGAAGGAGAGTATAGCAAAGTAACAGAAGAGGTGACAGAATAGGTTTGTTTGCCAGCTAAAGCTAAAGTGGCAAAGGAGAGAGAGGTTTGTCTCTGCCCTTCTTCACTCCCTCACTATTTTGAAGAAAAAGAGTGGTCTGACCCTGTAGATCTTTCTTTTCTGGAACCCACTGACCAAAAACTAGTTGCCCCATGATTGTTCAAGCAGTGCCATGAGCAATTGCTCTTCGTTCTATTCAGGCAGGAATTCAGCAACCTAGACGAGAGGGTGATATAGAGGCTTGGCAGCTCCCTGTTAGGATACATGCCCCAGGTCAACAGGGAAATATTATCACTACTTTTGAGCCTTTTCCTTTTAAATTACTCAAAGAATTTAAACCAGCTATTAATCAATATGGACCAGGTTCTTCTTTGGTAATGGTACCGTTAAAGAATGTTGCTGTCCCCAGTCAGATGATTCCTACTGAATGGGATGCTCTTACGTGAGCTTGCCTGACTCTCGCTCACTTTTTACAGTTTAAAACTTGGTGAGGAGAAGAAGCTTTTTTCAGCCTTCTCACAATGCGCAGGCCCAACCTCAAATTAATATAACTACAGACCATCTTTTGGGGGTAGGCAGCTGCGTTGGTTTGGATGCACAAGTGGTCATGCTGGGTGATGCCATAGAACAGCTTAGAGGAGTATGCATTAGAGTTTGGAAAAATAACTTCAGGAGGAGAACAATATCTTTCCTTTAGTGCTATAAAACAGGGACCAAAAGAACCATATGCAGATTTTATAGCTTGGTTATAGGAGTCTCTTAAAAAATGACTGCAGATTTAGCTGCTGAGGATATAATGTTGCAGTTATGAGCTTTCGACAATGAAAATCCATATTTCCAGGTGGCTCTGTGACCTATTAGAGGGAAAGCACATTTAATTGACTATATCAAGGCCTGTGATGGTATCAGAGGTAATCTGCATAAAGCTACTTTGGTGGTGCAAGCCATGACAGGACTGAAAGTGGGTAAAGGAAATACTCCATTTCCTGGAGCTTGTTTTAACTGTGGGAAGCATGGTCACACTGGAAAAGAATGTGAAAAAAATCAGTGAGTCAGGCCACAAGTTGAGGGATAAAAGGAAAACTGCTGAGCCTGGAATATGTCCAAAATGCAAAAAGAAAATTACTCGGATAATCAGTGTCACTCTAAGTTTGATAAAGATGGAAACCTGATTTTGGGAAATGCCAGGAGGGGCCGTCCCAGTCCGCTTTCTAAACCAGGGCATTTCCAGCTCAGGAAATGCCCTATATTTCATCTCAAAAGGTGGAGTTTGCAGCTGTAATTGAGGTATGGACTTGTTTTAGTATGCCTATAAATGTGATTTCTGATTCTTCATATGTGGTTCATTCTACACAGTTACTTGAAAATGCTCAGCTATGATTCCACACAGATGAGCAACTGATGACTTTATTTACCCAATTACACACAGCAGCTAGAAGTAGAATGAACCCTTTTTGCATTACTCATATTAGAGCTCATAAACCTCCTCCAGGACATTTGACTGCAGGGAATCAAATGGCTGATCCGCCAGTTGCTACTACAATATCTAATGCCAGACACTTTCACAATTCAACCCATGTTAATGTTTTTGGTCTCAAACACAGTACAGCATTATCTGGAAAGAAGTGAAAGCTATTATCCAGCGATACCCAACTTGCCAAATGGTGCATTCCTCATCTTTTACAGGAGGAGTTAATCCTCGAGGATTAGGACCTAATTCTCTTTGGCAAATGAATGTCACACATTTTCCCTTGTTTGGGAGACTAGCTTATATACATGTATGTGTGGACACATTTTCTCACTTTGTCTGAGCTACTTGCCAATCAAGAGAGTCTTCTGCCTGTGTTAAATGTCACCTTTTGCAGTGTTTTGTGGTGATGGGCATTCCAGCTTCTTTAAAAAGGACAGTGACCCAGGCTATAGTAGCCAAGTTCTAGCTACATTTTTCTCTATATGGAATATTAAACACATTACTGGTATCTCATATAATTTTCAAGGACAAGCCATAGTGGAAAGAATGAATCTCTTCCTTAAACAACAGTTGCAAAAGCAAAAGGTGGAAACAGGGACTGTGGGATGCCACATATGAAATTGAATCTAGCATGATTTACTCTAAATTTTTTGAGCTTGTCTAGGACCAGATGCTATCTGCAGCCAAACAGCATCTACAGAAGCCAGCTGCAAAGATAGAAGCAGAAAAACTGGTTTGGTGGAGAGATCCAATAATGGAAAGTTGGGAAATAGGTAAAATAATAACATCGAGTGGAGGTTATGCTTGTGTTTCTCCAGTACCAAATCAACTGCCAATGTGCATGCCATTGAGACATCTAAAGCCCTGCTATGAGCCAGATACCAAGAAAGTGGTTTTGAGAGGATTCCAAAGACACATCGGTGGCAGTCTTGTCTAAGTTGACCCTGAGGAGGACCCCAAATATCATGAGCAACACCCATCAAAAGCAGCCACCCACCTGAGGACAGATCAAGAAGCTGTCACAGATGGTGAGAGAAAATCTGAGGTGGGACAACCAGTCCCAGTGAGTAATTTAATGATAGCTATCAAAGCGGTGATCACCATTGCCATGAGTATTTCTTTAACAGAACTGACACAGTCCTGTCCATGCTGACACACATGCTTTCTGGTCTCAGTATATTTCATAATAAATCTGCTCCTATAATTGAGGCATACCACCCTTAAAAACCTATTTGTAAACAGAGCTGGACGTGGCCAGAGAAAATGAATGTACTTGTTTGGGAAAATTGCATTGCAGAACAGACTGAGGTGCTGTGTAACAATTCCTAGGGAATCCTTATTGTTTGGCCCCCTAAGGGGATGTTTACCTTAAATTGCAACTCTCAGTCTATGTGCCACAGCCACATTATGTTCAGCTGGTCTGAACAAAGCCATCAGATGGTAAAAATGGTAAGAAGTACCGCAAGAGTTCCTCTGGAAACATGGCGGTATAATGGCACCTCAACCTCAAATGATATGGCTCGCTCTAGGAGCTAAAAATAAGGATTTGTGGAACCTATTAATGGCTCTTCGTAGTATAAACATTTGGGAAAGAATAAAAAAGCATCTAGAAGGACACTCTATGAACATGTCTTTGGATATTGTAAATTAAAATAACAATTATTTGAAGTATCCCAGGCACACTTAACCTTAATGCCAGGAACAGGGGTACTTGAAGGAGCTGCAGATGGATTAGCAGCTACTAATCCAATAAAATGGATAAGAACTCTTGGAGGTTCTGTGATTTTAATGATGATTGTGCTTTTAGCCTCTGTTGTTTGTCTTTGTATAGTCTGCAGATGCAGATCCCGACTCCTGCGAGAAGTAGCTCAGAGTAGTAAAGCTGCATTTGCTTTTATTGTCTTAGAAAAACAAAAAAAGAAGACATGTTGGGAAAAGGCCCCCAAATTTGGCCATCGACAGGCCCCAAAACTGGCCATAAGCAAAATCTCTGAAGCACTATGACATGCTCAAAATAGATATGACGTCTACACTGAAGGTTGTGGGTTTACCAGAATGTGGGCAAGGAACACCTGGCCCACCCAGGGCAGAAAACCACTTAAGGCGTTCTTGAACCACAAATAATATCATGGGTGATCTGTGCCTCAACGACATGTTCCTGCTGCAGATAACTAACGAGAACCCCTCCCTTTGTCTTCCATTTTACTGAATCTATAATCTATAGAAACAACGCTGATCTCTGGCTTGCTGTCAAGAAATATGTGGGTAAAACTCTGTTCATGGCTGTCAGCTCTGAAGGCTGTCAGCCCACTGATCCCACTCTGCACTTTAGATTTCTGTGTGTGTGTCTTTAATTCCTCTAGTGCCACTGGGTTAAGGTCTTCACGACCTAGCTGATCTCAGCAGACTTCTCTAAGAATATTTAATTTTGGTGAAGACTTTATTTTATAAAACCACTTTATTGTAGGTAAATCATATCATGTCATTCTCTATAATCATATCTTCCCATGTTTTGCGTTATGAGATTTGGTTTGCATGGAACTTTCAAAGCCGTTCTCAACCATTCACTTCCTAGGATTTCCAGTTACGATGCAACAGCCCAGTGTTTCCTCCAAACAACTAAAACACCATGGATATAACGAGAAAAAAACAAGGACAGGCTCTGAAAGGCAGAAAGAGGAAGGCAGTTTGTCTAGGGACTTTAGGACTTAAAGATTGATAACATTGTCACTTTTCTGGGTTTTCCTATTTTCTTCCATATATCACAGATGATGGACTGTAGAAGCTTCCAACACAGAATCTCCAATAGGCACAGATAAAAAGGACTTCAAGCAAATCCTGTTCTCTCTCAGCCAAAGGACCAGGAGAGGATGGCCTAACCATACACAATCACACAAAACATTTCTAGGGGTAATAACCAAGCTATTCCAGACAAACGCTACGAGAAAAAAAAAAAAAAAGCTAGTATTGCCATTTGTGTGGAGCCATATACAAAGACAATCTTCTCACGGGGCAGTAATGCTTGATTCTCCATAAAGTCAAAGTAGGCAGCAATTTTTTTTTTTTTTTGAGCTGGAGTTTCTTTTTTGTTGACCAGGCTGGAGTGCGATGGTATGCAATCTCAGTTCACTGCAAGCTTCACCTCCTGGGTTGAAGCAATTCTCCTGCCTCAGCTCCCTGACTAGCTGAGATAACAGGAATGTGCCTCCACACTGAGCTAATTTTCCATTTTTTGTAGAGTCGGGGTTTCTCCATGTTAGCCTGGTTTTGAACTCCTGACCTCAGGTGATCCACCTGCCTCGTCCTCCCAGAATGCTGAGATTACAGGCGTGAGCCACCACATCTGGCCAGAGGGAATCTTCTATCACCCTCCCGGAGAAAGCAGAGGAGAGCATTCCAATTCCCTTATGTCAGGAGTCTCTGGTAGCAAGCTGATCATCTAGGTTGACTCAACAACAACAATTTTTAAAGGGCTAGAGCTGATTAGGACTGATTGCACTGTGTGGTTTGACTGCCTCCGCACCACCCTCCTCTATTCTATCCTGTCAGTGGGCTTTAGTGGAGAGTTAACCATCTACCACCACCCACCCTCCTAGGAACTGAACAACTGAAGTAAATCCAAACTAATTAGCACTCTGCTATTTTCCCACACTGCAGGTCAACAGGACCCCAAATTAGCAACTGTATGATCTACAACTGCTCCAAAGAACATCAAATGTTTTGATATGCATTTAAACAAAAGAAAACATGTATGAGATCTATGTGCTGAAACATGTAAAACACTGGTGAAAGAAATCAAATAGAGATAATGAGAGATACACTGTGTTCATGGATATGAAGACAATATATCCTGTTAATTTTCCCCAGCTTGATCTATATATTTGGTGAAATTCCTATCAGTATCTCAGCAAGAATTTTTGCAGACAAAGCAAACTTACTCACCATGATAGCTAAGACAATTATGAGTATACAAGTATATAGTGGGAGAAATTCATCAACATTTCTAAGACTTATTACACAGCTAAAATGAACATAACAGTTTGGTATTGGCATAGAAATAGATTCATATAAAAATGGAGCAGAAGAGAAGGCCCAGGAATAGAGCCACACTGGTGTGGATATGACCAAGTGATATGACACAAATCTGGCAAGCAGAAATCAGTGGAGGAAAAACAGCCTTTAAACAAATGGTGCCAGGGCACGTGGATATTTATAAATTTAAGAAATAAAGCCATAACATAAATCTTATACTACAGAAATTAACTCAAAATGTCTCATGAATTTCAATGTAATATAAAATTACAACACATTTTATAAAACGTTTTCAGAAAAAAAGAACGTAAAAAAATTCAAGCTTCTTAGTTGTAGCAAAATGTTATTATATTTGATACCAAATGCATAAGCCATAAAAGTAAAAAAAAAGATTAACTGTATCAAATCAAAATTAAAAACTGCTGCTCTGTGAAGGATCTTATGAAGACATTCAAAAGCCAGTCTGCTAAAGAAAGGAGTACCCTTCTTGCTGATTGCTGTAGACAACGGGAGGAGAGCAGTACCCTCTCCGCTGAGAGCAGCAGCTGCAACAGAGAGCTTCACAGACCTGCAGAGACATCTAAATGACTTGCCGACAGAGAGGAGCCTCTCTCTCTAGAGTGAACACACCATAGGAAGACCTGCCTATAGAGGAGAGCTACCCACTCCTTTGTGAGGTATTGCTCCTCACAAGAGGGCACTAGCTTCAGGGGTCTGCCCGCAGACCCTGACCCAAATTGCAGATGGATAAACCACACACTAGCACATAGATACTCTGTTTTGCCAGTCTAGCTGAATGTCTGAGCACCTGCATGACAAGAAAAGTTTGTTACTGAGGCCGGCCCTGAGCAGCTCGCACTCCAGGCATTTATTTAGTATACAATTAACAACAGAAGCTTTGAGTCAGCACACTTGTGGATAATTAACCTGGCTGAGAGAGTAGACCTATGAATGATTAAAGCTCAGGTACCGTGGTCTAAAGTAAATTACAGTATGGGGCAATATCCTTGGTCGACCTCCCTCCAATTGAATAATTGTTCAATTATTACAAGCTATGTAATCTTTCGGCCTTCCAAAAAGTTTGTGACTATTCCCTATACCTTTCCATAATATTTCCATTTCATATTTCTGCGACCGTACTGAAGGAATCCCAACACTTTGAACCGTTTTAATGCCAAATAGAACTCTGCTTCTTCTTTACCCTTCACCTGTCTGTGTACCTCATTCTTCCTGCAAACAGGACAAGAAGTCAAGCAAAGGCATCATGGCCACAGAAGTTTCTGGCAAGAAAAACTGACACCATAGTGATCCTTTAACAGTAGCACTAACATTTCTGTGTGAGATTTTTATTTGAAAGTTAAACATTTGGGGAAATGTTAGGAAACTCTGAACCATATTATGACATCCTATTTGTTCATTTGTAGCTGGCTTTGTCTGATACCACCATAACAAAGGAAAGTGTATGCTTGTAAAGGAAGGGCACAATTCCAAATTCTCTTCTTCACTTCCTTTGACATCCAAGGCAGCCCTTCTAGCTACTGATAAAAAAATATGCAGATTCCAGCTTCAACCTGGGTGTTACTTGTACCTCCCTGGCTAGAAGCAGAAGGGTGTCCCCATATGGCAGCATTGAAAACTCTAACTCTCTACTTTCCCTTATGTGATTCCACTCCAGCAGAGGGTTGGGGTGCCTCATTACTGCCTGGTGCTCTCTATGTTTCAACTTAAACATTGTTGTCCTGGCTAGCTTTTTTGGTTTGCTTTGTTTTCTGTTGTAATGTTTGACTAAAGTAGGAAGGCTATTGTAAAAATATTTTTCTCTTTGTAAGGTGTCCCTTTCCTAGCCATGTGGCTATAGAAGTTGGGTTTTGGGAGAACTTTTTGCCTGTACTTATTTACATTTTTGGGTACCAGCTCCATTAGGATCAAGTCTGTGATAACACCAGGCAAAAAGAATCCAGGAAACTCAACCATCTTATCACTTGTTGCATCTTAAATTTCCTCACCCGTTTATCTTCTTGCTCCATCCTTCAGTCTTATGTTTGCTTTATATACATTATGTGGTGCTATTAATTGTATTTATGTAAGGGGGAAAGTACATTTGCTCCATCTACTTCATTACTCAAGTGATGACCCAAGATGAAGAACGTCCGTGATGTTCCTTTTGGGCAGAAAATTCAAAGTAGTTTTTGTTGTTGAAACAGTTTAGTTTAACCTAGATGGAGAGAGAATACCTAAGAAGGTACAAGGTCTTTGAATCCTAGAGGAAGCTAGGATATTTTCTGGGTTAGACTACTCCGTGATTGATTACATTAAAATCTTGTCAGGATGTTCCTCAAAATACAAAGAATTTGCAGAGAGTGGGAATGAACAGATATTCTAATCATGCTGATTACTTTACATTTTGCATTTGCTTTCTCTTTTTCCTCATTCACCCTCTCTCTACCCCTCCCTGTGCTTGTTTTATTGTTGCTTTTGTTGTTTTTTTGACACTTGCATTATTCTGGCCTTAAATTTACAATAATGTATTCCACATTTTAATCTGTCTCAGTCCATCTTTCATTACTTTATCCTCACTTTCTAAAATATCATTTTCTTTTTTCTTTGTTGTCTTGGGGTTCACCCAAGTTAATCTTTTCACTTTTTATTTATTTGGCATTATCCATTTTATTGTTGTCCATTCTTTTGAGATGAAGTCTTACTCTATCACACAGGCTGGAGTGCAAAGGCAGGATCTCAGCTCACTGCAACCTCCACCTCCCAGGCTCAAGTGATTCTCCTGCCTCAGCCTCCTAACTAGCTTGGATTACAGGCACACATCACCAGGCTTCACAATTGTTGATTTTTTAGAAAAGATATGGTTGCACCATGTTGGCCTTGAACCACTGACCTCAGGTGTTCTACCCATCTTAGCCTCCCAAAATGCTGAGATTACAGGCCTGAGCCATCACCACTGGCCTAATTTTTTTAAACATTCTTCATATTAACTATTTAACCATGTCCATCGCACTACCCTCTGAAAATCCAGCGTGAGAACTAAAAAGTTAATAGTATGTGGACATAGGTGAAATGATCTTTGTCTTGTGTCATGGTCTGCCAGGAAAGGAAATCAGGATTCCCTTTTTATAGCATTGATTCTAAATTTCTTCTACTTATGCACAATCTGAAAATATAGGCATAGGGTAAGATGGCACCACTAGGTTTCCATACTGAGGAATCTGTCTGACCAAATCCATACTCCATTCCAATTTCAGTTGTCCCAGAAAACTGAGTGATGAATCTTGTCAGGCCTTAGCTGGTGACACCAAATGTTGCATAATATACCAAATCCACAGTGAATGCTCCTTCTGAACAATTGTGCAGCTGGATCCCCAGTGTAAGCCATTTCAGCACAACAACTGGGAATCTCTACAGCAAATAAAGGAAGGAGTGGCAAAGATAAAGCTATTCTTTCAGGCAAGGACCTGCCAGTCAAAGCAGAAGATGAAAAATAATTTTTAGAAGAAGCTGGGAAAAATCACAACCAGACCTTTTTTTCCAAAATGGTGGAATAGGAACAGCTCCAATCTACATCTCCCAGTAAGACTGATGCAGACGATGGGTAATTTCTGCATTTCCCACTGAGGTACGGGGTTCACATCACTGGGACTTGTCAGACAGTGGGTGCAGGACAGTGGGTTCAGCGCACTGAGCATGAGCCAAAGCAGGGCAAGGCATCACCTCACCCAGGAAGCACAAGGGGTCAGGGAATTCCCTTTCCTAGCCAAGGAAAGCTGTGACAGATGGCACCTGGAAAATCAGGTCACTCTCACCCTAATACTGCACTTTTCCAATGGTCTTAGCAAACAGGACACCAGGAGATTAGATCCCACACATGGCTCGGAGGATCCCATGCCCACAGAGCCTCACTCATTGCTAGCACAGCAGTTGGAGATCCACCTGCAAGGTGGCAGTGAGGCTGGGGGAATGGCACCCACCATTGCTGAGGCCTGAGTAGGTAAACAGAGTGGACAGGAAGCTCGAACTGGGTGGAGCCCACCCCAGCTCAAGGAGGCCTGCCTGCTTCTACAGACTCCACATCTGGAGGCAGGACATAGCCAAACAAAAGGCAGCAGAAACCTCTGCAGACTTAAATGTCCCTGTCAGACAGCTTTCAAGAGAGTAGTGGTTCTCCCAGCACGAAGTTTCAGATCTGACAACAGACAGAGTGCCTCCTCACATGGGTCCCTGACCCCCAAGTAACCTAACTGGGAGGCATGCCCCAGTAGGGGCAGACTGACACCTCACATGGCTGGGTACCTATCTGAGATGAAACTTTCAGAGGAATGATCAGGCAGCAACATTTGCTGTTCAGCAATATTCACTGTTTTGCAGCCTCCACTGCTGATAACCAGGCAAACAGGGTCTGGAGTGGACCTCCAGCAAACTCCAGCAGATGTGCAGCTGAGGGTCCTGATTGTTAGAAGGAAAACTAACAAACAGAAAGGACATCCATACCAAAACCCCATTTGTACATCACCATCATGAAAGACCAAAGGAAGATGAAACCACAAAGATGGGGAAAAAACAGAGCAGAAAACCTGAAAATTCTAAAAATCAGGGCACCTCTCACTCGCCAAAGGAACACAACTCCTCAGCAGCAATGGAACAAAGCTGGACGGACAATGACTTTGATGAGTTGAGAGAAGAAGGCTTCAGACAATCAAACTTCTCCAAGATAAAGGAGGAAGTTCAAACCCATCACAAAGAAGCTAAAAACCTTGAAAAAAGTTTAGCTGAATGGCTAATTAGAATAACCAATGTGCAGAAGTCCTTAAATAACCTGAGGGAGGTGAAAACCATGGCACGAGAACTACATGATGAATGCACAAGCTTCATTAACTAATCCAATCAACTGGAAGAAAGGGTATCAGAGATTGAAGATAAAATGAATGAAATGAAGTGAGAAGAGAAGTTTAGAGAAAAAATGAATAAAAAGAAATGAACAAAGCCTCCAAGAAATATGGGACTATGTGAAAAGACCAAATCTACGTCTGATTGGTGTACCTGAAAGTGAAGTTGAGAATGGAACCAAATTGGAAAACACTCTGCAGGATATTATCCAGGAGAACTTCCCCAACCTAGAAAGGCAGGCCAACTTTCAAATTCATTAAATACAGATAATGCAACAAAGATATTCCTCGAGAAGAGCAACTGCAAGACACAAAATTTTCAGATTCACCAAAGTTGAAAAGAAGGAAAAAATGTTAAGGGCAGCCAGGGAGAAAGGTCGGGTTACCCACAAAGGGAAGCCCGTTAGACTAACAGTGGATCTCTCAAAAGAAACTCTGAAAGCCAGAAGAGAGTGGGGGCCAATATTTAACATTCATAAAGAAAATATTTTTCAACCCAGAATTTCATATCGAGCCACACTAAGCTTCATAAGTGAAGAAGAAAAAAAAATCCTTTACAGACAAGCAAATGCTGAGAGATTTTGTCACAACAAGGCCTGCCCTACAAGAGCTCCTGAAGGAAGCACTAAACATGGAAAGGAAAAACTGGTACCAGCCACTGTAAAAATGTGCCAAATTTTAAAGACCATCAATGCTAGGAAGAAACTGCATCAACTAACGAGCAAAATAACCAGCTAATATCATAATGACAGGATCAAATTCACACATAACACCATTAACCTTAAATATAAATGGGCCAAATGCTCCAATTAAAAGATGCAGACTGGCAAATCGGATAAAGAATCAAGATCCATCAGTGTGCTGTATTCAGGAAACCCATCTCACATGCAGAGACACACATAGGCTTAAAATAAAGGGATGGAGGAAGATCTACCAAGCAAATGGAAAACAAAAAGAGGCAGCGGTTGCAATCCTAGTCTCTGATAAAACAGGCTTTAAACCAACAAGAACAAAAGAGAAAAAGAAGGCCATTACATAATGGTAAAGGGATAAATACAACAAAAAGAGCTAACTATCCTAAATATATATGCGCCCAATACAGGAGCACCCAAATTCATAAAGCAAGTTCTTAGAGACCTACAAAGAGACTTGGACTCCCACAGAATAATAATGGGAGGCTTTAACACCCCACTGTCTACATTAGACAGATCAATGAGACAGAAAGTTAACAATGACATCCAGGAATTGAACTCAGCTCTGCACCAAGCAGACCTAATAGACATCTACAGAACTCTCCACCACAAATCAACATAATATACATTCCTCTCAGCACCACATCTCACTTATTCCAAAATTGACCACATAGTTGGAAGTAAAGCACTCCTCAGCAAATGTAGAAGAACAGACATTATAGCAAACTGTCTGTCAGACCATGGTGCAATCAAACTAGAACTTAGGATTAAGAAACTCACTCAAAACCACTCAACTACATGGAAACTGAACATCATGCTCCTGAATGACTACTTGGGTACATAACAAAATGAAGGCACAAATAAAGATGTTCTTTGAAACCAATGAGAAGAAAGACACAACATACCAGAATCTCTGCGACACATTTAAAACAGTGTGTAGAGGGAAATTTATAGCATTAAATGCCCACAAGAGAAAGCAGGAAAGATCCAAAATTCACACCCTAACATCACAATTAAAAGAACTAGAGAAGCATGAGGAAACATATTCAAAAGCTAGCAGAAGGCAAGAAATAACTAATATCAGAGCAGAACTGAAGGAAATTGAGACCCAAAAACCCTTCAAAAAATCAATGAATCCAGGAGCTGGTTTTTGGAAAAGATCAACAAAATTGATAGACCGCTAGCAAGACTAACAAAGAAGAAAAGAGAGAAGAATCAAATAAACGCAATAAAGAATGATAAAGGGGATATCACCACTGATCTCACAGAAGTACAAACTACCATCATAGAATACTATAAACACCTCTATGCAAATAAACTAGAAAATCTAGAAGAAATGGATAAATTCCTTGACACACACATCCTCCCAAGACTAAACCAGGAAGAAGTTGAACCTCTGAATAGACCAATAGCAGGCTCTGAAATTGAGGCAATAATTAGTAGCTTACCAACCAAAAAAAGTGCAGGACCAGATGGATTCACGACTGAATTCTACAAGAGGTACAAGGAGGAGCTGGTACCATTCCATCTGAAACTGTTCCAATCCACAGAAAAAGAGGGAATCCTCTCTAGCTCATTGTATGCAGCCAGCATCATCCTGATACCAAAGCCTGGCAAAGACACACAAAAAAAGAGAATTTTAGACCAATATCCCACATGAACATTGATGCAAAAATCCTCAATAAAATACTGACAAACTAAATCCAGAAACACATCAAAAACCTTATCCACCATGACCAAGTTGGTTTCATCCCTGGGATGCAAGGCTGGTTCAATGTACACAAATCAATAAATGCAATCCAGCATATAAACAGAAAAAAAGACAAAAACCACACGATTGTCTCAATAGATGCAGAAAAGGCCTTTGACAAAATTCAACAGCCTTCATGCTAAAAACTCTCAATAAATTAGGTGTTCATGGGATGTATCTCAAAATAATAAGAGCTATGTATGACAAACCCACTGCCAATATCATACTGAATGGGCAAAAACTGGAAGCATTCCCTTTGAAAACTGGCACAAGACAGGGATGCCCTCTCTCACCACTCCTATTCAACATACTGTTGGAAGTTCTGACCAGGGCTATCAGGCAAGAGAAAGAAAGAAATGGTATTCAATTAGGAAAAGCTGAAGTCAAATTGTCCCTGTTCGCAAATGACATGATTGCATATCTAGAAAACCCCATCATCTCAGCCCAAAATCTCCTTAAGCTGATAAGCAACTTCAGCAAAGTCTCAGGATACAAAGTCAATGTGCAAAAATCACAAGCATTCTTATACACCAATAACAGACAAACAGAGAGCCACATCATGAGTGAACTCCCATGTAAAATTGCTTCAAAGAGAATAAAATACCTAGGAATCCAACTTACAAGGGATGTGAAGGACCTCTTCAAGGAGAACTACAAACCACTGCTCAATAAAATAAAAGAGGAAACATACAAATGGAAGTTTATTCCATGCTCATGGATAGGAAGAATCAATATTGTGAAAATGGCCATACTGCTCAAGGTAATTTATAGATTCAATGCCATCCCCATCAAGCTACCAATGACTTTCTTCACAGCATTGGAAAAAACTACTTTAAAGTTCATATGGAACCAAAAAAGAGCTCTCATTGCCAAGTCAATCCTAAGCTAAAAGAACAAAGATGGAGGCATTGCGCTATCTGACTTCAAACTATACTACAAAGTTACAGTAATCAAAACAGCATGGTACTGGTACCAAAACAGAGATATAGACCAATGGAGCAGAACAGAGCCCTCAGAAATGATACGACATATCTACAACCATCTGATCTTTGCCAAACCTGACAAAAACAAGAAATGAGGAAAGGATTCCCTATTTAATAAATGGTGCTGGGAAAACTGGATAGCCATATGCAGAAAGCTGAAACTGGATCCCTTCCTTACACCTTACACAAAAATTAATTCAAGATGTATTAAAGACTTAAATGTTAGACCTAAAACCATAAAAACCCTGGAAGAAATCCTAGGCAATACCATTAGGATGTAGGCATGGGCAAGGACTTCATGTCAAAAACAAAAAAAGCATGGCAACAAAAGCCAAAATACAAATGAGACCTAATTAAACTAAAGAGCTTCTGCAGACCAAAAAAAAAAAAAAAAAAAAAAAGTACCAGCAAAGCGAATAGGCAACCTACACGACTGGCAGAACATTTTTGCAATCTACTCATCTGACAAAGGGCTAATACCCAAAATCTACAAAGAACTCAAACAAATTTACAAGGAAAAAACAAACAACCCCATCCAAAAGTGGGTGAAGGATATGAACAGAGACTTTCTCAAAACAAGACATTTATGCAGCCAACAGACACATGAAAAAATGCTTGTCATCACTAGCCATCATAGAAATGCAAATCAAAACCACAATGAGGTACCATCTCACACCAGCTATAATAGCAATCATGAAAAAGTCAGGAAACAACTGGTGCTCAAGAGAATGTGGAGAAATAGGAACAGTTTTACATAATTGATGGGAGTGTAAACTACTTCAACCATGTGGAAGACAGTGTGGTGATTCCTCAAGGATCTAGAACTAGAAATATCATTTCACCCAGCCATCCCATTACTGGGTATATACCCAAAGGATTATAAATCATGCTTTTATAAAAACACACACACGTGTGTATTCACTGTGGCACTGTTCACAATAGCAAAGACTTCGAACCAACCCAAAATGTCCATGAATGACAGACTGGATTAAGAAAATGTGGCACATACACACCATGGAATACTATGCAGCTATAAAAAGTGATGAGTTCATGTCCTTTGTAGGGACATGGATGAAGCTGGAAATCATCCTTCTCAGGGAACTATTGCAAGGACAAAAAAACCAAACACCTCATGTTGTCACTCATAGGTGGGAATTGAACATTGAGAACACTTGGACACAGGAAAGGGAACATCACACACTGGGGCCTGTTGTGGAATGGTGGGGGAGGTATAGCATTAGGAGATATATCTAATGTAAATGACGAGTTAACAGGTGCAACACACCAACATGGCACATGTATACATATGTAACAGAACTGAACGTTGTGCACATGTAACCTAGAACTTAAAGTATAATAAAATATACAAATATATATAAAAATATATACAATATATTTAGAAAAATATGCAAATAAATATACAAAAAATATACAAATATAAAAATATACAAATATAAAAAAATAAAATATACAAATATGTAAATAATATATACACATTATACAAATATATAATATATGAATAATATAATATATAAATATATAAATATTTTTTACAATATATATAAATATAAATATATAAATAAATTTTTTACAAAAATGTAAAATATAACAAACATATACAAATAAATATACAAAAATATACAAACAAAAATATACAAATATAAAACATATACAAATATAAAAAATACATATACAAAAAATATACAAATATATACATATATAAAAAAACATACCTATACCGAAAAAGAAAGCGTGATAGTTGAAATGATAACCAGGGATGTTAATCTCAGTAAGTCAAAATTATTGCACCTCTAGTGAACAAAACTCTGACCTACCCTTTTATGAAAAGTTGTGGTGAGTAATGAAGAATAACAAGTAATACCACAACACCAATAATGTTCATTTTTGACAATGAAAATAGATTTTATGGTTGTATGTCCACAGTCAACATTCACAAATTCACATACATATGTGTGTGTGTGTGTGTGTGTGTGTGTGTGTATATAAATACAAAAATGTACATATATGTATTAGGTACTGTGTGACATCAGTGCTGGGTGTCCAGGAGACACAGACAGACAGACAAGAAAACTAATGTGACAGATAAGAAGCACCTTCTGGAAGGAGTGATGTCTGTGTTGTAGGAGTCTTAAGTAGGCAAATCGGGAGAGAGCATTTATCTCCAAGAAAAAATGGGGCCCAAGTTACAAGATAGGAAAGGGCATGGCTGAAAGTGGAGTTGTCCAGATGTTGCTCCAACTGGACTGTGGTGAAACAGAAAGACATGAAGCTGACAGGAAAATAAATATTAGGTCTGGAAGGGATTTGTTCAGCCATGCTGAGGATATGGATTCAGAATCTAAAAGGTATCAAATCCTGACAAAAGCCATGAAATCTGACTTTGTATAGATGAAACCAATGTGATGAACATCTGTATTAGAGGAGGGGTTTGGTGGCTCAACCTTGTAATTCCAGCACTTTTAGGGGCCAGGGTGGGTGGATCACGTGAGGCCAGGAATTCAAGACCATCCTGGCCAATTTGGTGAAACTCCGTTTCTACGAAAAATACAAAAATTAGCCCAGCTTGGTGGGCATATATAATTTTACCTACTCAAAAGTTTGAGGCACAGTAATTACTTGAACCCAGAGGCTGAGGTTGCAGTGAGCTGAAATAATGCCACTGCTCTCCAGCCAGGGTAACACAGTAAGACTATCTCAAAGAAAAAAAGAAGCAAGGAAATGTGCATTAGAAAACATGAAACATGGACTCTAACAGGAGGTAATGAAAGGCACAAACATGTTGGAATCCTTTAATGTAAGATCAAAAGTGTGTACTGTTAATGTTAGCTCCTGATCTAAAATGCTTCTTGTTGAAATCTTCATTGAATAAAGTAGGTATAAGTGAAGCATTTTTAACACCAATTCTTCTTTTCACCCTTACTAAATGCTGGGGACAGCCACGTTTGAAATTTGGATTATAATAAAACTTTAACTAAAACCAAAGAAAAAGGTAATTCAGTGCCATTTTAAACCGGGAGACAAGTGACAATAACAAACATAACACATAAAATATCAGATTTCTCTTTCGTCACACAAACTTAATGACATCAAATAATTCATGAACATTATTTGCTATTTTTAAGAAAGTGCTTGTTGGGAAAAAAAAGCACTCAAATTGTTAAGCCCTCAGGTGAAAACATGTTATATATTAATAGCAACATTACATTAAGTGGCTTTGATACATTTATTTGGAGTTCACTGGTAAGATTCAAAGTTTTAGCAACATTTCTGAAAACTCTGAAAGGTTGATGCTCAAGCTGAACTCAATAATTTCAAAAAAATAAATAATTTCTACCTTAATATTTTATATAATTTTCAACATCTGGTCTTGTTGCATGTATTAACATATTTACTGATGTTCAAAGTAAAATTACATACATACTTTACATAGAGTGGTAACTGAAATATGTTAAATGCTTTGCTTAAGGCATCGGATTCTTTCTCTTCTGCCAGAAAGGTGGCTAGAAAGGCAGATCTTTGAAAATTCTGTCGCAACGGAGACCTACTGGAGGCTTCTGAACCAGTTAACTAATCTTTGGGAGAAACATCTTGAATTTCTGAAGAAACATGTGCCATCTCAAATAAACATTTCTTTAGCTACTCTTCCAGCCTGCATGGTTTTCAAGACTGTGGCTTCAAATGCTGCTTCAGAAGGCCTAGGCAGGTAAAGAAATCTAGACCATCACGATGTTCCCAAGGTGAGTAGCAATGACATCACAAGAGGATTTTGGTCTCCTAGCAACCAACAAAAAATCTGACCAAAAGTGCTTCCTTCCCAGTCTGAGAAATGTATCCATTGAAAATCAAATATACACTGCTAACTTACACAGTGTCAGCTGCAAAAATCTCATCCCTTCAGCATGATTTAAATAAACAAGAAAATAATGTCCTCAATCCCAGAAATAAATGTAATTTTCTCCCTGACACACACACTTACTAGATTGGTGACAGGAGCATAGGTAATTGCAAAACAAAACAAAAAAAGGAAATTATTTAAATAGCAAGTGCTTAATTGTGTTACCATACCATAAACAGAGAATGTGTCCCCATGTACAAATGTTCTCATTTCCCCAGCAAATATCAAAAACAATGTAATGATAATTTTAAAGCTTATAATCTTTTTAATTTATTTATAAAAAGGTAAGTAAATAATCATTAACATCATCATGGTAATTATGCCATAACTAACTTAAGCAATACTTTCTTATCAAAGCTTAACATATTTATATATAGCAATCCTTTGGTATCTGTAGGGGATTGGCTCCAGAAACATCTCAAATACCAAAATGTATGTCTGCTCAAGCTTCTGCTTTATAATGATGCAGTAGGTAAGTATAATGCACACCCATCCTCCTGTGTAGTTTACTTTATCTCTACATAAATAATTAATAAAATGTAAATGCTATGTAGACAGATATTTTACTCTAATGACTTTAAATTTGTTACATTTTACCATAGTATTGATTTTTTTGTTTTTGTTTTCAAACACTTTAATATATGTCTAGGGAAATCTGTTTGCAGAACCTTTATATGCAAAAGGTCTCTTATTTGTTGCAAATCAGAAAACATTACTGACACAGAGAGTGATGGCTATGTGGTTCCATATAGCCACTACTATCTGTGTTACTTCTCTAATATTTTCTTTTATGCAATTAAGCAGAATTTGGTGTGAGCAAACTGAAGATACAAAGTAAGCAATAATGATAGCAGTTAATACTTATAGTGCTTAAAGTCAAGGTAATACACTAAGAGCTGCACACATATTAATAAATTTAATCCTCACTGTCCTTTCTTTTTGTGTGACAGTTTCACTCTCTTCACCTAGAATGCAGTGCAATGGCAGGATCTAGGCTCACTGCAACCTAGACCTCCCAGATTCAAGCGATTCACCTGTCCCAGCCTCCCCAGTAGCTAGTATTACAGGCATCTGCCGCCACACCTGGCTAATTTTCATATTTTTAGTAGAGATGGGGCTTCACCCTGTTGGCAAAGCTGGACTCTCTGTCTTATAAAAAGGTAAAACCTATACATAATACTTTAAACGGTGTGAATTAAGAGTGGCAGGCAGGGTGAAAAGAAATTGTTCCAAGTCTCAGAGGTGAAAATAGCAGGCAGTATGCTGTTAAAAATAAACCACAATTTAAATGGCAGCTAAGTGCAAGATAATGCAGACAGCTTGGAGGTGAGATGTTATGAAGGTCAAGAAAGACATACCTGTCATTTAATATATAATATCTTCAAAGACATTTTACCATTATATATCCTAGTCAAATTGCGAAGAAATAAAATTAGCTGGTTAGGCCTAAAGAAAGAGACCTGTTTGTGAAACTACAAGTGGTCGTTAAAATCTGTTGGAAGCCCATAAAATGAAGGAACATTTTTGCTTCAAGAGATTTTTATAGTAGAAAAAGAATAATGCTTTCTTCTACCAACTCTTCAAGATTCAATCATTAAAATGCAATTTATTTTAGAGTAGAGATGAAAACAATCTGGGAGATTATTTTACATCTCAAATTATTCACCTAATGAGAATAACTTTTTTTTTCCTAGTCAGTCATTCGATTTTGTCAATAACATTCTCCTTTAAGCCAGTTATCATCTTGACTACCTCTCTGATACCGTGCAAATACTAAAGAGAAAGCAGAAGTTAATTTTGTGGATGAGCACAAACACTTCTAATTGTCTTCTGGTTGTTTTCAATGAGATAATTATTTTTTTCAAAACTGAACAAAACAAACTTTTTATCACATTTTACAATGATGTGCATTTGCACATTCAATTTGATACACTGTTCCAAAGAATGAAGAAGATTTTGAAGACTGTTCATGTCCACATTTAAAGTTGTAAAAGATTTCTCACATTTGTATCAAAAGATATTATTTAAAATACAAATTATAAAATGTATTTTTTACTTTTATTTGTGAAGACAGGTTCTTTGTCACTGAAGCTAAAATGCAGTGGCACAATTCCAGTTCACTGTGGTCTCAAACTCTTTGGCTTGAGCTGGGGTTTCCCTAATCAGTATCCATCTGCGTCTTGTTATGAACTGGGGCTACACATCAACAGGTGAGTGGTGGCCAAGCATGGAAACCTTATCTCTATTTAAAACACTAAGTATGGTTCACAGTACTGCCTGAGATCCGCTTTCTGAAGATCAGTGGCAGCATCCGATTTTTATAGAAGCGAGGGAACTACTATTTACTGCACTTGAGAGAAATTTACGTTTTGCACTCTTTATAAGAATCAAAACAACTGATCACCTGCAACAGTCTCCCATCACCCACAGATAGAACCATCTAGCTACAGGAAAATAAGTTTAGGGCTCCCACTGAGTCTACATTATGGTGAGATGTATAATTATTTTGTTAAATATTATAATGTAATAATAAGACAAATAAAGCGCAAAATCAATGGAGGGTACTCAAATCTTCCAAAAACTGTCTCCACAACCCCAGTTGATGAAAATCTTGTCTTTCACAAAAACAGGCCCTGGTGCCAAGTGATAGCAGATGATCACATATAGATGCATGCACACATAAATTATTGAGTGAAAGTTTTGAAGACAGAAGCTCAAAGAGTTATAATAATTTGAGAGAACAAGAACAGAAATGTTGACTAGATTGCAGAAAAAGAAATGTTTTGAGTAGAGAAAGCTAATGAAAATAAATTGTTGACACAAGAAAAAATGAGAGTGAGGGACGTGTGCAGATAAAGAATTGAAATATGTAAATTAGAATTATATATGCAAATCATATTTATAACCTAGGTTTACAGTTTAGCTATGAAATTTGGAAACTTTTACTGAAAGCTATAATGGGCAGTCAGTTAATTACACGTGCACTAAAGACTTTTAAAGGAAATCTAAGTGATATGCTAATACATAGAAAGGGAACTACTGTGAGTAAAACAGAAGACAGCCCAGAAATCAGAAGATCCCTTTTTCTTCCTACCTCTGAGCTATCTAAGAAATACCTTCTTGAAAGAACACTAAACTCTTTCTCTGTGTGTGTGTGTGGTTTTGTGTGCATGTGTGGTTGTGTGTGTTTGTGTGGCACAGCTTCTCTTCATTACTCAGTCTGCAATGCAGCAACACGGTTACAGCTCAGGTGATGTTTTCGCCTTAGTGTCCCGGGTAGATGGGACTAGTGCAGACAATTACACTCAGCTAATTTATTGCATCTTAGTAGAGATGGGATATCACCATGTTGCACAGGCTGGTTTTGAACTCCTGAAATCAAGTAATCTGACTCCCTTGGCTTCCCAAAGTGCTAAGGCTATCCATGTGAGTGACAGGGCCTGGCCTAGTTGAGATTTTTCAAATCTAAACACGGACCAAGTGTTATTGGTCACTTTTGTAAGAGGCTCAAAATCTATGAGATTACATTCAGGCTTGCAAAAATTATGTGTATATTACATGAAGTTATAGATTATATATTTATATAAAAGTATATCATATATATTTTATCTTGCAGGACTAGGAAGCAGTACTTTTTTGTCAGTGATTAAAAGGTTTATTTGATAATAAAAATGCTTATTTGATGATGAGTAATATGGATTTCTGAGGTGATTATTATACATAATCTCAGGCATAAACATTACTCTAGAAACTAAAAGACATCATTGATGTGCTAGTCTAAATTGAACAGTATAATGAGGAAAGTGTAATCAAATATCAAAGTTAGTCAAATAAATGGTATTTTATCTTTCCAAGTAGCTGATACTACAGGCTCATATATCCACACCTGAATAATTTTTGTTTTGTTTTCATAGAGGCAGGGTTTTCTACGTTGCCCAAGGTTGTAAAATAATTTGTATTATGTGTGATAACAGTACCCTGGTCATATATTTTTGAAAAAACTTTAGGGATGTATTAAAATATCTGTACACTTAAAAAATGTACTTGACATTTGCTTCATTTGAGAACTGTTAAATCAAGGAGATGACTTCATTTTAATATTTTGATTATATAGATTACAAATCTTCCTATAAGAAGTCAATTATACCTTAAGAGATGAAAGAATACAGTGGCCTGTCTTTGCTGTGACAATTTTAACCTTTTTCTATTAGTATGACAATAATAAAAATGATCAAGAAATGCAGCTAGGATATTACTATTTTTTAAATATTACATGCCAAATAAACTATGTATTTTAAAGATCTATTTAAAAAATTTAATGTACAGACGATTTTATCAAAATTAAATTGATAAATCACCCATAATTTACCTGAAGTGTTTCCAAAAAATTTTCAGTACATAGTATTTTAGTCAGAAGGCAACTAAATGTAAAAGAGGCTTGAAGGTGTCTTTGGACACGAATATTGTTCTCTTTCCTATCTTCTATCTTGTTTAATGTGGGCTCATCTTTAAATTTATGACGTTAACTACGTACATCATTTTGGAGATGAGCATTGCTATAGAAACCAAAATACATTGGTGATGCACTAATCTAACGTTAAAATATAATAAAAGAAGTTGAAATAAATACCAAAACTTAGTTAATAAGATGATATGCATGTTTTAATATTATTTTCAAAGAACTTATTGTTTTTAATGTTTAGGATTAGTGATTATTTCACAGGGGGACCATCAGAAAGAGATCACAGAAAAATTATCCTTAGCAATAATAAAACAATAGCATATATTGCAGGTAATAAAATATACTACAGTGTTGTTGAGTAGACAGATTAAAAACAAATCAGTGCTCTGCCATATGAGGAATAAGATACTTTGTTCTCCTAGAATTCAGTGTCTTCTTGTGATTTTAATGCATTTTTACAGATTTCATGATATAATTTATGTGATGTATTTGGAATTATTACTGCACAATAAGTACAGCTATTAAGAGTAGTTGTGGAAGGAATGAGAGCACACACAGGAACGCCAAAGGTCATAATTTCCTTATAGCTACAGAGCAAAATACAGTTGTTTTACACATATCTCTCATGTTTCTGTATGTTTTTCTCTACATCTGAGGTTTTTGATACAATAATGAACAATATCCAGTTTGTGCCCTGATGAAGTTCATTGTATAGAAAAAGCAGCTAGGCAGACATGCAGCCACAGTAAAGCGCTAAGACATCATAAAGCACAAGCAATGAAGCACAAAGGTGGGGATTTAATTTGAATTTTATATTCTGTCTGCCTCATTCACTTCTTGCCAGTGTAATTAACCATCTCTATCTGTTTTAAATTCAAAACCCTAGGGGTAAAACTGATTACAGTACAAGGAACTAAATTTTACTTTTTGTTGTTGTTGTTGTTTATTAGTGACTATTAACCAAGTGTTAGCGAACGTCCCATATGGACATTCTACTAAAAGAAATGCTACCAAGGTTTTAATGCCTGCGTGGTGTGATCTATCAGATCTAGAAAGGGAGAGGCAAGTGTGTTTTTAATCTCCATAAATGATAAATGCTGAGATGCTATTTGAAAACCAAACTATTTCTGATCACTGAGGAAGAGAAATGTAGAAATTTAAGATTTATTACAATTAAAATATTCTAATTTCTTTATTTAGTTTCTATCAATACCTATGCAAAAAGTAAAGGAACTACTTGAGTACAAACATTTCCAAAATTCAAGTTTTTGGTATTCACTTATTTAATAGCTATATCTTAAATATGTAATCTGCCACTAAAACCTAATATTTTTGCTGCTTTATTTTCAACCAGATACTTTTTATTTTCAACCAGATGATTTATACCCTTAGCAGCCTGATTGTAATAGTTACGTCATGTTGCTAACAGGTCCATGTAGCATTATCTGAAAATCAATTTTTTTCCTTAGCAGAAAAAACCCTAATTTGAGAAAAATATTTAGAGAATCCTAAAAATAAGCACAACTTATATAACACAGATAGAACAGTAAAAAAGCCTACTTTATAAAACAAGATGAAAATATAATTATTAAAAACAAAAATTTCTCATTATCCAAAGAATGAATTGCATTTACCATGTTGTGCAAATGTGATTATATCAACCATGCTTTGAAAACAACAAAAAACATTGATAAATATTATTAACTAAAATTTCAACTTACTAGATAGTGATCACAATAAATATGCCAGTCATAGTATCTCAGATATTATAGCCATATCATCAAAATGCAGTCCTGATAAAACCTCATGAAACTATACTAATTTGAGGAAGAACAACAGTATCTACTATGAGAATATTCAAAAAATGATAATTAAAACTTACTTCACAATTTTGTTTCTCATCTTTGAACGATCATCGAGTTCATCACTAACTGTGTTTTCAATTGTAGAAATACTGTTTCTGATGACTGGGATTATGTATAGTTGCTGGATCACAGAATTATTAACCACAGACTTCTTAAGTCCACATTTTTAATGACATTGCTTCTGTAACAATTTTCTTAGAAAAGGTCATGCATGATGGTATAATATTAAATTCTAATGTGTTACACAGACTTAGCATTAATCATTACAAATTTACATATTAAAAAACTTTTGCACTTAAATGTATTCAATACATTTTAATCAGATCTTTACATAAATAGAACTTTAGAGTTTTCTCAGTTTTAATTGAGCACTACATTTACATTATTGTTCTGACTCATAAAAACTATAATCTTCACATAAATATCACTTTCTTCCTCAGCTAATAGTGATAATTGTTTTATCTATGTTCATAGTTTTATTGTGAGAAGAAGTCAATTAGAAGTTGTCTTTAAAATACCTGTGAAAATTGTAAATGCTACTTTTTGTAAAACTGAATATGACTTACACATAAATCCAACTTAGAGATGGATTACATAAATTAGAGCACATTGAACTGCAAGTTATGTAGCTACAAAACAGAATTAAATAGATCTTGTTGTATTGACAGGCGTGTGACTAAGTACAAAACAAGGTTAACCATATTGTATATAAACTCATTACTTAAAAAGTCAGATCATTCTGTGTCCTGTGGGATCTATGTAGAGAGAAGAGTTTCCTTTTTGAAAACACTTTTTTTTGTTAATTTGTTTAACTATTGTATTAGAATAGTAAATATATATTTTCAAAAGATTTTTTTACTTTGATCAGAAATATGATCATTTCTGTAAGAAAAAAAAATAGCTAATTGTATGAAGATGTGCATATATCTCAAAGAAAATCTCTGTACCAGAAATATAATATTGGTGGCAAGATAATAGTTTTTAGTGCATGTCCTCTTGTATATTTGAAAATATATATTAATCACAAGAAAACATTGGCTAGTTTAACAACAATACTGTTTATTTTAAAAAATCTCTTTTGAAAATACAAATTTACTATTCCAATACAATAGTTAAACAAATTAACAAAAAAAAAAAAGTGTTTTCAAAAAGGAAACTCTTCTCTCTACATAGATCCCACAGGACACAGAATGATCTGACCTTTTAAGTAATGAGTTTAGCTAGAAACTCCTACAATGTACTAAAAAATATACTCACACAGAGAAAAACATAAATATAATTTCACATTTTCCAATTAAATATCTGTACAGAATGCTGTTGTTAATTATGTACTTAACCCTCAGATTTCTCTTGAAATCAACTAAATTTCATGTTATTACTTGTTAATTTACTTACATTGGCTCCCAGTCTGAGTTTCAGTTTTGTGTAAGATTTCAACATTGCTACCTATTTTGCTTAACTAATATGGACATTTAAAAGTAATAAAATGCACTCAAATGTTCTCTTCTCACATTATGATTTTTAAAACAATACCTCTCTTATAATATAACTAAAATACCATGAAACAACTTCAAAGTTTGGGTTATGAAAATCTTTTTAATGCATACAGTTTAAATATAAAGTTTTTGTAGCATTAAATTTGGCTTCTTGTTATTCTAAAGGGTTAGTATTTTTTTTTCACATACAACTAAATAAAACCCACTGTGGTAAATTACCAAAACCAGCTATAGGAGAGAAGTTAAGAAATACATGCTTATTTTGAAAAATAATGTTCTCTTACTTACATGGTTTTAATTATATACCTGATGGCTACAAAATGGTAAACTAGTTAATCAAAAAGAAAAAACCCATAAGTTAATTTTTGCAAATGAAATAATAGAATTTTAAACTAAAGTGTGATTAATGAACAAAAACTGCTTTATAATTTAAAATATTCACTAGTTATTGCTTTGTCTTTGTAATATGTTTCAGTCAAACAGTCTAGCATCATTGTGAGATTTTTTACACAGCCAATAGCTGGTGCTGCAAGCAGCTCAAAACCAGGGTTGATGGTAGTGGGTCAGTTACAGACAAGAACAGCCTTCTCTGCTAGCAGTTATTCACTTCTTATGTATTGCAGGTGAACTTTAGATGAAGGCAAGATGAAAACGAATTAATTTCTAGTAAGTTAGAAGAAGTAATCACATATTATTAGTAGAAAAGACAGGTTATAAAAACTTTATTTTCAAAGAAAATACCTTTAAGTCTATTTCACATAATTAAACATCTCAATGTATCTTGAAACAATTTTGAATTTTCTTACAAAAGAAAATCCTGAGGAAAAAAAACTGAGTGCAATCAACTAATGTAACTAATTATCCAAATTAGATTTTTACAGAAATTTCTAAAACTTCAGAACTTTACACCAAAGCAAAATAACATTCTAAATATACCTACTATTTTAGTTACATATTAATAAAAATAAATTAATTTCCAAGTATAATACATTAAAATTATATTATTTTTCTTGAATTATGAGACATATAAAGAAACTCATCAAAAATATGATGTAGAAAATAAGGTTTTGCAAGATGGACTTTTTTATTCAATTAGAAATTCAATCAGGGGCCAGGCATGGCGATTCACACATGTAATTCCAGTACTTTTGGAAGCCAAGGCAGGCAGAGTACTTGAGGTCTGAATATTGAGACAAGCATGACCAATATGGTAAAAACACATGAGGTGTGGTGGTGCACACCTGTAATCTCAGCTATTCAAGAAGCCGAGGAAGAATAAATACTTGAAGCTGGGAAGCAGGGTGCTGCAGTGTGCTAAGATTGCACCAGTGCACTCCAGCCAAAGAGGCAATGTGAGATATCATTCTAAAAATAAAAGAAAACAAATTCAATCAATTAAAAATTGAGATGTACTACTTATTTAACTTTTCAATGCAGTTTGTGACAACTCTGATTTTTAATTACAAAATGTTTTAAATAAAGTGTGCACACATTTCAAAGTTACTACAACCCCACATCCAGAAAAAAAAGTTTTATTTTTATTTAATTAATTTAATTTTGTTTTATATTAAGTTCCACAGTACATGCAGGACATCCTGGTTTATTTCACAAATGACAGAATGTTAGAACAGCAGCAAGTTAGAGAAAATGTCAGGATGGCAGAATAGCCAAAAGTTAGAGAAAAATGAGATCTCATATAAAATTTCAGCAATTTTTTTTTTAAGACAGAGCTTTGCTCTTGTCATACAGGCTGCAGTGCAATGGTGTGATCTCAGCTCACTGCAACCTCCACCTCCTGGATTTAAGCAATTTTCCTGCCTCAATATCCCAAGTAGCCGGGATTCCAGCTGTCCACCACCATGCCCACCTAATTTTTCTTTCTCTATGTGTGTGTGTGTGTGTGTGTGTGTGTGTGTGCGCGCGCGCGCGCGTGCGTGTGTGTAATTTTAGTGAAAAAGAGGTTTCACCCTATTGACCAGGCTGGTCTAGAACTCCTAACGTCAGGTGATCCTACTGCCTCAGCCTCCCAAGGTGCTGGGATTACAGGTGTGAACCACCCCTCCTGGCATCTGCAACATTTTAAAAAGTGGTTTTTAATTTATTCTTCAGAACTCTCTAGAATAGTAAATGTCAACAATTTAGATTCCATGAGACACAAACGTATTAGGGTATTTCAACCACAGAAAAATGATGTTACTATTGCATTTAACAGAAAATGCCAGAAATGCGCTCATCATCTTACAATGCCCAGCAAAAGTGCCTCCCAAACAGAAACTACATAAGTACAAAATGTCAAAGTCCAGGAATTAGAAATACTGTTTCATAAGCAAGCTTCATAATCTACTAAAAGAATGCTAATCTGAAGCCCAATGCCATGCTAGGCACCATGGTGGGTGCCTGTAATCCCAGCTGCTTGGGAGGCAGAGGTGCACTGAGCTGAGACCATGCCATTGCACTCCAGCATGGACTACAAAAGTGAAAGTCCGTCTTTAAAAAAAAATGCAGTATACATAAGATGGATCAGGTGGTTCCATGCAAATAATAATCTTTCAAATTTGATTTTGTAAAAATTTTGAAATATAATCATTTCCAAATAAGGTTAAAAAAATCCAAAATGTAGGACACTGAATTTTCAGTATTTCAAGAACTAAAAGAAGTAAGTCATTTAAACACAACCAGCTATGCTGCTTTTGCAATGGGATTTTAGGGGAGTCACTTTGTCAGATGAAATCCTCTGTGGCCAGTGGGGCTTTCCCTGAGCTTTAATCAAGCCTGCTAAATTTGTTCTACCCACACTACCTGGCAGGCTACACCCAGCTGGAGTTACTGGAGTTATCACCTGCCAAGGGCAAACATGGATGAGTGGTGAGAGGTGTATGAGCAAGTGTGGCTTCCAGCCTCTAGACATGGTCAGTCATGCCAGCTGTGTCAGGTCAGGAAGTTTTAGGTGCCAACAGAACTGCTAGATCACTGAAAAGCTGCAACTGGGCCAGGCCTACTGCAAGCAGCCTCCACAGCTGATACTGGGGAATGTAGTGATGCCCAGAAGCTTGCAGATGCCAGAAAAGGCAAAGCCCCAAGGAAGGTGTGACAGCCCTCCCTGGCTTTGAGAGCTCCCTGGTCTGTGCGCCCTGAAGGGCCACAGCTCTCGTTTTATTTTTGTCTACCACAATGTGATAAGCAAGGGGAATGTTTTCTACCCGTTTGTGTTCCAGGTCATTCAGCCCTGCCATTCAGGTGATCTCATATTATTTTCCTGCATCCAGGAAAAACGAAGTTCATGCTGCCATGAGCCCTTCCACCTGTGTCTGTAGAGATAATCCCTGCGCTGGTTATGGCAACAGTGATGGCCTCCCCTAGAAGATGCTTGAGTATTCATTCTACTCAACACCTAGAATTATCTAGCCCTGGCTATAATCCTTGAAATCTTGGTTTTCATTTGGCTTGGTTATTGTAAAATCTTCACAACTTTTCTGTCATAAGAGACATTTAATATTTGTCTTATGGCAATCATTACGCTCGATGGGTATGCATAATGTAGTGTACCAATGCACATGTGTGCATCTGTATTCTGTATGCCTTCCAGTCGTATTCCGGATTAGCTCTATCCCAAAAGGCTTTGATTCAGTTTTCTCCATGGTATCTCAAAAATAGAGTGTGCCTAGGGTTTTATTTTGCTATATTAGCGTTTTACATAAATATTTAAAAATAATGGAAAAGAAAAGGGGAGAAAAAGGAAATATTTAGTTTACCTTTTTGTTTTTATTTGTTTTTTTGGAAACGGAGTCTCGCTCTGTTGCCCAGGCTGGAGTGCAGTGGCGCGATCTCAGCTTGCTGCAAACTCTGCCTCCCGGGTGTTCCCGCCATTCTGCCTCAGCTTCCGGAGGAGCTGGGACTACTGGCTCCCGCCACCATGTCCAGCTAATTTTTTTTCTTTTTTTTTTTTTTGTATTTTTAGTAGAGACGGGGTTTCACCAAGTTAGCCTGGATGGTCTCCATCTCCTGACCTGGTGATTGGACAGCCTTGGCCTCCCAAAGTGCTGGGATTACAGGCGTGAGCCACCGCACCCGGCCTATAGTTTAATTTCTAATTATTGATTAACTGAACTGACTTTACTTTACTAACGCTTACCCTAACTTGAATCAACTGAACTTTAAAAGAGCTTCTTAAAATCCTTCCGATTTACAGAAACCAGGGATTTTGAGTTAAGTGACTGTGAATATATAAAATCAAATTGTTCTAAAAGTGTGCTCCTATTTTTTTGTTTACAATTTTCTGGAGAGATGGTTCAATACTGTTAATTGCTCAAAGGTGCCTGACACTAGATTTTAAGATATTCAACAGCATTTCTAGCCTCTTGGCACTAGATGCTAGTAACAACCTTACCAATTCCACTTCCAGTCATGAACTTGGCTTAGAGTAAAACTCAAGTAAAATCTACTGACCTGTAGAAACCCTAGACAATCACATGGACTTTGTGTTACCCCCATGAGCTCATTGTCTGCAATCGTTTTCCTTCCACAGTCTGCTCCTTCCACAGTCTGCTCCATCCACAGTGACCTGGTCGTTTTTCAAACTGTTTATACAGGCTTCTGCCAGAGATCATCACACTTGTAGATCTTGCTGCATGCTTACATAATTATTCCCTTATTGTTTTATTTAGATATGTACTTGAAAGTCACTTTGGAAACAAATTATTTTATACTTTTTGTTTGTTTTTATTTTTTATTATACTTTAAGTTTTCGGGTACATGTGCACAACGTGCAGGTTTGTTACATATATACATGTTTTACATAAAACCAAGATGTACTACATAAGAGAATATTGCCCCTTGCCCTTTATACTAAATTGATAATATCAATTAATAGAAAGCAAACAACAAACTTCATACCGTAACCACTAAAACAAAAACCTAACAACTGGAAACATAAATTAAAAGTGTAACTTTCAATTTAAGTGTTTTAAACAACATTTTCATGGGACAAAAACATAGATCTCCTAAATAAAAATAAACTCTGAGATTACAAAACAATCAGTGCTTCCCAAATAAAAACGCAGGCAAAACTGCAGGCCTGGCAGCTTTGAACCATTCAAAGAAACATCACACCAATCAAACACTGTCTGAACCCTGTAAATCAATTGTTTGTATCAACCAAGGAATCCATCCAAAGAGACAATTTTAAAGTAGTAAATTTTTTTTAGATTGCCATACTGCCTCCCAGGCACAGATGAAGCCTTCAAAATTGAAATCCACATTTTCCATTTTAAACCCTGGTTCCTAATTCTGGGAGGAGTGAAGAAGCACTTGTGTGTTAATTTATTGTGTTTGTTCTAGTCTTTCTAGAAGATAAATAAACAATTGATGAAACATATTTATTACTGTTTTGCCAAACTCAGAAGTCACTCTTGGTTGAAAATGCCAGGAATTGGTCACAAACAAAATTTTAAGTTGTTGAAAGCAAAGAATACAGTTATTTCCTACAATAGACAATATAACAGATTTGTTAATACAGATCCAGTATTTAAAAAATAATAGTTTATATATCACTCTTATTCATAATGCTAATGGAATGTATTCAATGTATGGTTAACCTTTCTCTAAAAAAAAAAGAAATGCTATTACTATTACAATTCTGGCAAAGTTAGCTATTACTATTACAGCTCTGGTAGGCAGCTATTACATAAAAAATTACAAATTTACTTTAATGGACACTCAGTGTGTGCAGATAAAATCTGAGACAATAATATAAACTGAGAAAGAAAAGTACAAGAGCAGCATATATTTATATTGTTGAAATTAAAATTTAGATTATTCAAATAAGTTAATATTATTCAAAGAAGGCTCTATTAAGTTTAGAATACAATTAAAGTCCCAAATATAATGAATTATAACATAAAAATACAGAAAAAAGTTTTAAAAAGTTAACATTTTTTAATGGACAAAGGAGAAATTGAGGATCCAATAAAATAAAGAACATATAGAAAAAAAGTAAAATGTCAGAGTAATTTTTTACTTGTAATAACTTTAAATGTGAGCTCTTACATAAAAACACACAGACTGGCACAAATGCACCTTTAAAAGAACAATTCACTCGTGATTTCTATGCAAGTCTTACTTTAGGTTCAAAGAAACGAGATTGAAACTAAAATAATACAGTTTCTTGGAAAAGCATGACAACTTATTTTCAAACATAAAAAAAAAAAATTCTGGGCCAGTTCCAGTGGCTCTCAGAAAAAAAAAAATTCTGGAGATGAAAAATAAAACAATTGACATTAAAATTGACTAGAGGCCTGCAATTCCAGCACTTTGGGATGCCAAGGTACAGATCATAAGGTCAAGAAGTTGTGACTATCCAAGCCAACATGATGAAACCCCATCTTTACTAAAAACACACAAATTAGCTGGGTGTGGTGACACGTATCTATAGTTCCAGCTACTCAAGAGACTGAGGCAGGAGAATCAGTTGAACCCGAGAGGCAGAGGTTGCAGTGAGCCAAGATTGTGCACTGTACTCCAGCCTGGTGACAAAGCAAGACTCCATCTCAAAAAAAATTGTATAAATAACTAACTAAATAAGTACTACAGACATTTAAAAGGAGACTTGAGCATACAGAAGAAAATGTCACCAAATCGAATAAAAGGGGCAATTGAAATTATTAAGTCAGGAAGAGAAAAAATAAATAAATAAATGTGAAAACAGTCTAGAAACCAGTGTGACACCATCAAGCAGACCCACTTATCCATTTTGGAAGTTCAAGGAAAAGAAACAAAGAAATAGGGAGACTAAAAAAATGTGGTCAAACCTGTCACAAATTTAAGATAATAAATACCGAAGAAACTGAACAAACTCCAAGTAAAATAAACTCAAAGAGGCACATTCAAACATACATGATAGTTAAACTGTCTAAAATAAAGACAAAGAGAATCTTGAAAGCAGCCAAAGAAATTTTGACCAGTAATGTATGAAAGAACCCCTCATAAATAATCAGGGAATTTCTTATCTGAAAACTCAGGGTAGACTCATATATTCCAAATGCAGTAAGAAAAAAAAATTCAAACAAATGTTATGTTTAAACAAAGTGTCCATCAAAAATGAGGGAGAAATTATGAAATTCCTAAATAAAAGCCACATTCTTTTGCCAGTAGACAACCATTTAATAAATGCCTTATGTATTATTCCAGGGTAAAATGAAAGGACATCGAACAGCAGTACAAATAAACAAAGATTAAGGTAAAGATAAATATCCTGATGCAGAACAGACTGGAGAAGAGAACAGGTGCAAGATACACCCACTAATGTCTCAGGGGTCTGGCTCGGTTACTGCTTCCATGGTTACGGGCTCAGCTAACAAGGAAGGTACACTGGTATTAGCAATTCCATAAACAGCCAATGGAAGAAAAAAACATCCATACATTTGTTCCAAGCATGAGAGGGGGGAAAAGAGAGATTATTGATGATGAAAAAGACCAGCCTTTTATCAAAAGGATGTATTTAACCATAAGGCTAATAGAAAGTGCCAGTAGACTCAGAAACATTTTGGTGAGGGAAAATGATGGCTTTACCCAGAAAGTGCTATCAATGAGATTGACAGAGAACAACTCACTAAATATTGAAGTAATGAAAAAAAATCAAGAATGCTCTGTATAGGGCTGCTGCAGATGACAGGAAGCTTATGCTGCCTAGTGCAGATGGCTGCGTCCCTTGCTGAGGTCTTGATTTTGTTTGCATTTAAGAAATGACAGAAACAGAGAAAGCATTGAAAGAGTGGATACTGTAAAGAACATTGTGAATAGTTTCATTCAGTTTAAGAAGCCTATTGTTGTATCAGCCAATAGCCCAGCCATTTGACTAGATGCATCCATACTTCCTCTTTGTGATTTGGTTTAGGCTAACAAAAAGGCTTGGTTTTAAACTGCTTCTATGACCTTTGGACAGAGTCCAGGTTGCTGTTTTACCATTAAATTTCCCAAGATGATGGGTGAAGCATAGGCCAATGTAATGTTGATTGGTGGGAGAAAGCTGAAAGCATGGGAGGCATGTGCCAGAGACCTGGTCTCTCAGGTGTCTTGGACTGCAACTTTTCCCCCAAGTGGTTATGACTCAAATTAAGGACTTTGCCTCATATAATTCAGTTGTGCTAGAGAAAAGTAATGCCCTTATTTACTGTAAAGTTAAAGATGAAGTTAAAACAGGTCAATGAGAGAGTGTGGTGTGCCGAAAAAAATCTGAGTCTCAGCACAAGGAATAGAATCTGTGTTGATGTTAAGTGTGGGTTTCTGTGTTTCAGCCTTGTTTCTGTTACTAATCTTCAGGTTCTCCATTAAGTGGGTCTTGAATTCTTGATGCATATCCAGGGAGAATTATGTATGTGGAAAACAGGAGAATAATTAGGGTAAATAGATGCTTTATTGAGTGATGGCGCAGCTTTCAGGAGACAGAAAGTGGGTAAGTCCATTTCAAAAACAGGAAATACCTGCATCTCTGCAACACTCAGTGAAGACAGGGCCAAGAGAGACAAGATGAAGAAGCAGGTTGTTAAAACATCACTGAAGGCTTCAGTGGAGAGAAGTTTCAGAGTGGGTAGCGTCTATCTGCAGGAAGGTTGTTGAGATGTATCTGCAGCTTTAAGTTTGGAGAAGACATATCCATTTGCAGCCGTGCAATCCCAAGAAGTGTACAACTCACAGTGAAGAGGTGGCACATTGTTGGTAGATCCACTTTAAGTCAGGTTATTTCAAAGTCTGATGCAGGGCATGGTGGCTTTTGTCTATAATACCAGCAATTCAGGAGGCCAAGGCAGATGGATCACTTGCAGTTGAAAGTTTGAGACCAGCCTGACAAACATGGAGAAACCGTGTCTCTAATAAAAATACAAAATTAGTTAGGTGTGATGGTGGATGCCTTTAATCTCAGCTACTCAGGAGCTGAGGTAGGATAATCGCTTCAACCTGGGAGGCGGAGGTTGTGTGAGTTGAGGTCAAACCATACTACTCCAGTCACGTCAACAAGAGTGAAACTCCGTCTCCAATAAATAAATAAACAAACATATATAAACAAACAAACAAATAAACAAATAATCTAAATACGTATGGAATGCATATGAACCTCAGAAGTCAGAAAGAGAGTGCTGATTAGTCGGGTGAAGATGGGTGAAAAAGATGTCTAACCCTAAATATAACCCCTATTACTAACACTAAAACACTAACAATAACCCTCAAGCCCTAACCCTAATCTCCACATAAACCCAACCTGAACCATTAACAAAACATATCCCTATCCATAAATATAACCCTACCGCAACCCATAACCCTAAACATACACCTACACCTACCCCTAACCCTAAATCTACCCCAAACCCTAAATCTACCCTTAAACATAACACTCAGAAAAACACTAACAGAAATACTAAACCAAACCCTAACTCTAACACTACCTCTAAACACTGAACCCTAACCCCTAACTCTAACTCTGACCCCTAAATCTCCTTCAAACCTAACCCTAAAAGCACCCTTAACTCTAACCTGAAAATTAAAATTCTAACCTTAAAAACATAAGCATAACACATAACCAACATCCCTAATCCAAATTCCTACCCCAACCCTAATTCTAAAAATATGCTGACCATATCCCTAAACTTAATCCTGACACTAACCCTAACCCTAACTCTAACCCACAACCTCAAATGCAACTGCAACCATAGCTCTAACACTAAAACTTAAATGCTAACTATAATCACATATAATAAACCCAATCCCAACTGTAACCCTGAACTCTAACCCTAAAACTAAACCCACCCTAACGCTAACCCTAAAGCTTAACACTAGGCCAAACACTAACCCCTCATCCTAACCCTAAAGTGACCCTAACCCTAACCTAAATGCTAAACAATAACCCTAAAAATAACACTGCACCCTAAACACTAACCCTAATGCTAACCTGAAACCCTAAACCGAATCCTTATTCTTATCCTAACACAAACCCTAAACCCAAACCCTAACGCTAATGCACTAACCCTCTTACCCTAACCCTCACCGTCACCTTAACTCTCACCCTAAGCACTAACTCTAACCCTCACCATGAAGTTAAGCCAGAACCTAACCCTACACTAACAACAACCTCTAACTGTAGGCCTATTTCTTACCCTAAACCTAAACATAACCTGACCCTAAAACTAACATCTAATCTTGATTCTAACTGTAGCCCTAAACATAACACTAAACTTTAACCCTGTCCCTAATCCTAATCCTAATCATAACCCTAATCCTACCACAACACTGACCTCTAACCCAACCCCAGATCTAACCCTCAATCTAAACTTTTTTCTGCAATTGTAAACCCCTATTCCTAATCCCAAACTTCTATCCCATTCTTAATATTATCATATCACCCTTCAAAGAATTTTAAATATATCATCTATGACTCTAACCCCTAATGCCCATAAGAGTACACTTAACCTTACCTCTTAACTCCAATTGAAAATTGAATTAAACAGATGATGTCACTGGGACAAAACACTAAATGTTAACAAATATGATAATTAGAGACATTAGATTATGTAACCAAATAATAGTACATGGAATTAACTACACGAGGAAGACATTATGCACCTATGTGATTACGTTTTTTTTCTAGAAAATTGAGGCTTGTTTTAACATTCTGAAGCCATCCCTCTTCAATATACCACGTAAATTAAATGCTGGGAAAACAGTACATGTATATCTCAACTGTTACAGAAAATACTTAAAGTTAGTCAACATGTTTACTGATAACAACATCCAATAAACTGTGATTAAAATGTCTTTCACATGATAACACGTCTTTATACAAAACCCATAACAATCAGCGTCTGAATTGTTGGGAACAAAAGCTTTAAGATGAAGAACACAGCACTGATGCTCACTTTCATCATTGCATTTGATACTGTATTAGAAGTTCCATCCGAAATAATTGGAAAAGAAAAATATATATGAAGCCATTCATATGTCAAAAAATAAAATAAAACTACCTACTCATGGATCTCATGATCTCATATACAGAAAATCATAAGAAATCAACAAGAAATAATAAAATCTAATAAACAAATTAAACAAACATACAGTATATATATCAATACACTAAAATCTATTTGTATACACTAGCAATAAATGATATGAAAATGAAATTAACACAACAATTTTATTTGTAAAAACAACAAGCTGCATGTTCTCCAACTTCCCTTGAACACACAGGAGCAGGCAGCTGGGGTTGGGGGTGGCCTTGGAGTGGGGTCTGTGCTGCTTTATTGGGACCTGGGCTGCACTGTCCATGGGCTAAGCAGAAACTACTCAAGTTCCTGGGGAGTCAAAGTAGAAATACTTAAGTACATAATGGATGAAGAGTAGAAAATCTACAGTGGTTTTGAAAGCCCTCATGCCACGATGTCAAATGGATATCTTCAGAGTCATAAATTAATGATAAAAAGAGAACATGCATGAACATCAGCAACAGTGAAAGCCAGGGAGAGTGGCCCAGGTCATTTTGCTGAGAAGAAATGCATTGAGTTTAATTTGAGAGACGTCCCTTCACAAGTGCTGCTAAAGGCATACACATATTTTACCTAAATGTTTCACTGCGCCTACAGTTCCACAGAAATTCCTAAATTCCCATTTCACCTGAAACTGCAGTAGAACTGTTGATGGCTGTGAACTTTCTATATTGTATATAAATACAATTGATTTATAGGATAAAATAAATTAGAATAAACTCTTAAATTTTTTTTAGTGTTTAAGGCCTGTGGTTCAGTTCATATTTTTTATAGGTAGCACATTCCCTGTATGCAAGGTAACTATAAAATTAATCGCAGAAATCAAAACCACAATGAGATACCATCTCACACCAGTTAGAATGGCAATCATTGAAAAGTCAGGAAACAACAGGTGCTGGAGAGGATGTGGAGAAATAGGAACACTTTTACACTGTTGGTGGGACTGTAAACTAGTTCAACCATTGTGGAAGTCAGCGTGGCGATTCCTCAGGGATCTAGAACTAGAAATACCATTTGACCCAGCCATCCCATTACTGGGTATATACCCAAAGGACTATAAATCATGCTGCTATAAAGACACATGCACACATATGTTTATTGCGGCATTATTCACAATAGCAAAGACTTGGAACCAACCCAAATATCCAACAATGATAGACTGGATTAAGGAAATGTGGCACATATACACCATGGAATACTATACAGCCATAAGAAATGATGAGTTCATGTCCTTTGTAGGGACATGGATGAAATTGGAAATCATTGTTCTCAGTAAACTATCGCAAGAACAAAAAACCCAACACCGCATATTCTCACTCATAGGTCGGAATTGAACAATGAGATCACATGGACACAGGAAGGGGAACATCACACTCTGGGGACTGTGGTGGGGTGGGGGGAGGGGGGAGGGATAGCACTGGGAGATATATCTAATGCTAGATGATGAGTTAGTGGGTGCAGCGCACCAGCATGGCACATGTATACATATGTAACTAACCTGCACAATGTGCACATGTACCCTAAAACTTAAAGTATAGTAATAAAAGAAAAAAATTAATTGCAAAGAAGATTCTATTCTGTTTTTTTGCATAACAGAGTTGAAATTTATTTGTATTCTGAAAAAACTATGGACATTTTCACAAACAGAGAAATAAACAAATATGCCAATTCATAGGCGGTTTTGCCTTACCCCTTGAATATGACTTTAAAATGAGTAATGTTGACATAGAAAATGATGAAAATTAGACATATATAATTGCATAATATGCATGTTCATAACTTAGCCAAAAGATTGATTTTTATCTAACCCTAACATAAATGTTATATTAATGCCTGTAATCTCAGCACTTTTGGAGGCCAAGGCAGGCAGATAATGTGAGTCCAGGCATTTAAGACAGGTCCAGGCAACATGGCAAGTCTTTGTCTCTCTCAAAAAATACAAAAAGTTAGCCAGATATGATAACTGAAGCTAAGGCAGAAGATCAGTTGAGCTCAGCAGTTAGAGGCTGCAGTGAGCCATCATAGCACTTCTGCACTCCAGGCTGGGAAAAAGAATGAGACCCTGTCTCAAAATAAAAATAAAAGGAGAAGAAGAAGGAAAGGAATAAGAGTTGAAATTTTGTATGTCCTTTGATAAACCTCAGTAATGTTTAATATTGTCTTTTCATTTTGTTTATTGCTACAATTTAAGAAATTTACTTAAAAACACTTTTGGAAGGTTGCTGGGTACAATTTTTGAAGAAGCAACAGAACTATACCCAGATGGTCAACAGGTCAAATATATGACTTACAAGCAAAGCATCCTTGGCAACTTTAAAAACAGAAAGAAAAAAAAATCCATAAGGTTTGATGGGTTAGGTTATTTTCTATGTTTTTAGATTTAAGAAATCCCTTTTTTCTCTTAGATAATTATAATTTATAACACTTTAATAGGTTATACTTTTGTAAACAGAAATGAAACACTTGTTAAAAAAAATTAACTCTCCTGTCCCCCCGCCAACCACAGCCATCTGAATGGACCCCTCCTTTTGATCAAGAGCATTCCAAAATTGCTTCACTTCCTGACAAGAAAGAGGGACACACATGCTTCATTACATACTATTCCCTTTTGAACTTTAGAAAAAGCTGACCACCACTAACAGCAACACATACCTTAAATCTGATAAGGAATATTTACCACCTATTTTCTCGAGCCTGCTACATGGAGGCTTCATCATCATAATAAAACTTTGGTCTCTACAGCCCTTATTATTTATTGTAACCCAGTCATTCCTGTCTATTGATTTTATGTTTTTAGATAATAATTTAACTCTTTCAGCCAACTGCCAATTAAAACATATTTATATCTACCTGTAACTTGAAAGCCCAGCCCCACACCATCACTATTTTCAAGTTGTCCATCCTTCCTGGACCAAACCAATGTACATCTTACATGTGTTTGATTGATGTCTCAGGTCTCTCTAAAATGCATAAATGTAGGCTGTGAACATACCACCTGGGGCACATGTTCTCAGGATCTCCTGAGTAGGGATGTGTCATGGACCATTTGTCACTCATATCTGGATCAGAATTCTTCAACTAATTTTATGGCATAATATCAAAGTTTGATATTGTTAGTATATCTCAGCTAATGTAGGATGTCAATATGTATAAAGCAGACATTTACATTACCATTACAAATGCACTCTCAGTTAAACTGTGACTGTCTCAGGAAAAGAAAAAATGTTGCTAACCAGGCATATATCATATATTTAAACTTACATAATAATTCAAGTTCTAATATGCCTACTTAAAAAATGTTTCTATATTGTTTCAACTACTTTAGTTCTCTAAGAAAAATGAGTTATTAAAGCATGAAAAAAAGTGTTGTTGGAGGTTGTGATGTCTCCCCTGGCCTCAGCCCATCGTGGTTCCACTCAGCGCCTCTCCTTTCTCTGTACCAGAATCTCTGCCAGAAACAAGCCCAGATCATCTGCAAACCACACTTTGGTAGCTGTGACAATGCGTGGTCACTGCCTCACTCAAGGGACACTTTTGTAAGGTCAGAATTGGAGGCCAGGGCTGGGAAGTAAGGCCCAGGGCAGTGCCCCTCCTCAGTTCTGGGTGCTGCAGACAGGGTGTCTTTTCCTCACTTGGCCGCCAGATGTCTCAATGCCATGTACTCTCCTGGGAGGGTCCTGAGGAGACGTCTTTATTCTCACCCTGGTCGTAGCACCAGGTGACTTGTAGCAACGGCCACTCCTGGACATGTCCAGAAGAGAAGGAGGTTTTATCCTCATGGTGGACCCGACCCCAGGTGTCCCAAAGCCGCGGCCACTCTTGGGCGGGTCCTGAGATGAAGTAGGCTTAGTCTTCTTCATGAACGTGGCCACAGATGTCCCCAAGTGCCCTGAAACCACGGCCTCTCTCGAGTGTCCTGAGAAGGAAGCTCTGTCCGAGGCACTGTGAAGATAACCTGCTTCTCAGAGAGTTGGTTTGCAGGCTCAGTGCATCAGCTCCGTGCACCCTCTGGTGGTAGCCTTGGAAAATCTCTGAAATTTGGGGTGGGTTAATCCAGGCGGTCATCTCACGAAGTGGAAGTGAGATACAGCCAACCTTCCCATATCTAGAATGGAGATAAAAGGAAGCAAAGAAGACGGTCAATATACAAAACTCAATTGATTTTCTCTATATCAGCAATAATGAATATAAATAATTGGATTTTGAAATATTAAAACACCATTTACAATACTACCCGCAAAATTGAATCCATTAAGTATAACTGTAACAAAATATGCAGAATTCATTCAGAAAACAATGAGTCACCATTGGGAGAAATCAAAGGAAATGTTAGCAAATGCAGACAGGCTAGGCACGTTGTCACACGCCTGTAATCCCAGCACCTCGGGAGTCTGCAGCAGGCAGATACCTTGAGCCCATGAATTGGAGACCACCCTGGGGAACATGGTGAAAGCCCATCTCTGCCCAAAATACAAAAAAAATAAGCTGAGCTTGGTGGTGCATGCCTGTGGTCCCAGCTACTTGGGTCGTTGAAGTGGGAGAATCTGTGAGCTGAGATCATGCCACCGCACACCAACCTGGGTGACACAACTCCTCACAAAGTAAATAAATAGATGTTTCTTGTTCTGGAGAAGCACATTTATTATTATTTCAGCTATATTCCAATCAAATTCCAGGTAAATATATCAACAACTCTTCCTAAACCTAGAATAGATGAAATAAGACTGAAGAAGTGCAATGCCAGATGTGATATGAATACTTACACTAAAGCTAATGTAATAAACAAGAGTGTGTCATTCATGATTTAATAGACAAGCAGATAAGTGGAACAGAATAGTCAGCCCCAAAACAGGCCCAAGTCAAATGATTTTGTCGAAAATGCAAAGAGTGTCCTTTGGAAACAATAAGTCTCTTTCACAAGTGGCAAGAAAACAGCTGGAAACTATACGGAAACAAATGAACATAGACACAAATTTTACAGTTAAAAAAATTAGTCAAAAATACCCACACATTAAATTTTTTCAGTGCAAAGTTGTAATTGGAAAATATCTTCATGAGCTTGGGTTTAGTGATGAGTTATTATCAAGTCCATGAAAGAAAAAAAAACGGATAATATGAACTTTATTGAAAGTTGAAATGTCTACTCTGTAAAACACTCTGTTACCATTGGGCATGGCAGTTCAAGCTTGTAATCTCAGCACTTTTGGAGGTCGAAGCGGCCAGATCACCTGAGGACAGGGATTCCAGATCAGCATGGTAAACACGGTGAAACCCCGTCTCTAGGAAAAATTCAAAAATTTAACTGTGAGTTCTGGCGTGCACCTGTAATCCTAGCTGCTCAGGAGTCTGAGCCAGGAGTTTGAATCCCTTGAACTTGGGCGGTGGGGATTGCGGTAAGGCCATATAGGGTCATTGCACCCCAGCCTGGGTGACAAAATGAGACTCCACCTCCAGCTACTCGGGAGGCTGAGGCAGGAGAATGGCGTGAACCCGGGAGGCGGAGCTTGCAATGAGCCAGGATCGCGCCACTGCACTCCAGCCTAGGTGACAGAGTGAGACCCCGTTTCAGAAAAAAAAAAAAAAGAACCAAAGAACCAGCCACAGCCATAGATAGAAAAATTTAGCAAACTTATCTGAAAAGTGACTTGTATGCACAACATATGCAGAAACTCTAAAACTCAAAAAGATAAGCAACCCAATTCCAAGGTAAAAACCTGAGTAGATACATCACTAAGGAAGATACAGAGATGGAAAACAGGCAGACACACCAAACACTGCTTGCGGAAAGCCTGCTGCTTCTGCTGAAGGCTGACTCTAAGCCGTCCCATGGGGAGCAGCAGTGGCTGCCAGAGCGGCAAGTGGCTCCAGAGACCGCCCCCACCTACCCCACCTCCGCTCTTCCTCCAAGGTCCAAGGGTCCTGAAGGCACTAGGCATACTCTCCTAGAAAGAGCCGGAAGCTGGATACTTTATTTCTCGGCTTTCCTTAAAGTTCTGGAAGCTGCCAAGTATCCTTAAGTTGGAAGTTTTATTTTTTTCCTAAGCACCTTGAGGCACTGAGAAGCATTAGGAGAGGTGGTTTTTAACTCACACTTGTCTTCATAAAGAGATAAAAGAATTTGCTCCAACCCCTTTGTATTAAGTTGTTTTAAAATGTTTGGTTCAATATGTTGTTATTTTGCTTTCCTCCAGACACGAAACACAGAAAAAGCATTAAGTAAAAACCGAATAGGGAGTCATCATAAATTCATGGATACTATTTAGTTTTTCATTTAACCTGCCTTTTTTTATTGTAATTTAAATTATAGGATACATGTGCAGAACAGGCAGTTTTGTTACATAGGTGTACATGTGCCACGGTGGTTTGCTGCACCCATCAACCCATCATGTAAGTTTTAAGCCCTGAATGCATTAGGTATTTGTCCTAATGATCTCCTTCCACTTACCCCCTACTCCCTGACAGGCCCCATTGTGTCCTCATTGTTCCATTCCCACTTATGCATGAGAATAGGTAGTGTTTGCTTTTCTGTTCCTGTGTTAGCTTGCTGAGAATGACGGTTTCCACTTCATTCATGTCTCTGAAAAGGACATGAACTTATTCATTTTTGTGGCTGCATAGTATTCCATCGTGTATATGTGCCACATTTTCTTTATCCAGTCTATAATTGATGGGCATCTGGGTTTGTGCCATGTCTTTTTTGTGTGTAAATAGTGCTGCAATAAGCATACATGTGCAGTTTCCTTAGAGTAGAATGATTTACAATACTCTGGGTGTATACCACATAATGGGATTGCTGGGTCAAATGGTATTTCTGGTTATAGATCCTTGAGGAATCACCACACTGTCTTCCACAGTGATTGAACTAATTTATACTCCCACCAGCAGCATAGAGCATTCCTTTTTCTCCACATCTTCGCCAGCATCTGTGGTTTCCTGACTTTTTAATGGTCACCATTCTGACCGATGTGAGACAGTATCTCATTGTGGTTTTGATGTGCATTTCTCTAATGCTCAGTGATGCTGAGCTTTTTTTATATATATTTGTTGGCTGATTAAATGTCTTCTTTTGAGAAGTGTCTGTTGATATCCTTTACCACTTTTTGTTGGGGTTTGTTTTTTATTTTCTTATAAAATTTTTTAAGTTCCTTGTAGCTTTTGGATATTAGACCTTTGTCAGATAGATAGGTTGAAAAAATGTTTTCACATTCTGTATGTTGCCTGTTCACTCTGACGATATTTTCTTTTGCTGTGGAGAAGCTCCTTAGATTAATTAGGTCCCATTTGTCAATTTCGGATTTTGTTGCAATTGTTTTTTGGTCTTTTTGTCATGAAGTTTTTGCCCATGCCTATATCCTGAATGGTATTGCCTAGATTTTCTTCTAGGGTTTTTAGGGTTTTAGGTTTTACATTTAAGTCTTTTAATTCATCTTGAGTTAAGTTTTGTATGTGATGTAAGAAAGGGATTCAGTTTCAGGTTTCTGCATATGGCTCGCCAGTTTTCCCAGACCAGGGAATCCTTCCCTAGTTGCTTGTTTTTGTCAGGCTTGTCAAAGATCAGATCACTGTAGATGTGTGAATTACTTTAAGCAGTATGGTCATTTTAGGATAGAGCAGGATTTCAATCCCAGCTTTTTTTTTTTTTTTTACTTTCCATTTGCTTTGTAAATATTCCTCCATCCTTTTATTTTGAGCCTATGTGTGTCTTCACCCATGATATCAGTCTCCTGAATACAGCACACCAAAGGGTCTTGATTCTATCCAATTTGTCAGTCTGTGCACTTTAATTGGCAAATTTAGTTCACTTACATTTAAGGTTAATATTTGTACGGGTCAATTTGATCCTGGCATGGCAATACTAGCTGGTTATTTTGCATATTAATTGATCCACTTTCTTCTTAGTGTTGTTGGTCTTTATATTTTGCTACTTTTTTTAGTGATGAATACTGGTTTTGTTTTGTGTTGTTTTGTTTTCTGAGACAGAGTCTCGCTTTATTGGCCAGTATGGAGTGCAGTGCTGCGATGTCAGCTCACTGCAAGCTCCAACTCCCAGGTTCCTGCCATTCTCCTGCCTCAGCCTCCTGAGTCCAAGTACCTTTGACTACAGGCACCCGCCACCATGCCCAGCTAATTTTTTGTATTTTTAGTAGAAATGGGGTTTCACCATATTAGACAGGATGGCCTTTTACCTTTAGTTAAATAAGTTAGAGTAGAAACAAAGGAATGCGGGGTGTTTACCTAAGTAGCTTGCTTAGTCATGTGGTCCTAAGACTAATATTTGACTTAGCACAGTGCTAAATTGCTTTCTAACTGGGAAGTCCACACTGTCAATTACCCTTTAGTGGTGTTAACTAGAGCCTTGGTCAATTAATCCTTACTGAATAAATGCAAGTCTCACTAGCTGGCTGGGGCCACAGTCAAAACTGTTTGCAATAATTTGCCTGTAGTCTGTAAGCAGCTTGATGTTCAGCTGGACTGGCAAAGCATAATATCTGTGTGCTTTATTCATCCATTTATTCATTGTAGAAATCATGAATTAAAAAAATAACAGGATAAATGCGACAATATGTACTAGCATATTTTTTTCTTTCTTTTTTTTTAGTTTTTACTAAGTAGAGCTTAGAATATGATCAGTTTTCTGTGGCACAACACATGCCTGCTTCTTTTGGCAGCAATTATAGAATAATGAGAAAACAATAATAACAAAAAGTGCCAGTCTGAAGAGATCATGTATTTTATGATCATATTTCTATGACATTATAGAAATGTCTACAGAGAAGGTAAGCAGACCTGTGATGTACAGTGGTTTGTAGGGGAAAGAGAGTGAGTTGAATAGGGGAATAGGATGTTGGAAAGGGGGTACAAATGGGCCAGTTAGACTTAGACTGCCTCTGGTTCGTGAGGTCATGCTTGGTGTGTGGAAGAGCCAGGAGTGTGTAGTACAAGCATGATAAGAAGGTTTCTACTCAGCCAGATGTGGTGGCTCACCACATCTGCAGTCCCACCACTTTGGGAGGCTGAGTTGGGTGGATCACTAGGTCACGAGGTTGAGACCATCATGGCTAACACGGTGACACCCTACCTCTACTAAAAATACAAAAATTAGCCAGGCATGGTGGTGGGCACCTTTAGTCCCAGCTACTCAGGAGGCTGATGAAGGAGAATGGCATGAATATGGGAGTTGGAGCTTGCAGTGAGCAGAGACCACACCACTGCACACCAACCTAGGCCACAAAGGAAGACTCTGTTTCAAAACAAAAACAAACACAAAACAACAACAGCAACAAAAAACAAAGGCTTCTACTCACTCTAGGAGAGAGAAGGGTCCTCTTCTTTCCACATGGAACTATCTCAGGACTAGTTCTCAGGAAGCCTTTTTGGTATGTGGTAAAAGAAACGTAACATAAATTTACCAATCTAAACATTTGTAGGTGTACAGGTAAGTGGCATTATGTATGTTCATGTTACTGTGCAACCATCACCACCATTTCACATTCTCACCAGCAATGCACAAGGGTTCCATTTTCTCCACATACTCCCCAACTCTCCCTTTTTCAAAAAAAAAAAAAAAGACATTCTAGTGGGTTTAAGGTGATAATCTCATTGTGATTTAGATATCCATTTACCTAATGGCTAATGATGTCGAACATATCTTTCTGCGCTTATTGGCACTGAACTTGTTAATGGTTTCCTGGGTATGACAGAGAATGCACAGAAAACAAAAGAAAAAATAGATAAATTGAACTTCATTAAAACTAAAATCTTTCATGCTTCAAAGGGCACTATCAGGATGGTCAATAGAAAACCAACAGCATAGGACAAAATATTTTCAAGTCATATATAAGGGTAAGGGCCTAGTATCCAGGATATAGGAGAAATTCTTACAACTCAAGAACAAAAAGACAATCAACCCAATTAAAAAAATGATAGAGAAATTGAAAATACTTTTCTCCAAAGATACACACACACACAAAAACACATAAAAATTAGCTCAACATCACTTATTTCAGGGAAATGCAGATCAAAACCACAAGAAGACACCACTTTTCACCCATTGTAATTATTATTATTTAAAAACCATGAACGAACAAGGGTTGACGTGGAAGTGGAGAAAAACAAAAGTAAAATAGTTCATCTGCTGTGGAAAATAGTTTGGTGTTTCTGCAAAAAGCTAAACATGGAACCATCATAGAAACCAGCAAATCCCCCCCACCTCAGGTATATACACAAAAAATATAAAGCAGGTATTCAAACAAAACTGTGTGTGCACATATACTCATGGAAGAATTATTCACAATAACTAAAATGTGGAAACAAACCAAATGTCCACAAACAAATAATAGGAAAACAAAATGTAGTATACCTATACAATGGCATAATATCTAGCCATAAAAAGATTGAGACACTCATACTACAATGTGAAGATACTGCAAAACCATTGTGTTTAAAGAAGCTAAGCACAAAAGTCACATAGTGTATGATTTTATGTATATAAATGTCCAGAATAAGTAATTTCATAGAGAAAGAAAGCAGATTTGCTAATTGTCAGGGGTCAGAAAGAGGACAGATTGGGTAGTAGTTCCTTAATAGGTAGGGGATTTACTTCAGTAAAAAATATCCTATCCCCAGTATTCCAACAGCAGGCTGAGCTCTCATTCCATGGTGTCCCCTTAACCTGGGGTTCAAGTCCCCCCACAGTCCGGAAGTGCCTGGGGCCTGAGCAGGCACATTCTGGACACATACTCCAGCCATTGTGTCCACCAGCTCCTAGACCTGTTACCGGTGAAAAGTATCTGAGTTACTGGCAGCAAATCCGTCCGGGTCTTTAGCAATATCAATTCTTGCCTCCTCAGGTGAAAGAATTCAACTGGTGGGCATAAAGAAGGAAGAAGGAAGAAAATGCCATGGCAAGTTTCACAGCAGGAGTGGACGTTTATTAAAAAGCTTTAGAGCAGGAAAGAATGAAAATTGCACTCGAAAGAGATCCAAATGGGTGACTTGAAGAAGTGTGGCCATTAACCTTCCTTCTGGGACATTTTAGGCTGGCCTACCGCCAGCATCTGGTGCACCCTTTCCCATGATTCTTCCCCTAGCATGGGCTGCCCACAGGCACAGTGCCCTCGTTACCCTTGGGAAGTAAGTATAGACAGTGTGTTTAAGCAGTTATATGTATGCCCATCTGAGGCTTCCTCCCTTTTATTGGTGGGGTGACCCCAGAAAGTCATACTCCACCATTTTGTCTCTTAATGTGCACTCCTGGGTTCAGTCATCCAATGTCTGAGATTTTATGGGACGCCCTTTTTCCTCCTCTCTGGCATGTGAGTTTAATTAACACTTTAATGTTACCAGCTGTGTATCAGGCTATCCCTGGCCCCAGCCGCTAAATTATTATTTTTAGAGAAGCAATATGATAACTGTCCAACCATCACCCGATGGCCTGACATTCCTGGTATGCGGATGTGGAGAACCCGCTCTTGCCCCACTCATGACTGTTTAACCAACTGTAACAAACCCACGGGCCAATTTCACTTCCAGGTCAGTTTTTCTCTGCTGCCTTTCCGGACACCCAGTGATCAGTGATGCCTCCTCAGGGTTTACAAGGTCTTCAGTATCATGCTCTATTTTGATCCAGACCTCAGCACATAATATCCATGGGTTGTTCCATTTCAATAAAGGGAAATTAACATTTTCTGATCACAAGTGCATGCAGGTGTCTTACTCAGGTGAACTCACAGCAACTCTGCAAAGTATGGGTAGTCCCACATGTAGAGAAAAATGCCAGGATCCAGTGACTGAGTGACTCACTTTCAATCACACAGCTTCCAAGTAACTTCATACTCACATTCCAGCCCATGGCCTGGTCTCCAGTTGTCATTTAGAAAAGGTTTGCGAGTACTTGAACATATGCCCAGGCCACACCCAGACTTATTTGTAACAACAAAGATGAGCTCCAGGGACAATGGTTGACAAGACCCACCCAGTCATCTTTCTTCCATTCAGAGCCATTGTAGTACTCGATACTCATCAGAAACAGTCTCTTATCCCAAAGCCCTCTCATACATAGGGTGTATCAATGGGAATGGGTCACACATGGGGCACAAAGGGCAAATTTAGTGAGGGAATCAGAGCCAGCACATAAAGAAGGAGCTGGTGATTCCAAGTGTAAAGAAAGGCGGTATGCTAAGAAGTTATTGCCCTGGAGGGTGAAGGATACAAGAGGTTTGTATGACTAAATCAGAGGGAGAAAGAGAGAAAGCAGGCAATGGACCAAACACTTAGCACAAGGGACAGTGATTCCTTAACAAGGTCGATGCAGACCTACCATGACATGATGTGGCCACTGCACTCCTAGGAATGAACCATGAGAAATGAAGGCAAGCTCACAGGCTACATACATAAATAAATATTCATGACATCCTTACACATAATGGTCCCAAACCAGGAGCCCAAATGCCCATACACAGAAGAAGGGTGAACAAGCTGTGGCACATCTATACAATGGCATGTGGCTCAGCATGAAAAGGAATGGACTGTTGATGCACTCAGAACAGAGTGACTCTGAAAGTAGTTCTGCTGAATAAAAGAAGCCAGATCAGAACGATGCACAAAGACCCAAGTACATACTGTATTTACCTGTAATTCTATAAAATACCCACAAGTTTTTAGTGAAAGAAGCAGATCTGTGGTCCTAGGGTGGCCAGGGAGTGATCGTTATTGATGGGAGGAAGATGTGTTTTCATGACCTTCATCACACTTCTGGCCTTGCGGTGAATGAAATACTCACATGGAGAAACCATCAGTTCTTCCATCTACACAGGTGCAGTTTACCATATGCCAATCACATGCCAACAAAGCTGTTTCTAAATAAGCAATCATGATCCAGAGCAAGGAATAAGGTTGGGCAGGAGACCTGATGAGGCAGATTGTTTTCTTTTCCTAATCTATAAGGCTGCACACTGAAATTAAGTTGGCCCTGAGCTCAGACACTGAACAGGCCTTTGGGAAAGGCTCACACAGTCCTTCCTCCTGAACAGAAGAGTGACCACCTAACACAATACCCAGCTGCCCCTCAGGAACTTTATATGTCAATGTGACCTTCCCATCCTTGTGTCTGTTTTCTGCAATTTCCTCTTTCAGGCAGAAGCCAATGTGGCCTCTGATGTAGAGGAAATAATGTTAAAGTTCTAATATGGACATTCTGGTTCCATCATAGTAGAGAAACGGGTTGCATCTTCTCTCTTCACGACAAAGAGAAGGGAAAAGCCATGAGAACAATGTCCACAGTTGTGTGATCAGGTTGCAAGTGGAGGAAGAACATCGCCATGCCAAGGAAGCAGCAGGGCAACTGAAGGTGAAGGTTTCTGCAGAGGAAAGAAGGAAGCTTAGGGATTCCCAGAGGAAATCATCCTTCCCATTTGTAGGCCCCTGGTTTGAAGGCCAGTTCCTCTTGTCCCAATGTGAAATGAGCGTGTGACAATCCCCATTTCAGCCTTAATGCTAATTACAGAGGCAAACGTGAGAGACCAACAGTTTTTAAAAAATGCAAACAAACAAAAAAAACAAACAAAGGCAAATATGATCAACAGACAACTCACCTCCAGAGAAATGAGTCTTTAAGATCCTTCTTCCTTCTGGCCTCAAGACCTCTGTTCAAGGAAAGTTCAGAACACATGCTCCCCGTAGTCTCAGAGAAGTATAAAATATTGCATCCCTGAAAAATAACAAAATTTAGGAAGATAATAGGAAAATTCAGAGATTAGGAACAACAGCTTGAAATTCTCTTAAAATGTGTAACTCTCAAAAATTGGAAGACAGAATCTAAAAAATATTTCAAAACCACATACAATTAACAAAATAAACCTAAGAAAAGTGGTTAGCTCTCTGGGAGATTTGTCCCATAGTTGCAGTAGCGAAATAGCATTTGACATGTAAAAACCCAGGGAGGCAGTTATAAAAGCTCTGGGAATGACAGCTCCACCCCAGGCCTAGAGAGATGTTGGTGGGATAGGAACAGGAAAACGGAAGGTGTCCACCAGTGATTTTTCAGGTGGGAGGTTAGAAATGAGGGAAGATGATAAGGATGTGATAAAAGGAGATTTAATTTGAATTTTAATTTAGTTCCAACTTAATTTAATTTAATTTTAAATTTAATTTAATTTTAATTTAATTTAATTTTAAATAGAAAGAAAGAAGAAAAGGCAATTAGAAACTCCAAGAAAAGAGAAAGCTAAAGAAAAAATATGTATATACCTATAGAATACCAAGAAATGTAGGTGAATTCAAAGTGCCAATATACTTCCTACAAGAAGAAAGTCACAAGATTCTATTGCATTGGATTGAAAAAATATATACATAAATATACATATACTCTACAGTTACTTTCAACATCAATGATAACTAAGAAAGAAACTAAAATCATGATATTTCTATCATTGGGTGAGGGTGGAGGAAAGGTCAGAAGTCTAAGAAACTCAGCCTTCCTCTGTTGTACCAGGTGTTAACAGGTAATTCAGGGGACTAGGGTTAGGTGCACATGGTGGCAGTTCCTTCTGAGTTACCCTTGCCTCATCTCTGTATTTTTCAGTCATGTGCATATATTTTTATTTTCAAAATAAAATATATGGGAAGTAATTTGTGGTGTCAGAGACTCTAGGAAGATTCTCTGTTCCAGGGTACGGGTTCCACATCTAATTAAACACCACAGATTCCAGCAGAAAATCCTAGCTCTACCCACACTTCCACTCCCTCAAACAAGACTCAAGTAATCACCACATCCAGCTCAAAAACTCAAGATCTGTCCAAAGCAGATCCACGTGTAGCCATCAGCAAGGGTATCAATAGACACAGCCACAGAGGTGTCTGCAGTGCATCATGAAGTCCAGCCGCTAGCAGTAGACCAACTGCACAGTCTGGAAGGAAATTTTCTTGGAGGATGCCAATGCTAGAGGAACCAGCCATGATGCAGGTGCAGCCATAGAGGGGTCCATCATGTTACTGCAAGCAGCCAGAGGGCAGAGGTAATGAGCAGGAAAGATGAGGGGGAGGGTGGCGACATCATGGTTGGGCCCCTACTGGTACATGTTGCCACCCTGCAGTGGCCTGTGGGAAACAGAGAACACCGTATTTTGGTGGGCAGAGGCTCTCTCAGGCCAGAGCAGTAGGACCTGGAAAGAAACTGAAGCCAAGCTCAGGAATGTGGGTTCCTGTTTCAATTTGGCTACTGGTGGCTGTGGACCCCAGGATATAACAAATTACATGCCTTTACCGTTTTCCCTGTGGCTGCAAAGACTTGGGTCAGGCTCTGAATTACCTGGCCCCCTTGAGGCGCTTAATAAAGCTTATTACTGGAAACTGATAATATATTAGCACTTTATTTACAATGACCTTCAATGAAGTGTTGTTCTCCAGTATTGAAAATAGGAAAACAATTATCAAGAGCTTAATAGTTATGGGATTAAATGATGGTTGATCCTCAAGAACTATTAGGCAGCACTTGATAATAAAGCATTGGTATTTCATGAATGCTCACTGTGTCTCAATTGTACTCTTAGGCTTTTGACAACCAGCCTGACTTAAGCTTTGCAAAAATCCCCATGGCAGATCCTGGCACCATCTCTATTTTACAGGTGAAAGGTCACATGAACCTGCTTAGGGACACATACCTGGGCAGGGCAGGATCTAAATGGAAGCAGGCCCAAGAGGTGTCAAGAAAGATGCTAATATCCTAATGGTATGTGGAAAGGAGGAGCAAATGTGCACATGGTGTGAAGGCCAGACAAGATTTAGGACAGCCCTAAATGTAGAACAGATCCACAGCAGGCCAGCCTCCAGTTTTCTTATTCTTAAATGATCCTCCTCATCAAGTAAAGATCACAGAGTGCAGGGAGGCTGCTCAAAAAAGTACTGATATGTAGCAGAAACATGAGAAAAGCAAAAGAAACAAAATACTAAAAATAAACACACCACAATGACAGCTGAGTTTGTCTTTAGGTGGCCGGCCTACAAGTGTCTTTTTCTAAGTCTGTTTTCACCATTCTCCAAAATAGACATAAATTTAGGTAATGTGTCCAGCTGCAGGAACAAGTGTTGGGTCAGAGGAAACTGCTTCCCAAACCTGGCCCCTGACCCAGGCTCCTTGCTGGCAGCTTCCCCTTCCCTGTGGTCTGTCCTGATCCCAGTGACAGGGCACTATCATCCCTACACATATTCCATGTCCTAGTCCCCACTAAAATGTAGAGGGGTACTGAACAGGTGAGATGTTCTCATGGCCCATATGATGACAGTACCTGGCAGTCAGTGCCATTCAAATTGTCTTGTCTCCAGGAAAGTAGAAAGCCAAGCCCAGTGGCTCCCATTGTCCTTGAGTGGTCTCTTGGGATTGTTGAGGCCCATTTTATTCATGTCTCTCTAAAAGAGATAAGATGGGAGAAGAGGTTTTGTGGGACTCTGAGGTACATCCTTCTTCCCAGCAGGTAAAGCAAGCCTGCTGGCTGGAAAATGCTGTTACCACAGGGGCACCCCAATATTCTTTGTTCATCTCTGGCCCTATCTTTGGTCTAAACCAACAACCCATAATTACTAACTGTGGGAAACAAAGTTTCTGGGGTGCCAATTAAGTTGGTCTCCCCTGTATGAGACACCCATGGGGAGCCATGGGCAGCCTCTGAGAAGAAAAATCTCCTTATTACCTTCATGTATTTATGCCCCCAGAGCATAACCACTCAGCGGCATTCCACTGGTTGCTCAGGAAGATAACGTTCCCTTGAAGCAGTGGAATATAATAAAACATCTTGGCTCCTCCTGAAACCCACTCCCACCCATTTCAGTCATGATAAGTTGAAGATCTTAAGTAGTTTAGACACATGCCTTTGCTCAAGGAAATTCACAGAAACCACCAGTGCTATACATCTTATTGAATGGCTGATGAGTTCTCCTTCACTGCTTAATCCTTTTCCTTATTCCTTCCTCCCCCTCCCATCTCCTTAAGGACAAAGAATTTGTAAACCAATAAATTGGGTGGAGCCTGAGAGCTCCAGGCCATGAGCAAGTCTCCAATGCTCTGGTGCCCTGGACCTACCTTTTAAGTGCTTATTCTGTCTCTTTCTAACACCTTTGTCTCCTCCAGATTCGGGGTACACACTGGGTCTTATGTGGCTGGTTTCCCCAACACTAACCTGGGACATTCCAAATCTTGGTGCTTGTGTTGTCTCTCAAATCAACTCACCAAGCCCTCCTCAGAAAACGCAATGCCCTTTTCTGCAGCCAAAGACCTCATTATGCCACACAGTGACCTTGAAATGCAGAGGGGCAGCCACAACCCCACTTGGGCCTGTTCTGAACCTGAGATCTCTGGTTTCAGTGATCTCACAGCCAGTTGATTGAAAGGGACAGGGAAGTGTGTGGAGGAAGCACTCTCCACACCACTGCACTGCAGCCTGGACAACAGAATGAGACCCCATCTCAAAAAAAAAAAAAAAAAAAAACCTTTAAAAATGCATCCTATTTTTTTCTGAGGGTGTTCCAAGATGGCCAAATAGGAACAGCTCCAGTCTGCAGCTCCCAGCATGATCAATGCAGAAGATCAGTGATTTCTGCATTTCCCACTGAGGTATCTGGTTCATCTCATTGGGAATGGCAGGGCAGTGGGTGCAGCCCACAGTGAATGAGCTGAAGCAGGGCAGGGCATCACCCCTCCTGTGAAGTGCAAGCAGTCGGGGAATTTCCCTTTCCTAGCCAAGGGAAGCTGTGACAGACTACCTGGAAAAACGGAGCACTCCTGCCCAAATACTGCACTTTACCCAAGGTCTTAGCATCCAGCAGACAAAGTAATTCTCTCCCATGCCTAGCTTGGTGGGTCCCATGCCTGGCTTGGTGGGTCCCATGCCCACAGAGCCTTGCTCACTGCTAGCGCAGCAGTCTGAGATCAAGCTCTGATGTGGCAGCCTGGCTGGTAGAAAGGCGTTCACAATTGCTAAGTCTTGAGCAGGTAAACAAAGCACCCAGGAAGCTAAAACTGGGTGGAGCCCACCACAGCTCAACAAGGCCTACTGCCTGTAGACTACACCTCTGTGGGCAGGGCACAGTTGAACTAAAGGCAGCAGACAACTTTGGCAGACTTAAATGTCCCTGTCTGACAGCTCTGAAGAGAGCAGTGGTTCTCCTAGCATGCCATTTGAAGTCTGAGAATGGACAGGCTGCCTCCTCTCATCTGTCCCTGACCCCTGTGTAACCTATCTGGGAGACAGCTCCCAGTAGGGGCTGACAGACACCTCATATAGGCAGCTGCCCCTCTGGGATGAAGTTTCCAGAGGAAGGATCAGGCAGCAATATTTGCTGTTCTGAAATATTTGCTGTTCTGCATCCTCTGCTGGTGACACCCAGGCAAACACAATCTGCAGTGGACTACACCAAATCCCAAAAGTCCTGCAGCTGAGGGACCTAAGTGTTAGAAGGAAAACTAACAAATAGAAAGGAAGAGCATCAACATAAGCAAAAAGTTCATCTACACCAAAACTCCATCTGTAGGTCAACAACATCAAAGACACAAGGTAGATAAAACCACAAAGATGGAGAGAAACTACAGCAGAAAAGCTGAAAGTTTTAAAAATTGAGTGCTTCTTCTGCAATGGATCACAATTCCTCACAAGCAATGCAACAAAACTGGACAGAGAATGAATCTGATGAGCTGACAGAAGTAGGCTTCAGGAGGTTGGTAATAACAAAACTATTTGAGCTAAAGTTTCATGTTCCAATCTATCACAAGGAAGCTAAAAACCTTGGAAAAAGATGAGATGAATGGCTAACTAGAATAAATAGTGTAGAGAGGATTTTAAATGACCTGACGGAGCTGAAAACTGTGGCACAAGAACTTTGTCATGCATGCACAAGCTTCAGTAGCTGATTCAATCAAGTGGAAGAAAGGGTATCAGTGATTGAAGATCTCATTAATAAAATAAACTGAGAAGACAAGGTTAGAGAAAAAAGAGTAAAAAGAAACAAAATCTCTGAGAAATATGGGACTAAGTGAAAAGACCAAATCTAAGTTTAATTGGTGTATCTGAAAGTGATGGAAAGAATGGAACCAACTTAGAAAACACTCTTCAGGATATTATCCAGGAGAACTTCCCCAACCTAACAAGGCAGGCCAACATTCAAATTCAGGAAATACAGAGAATGCCACAAAGATACTCCTTGAGAAAAGCAACCACAAGACATACAATTGTCAGGTTCACCAAGGTTGACATGATGGAAAAAGTGTTAAGGTCAGACAGAGAGAAAGGTTGAGTTACCCACAAAGGGAAGCCCATCAGACTAACATTGGATCTCTTAGCAGAAACCCTACAAGCCAGAAGAGAGTGGGGGCGAATATTCAACATTCTTAAAGAAAAGAATTTTCAGCACAGAATTTCATATCCAGCCAAACTAAGCTTTATAAGTGAAGCAGAAATAAAATCCTTTAAAAATAAGGAAATTCTGAGAGATTCTGTCACGACCAGGCCTGCCTTACAAGAGTTCCTGAAGGAAACACTAAACATGGAAAAAAACAACCAGTATCAGCAACTGCAAAAGCAAATTTTAAAGACCATCGATGCTATCAAGAGACTGTATCAATTAACAGGCAAACTACACAGCCAACGTCATAATGACAGGACCAAATTTACACATAACAATATTAACCTTAAGTGTAAAGAGGCTACATGCCCCAGTTCAAAGACACAGATGGGTAAATTGGATAAAGAGTCAAGATCCATCAGTGTGCTGTATTCAGGAGACCCATCTCACATGCAAAGATGCACATAAGCTCACAATAAATGAATGGAAGAAGATATACCAAGCAAATGGAAAGCAGAAAAAAATATAAGTAGGAGTTGCAATCCTAGCCTCTGATAAAACAGACTTTTAACGAACAAAGATCAAAAGAGACAAAGAAGGCCATTACCTAATGATAAAGGGATCAATTCATGAAGAAGAGCTAAGAATTCTAAATATATATTCACCCAATACACAACCCAGATTCAGAAAGTAAGTCCTTAGAGACCTACAAAGAGACTTAGACACCCACACAATAATAATGGGAGACTTCAACACCCCACAGTCAATGTTGTCTCATTAATCAACAGATCAATGAGACAGAAGGTTAACAAGGATATCCAGCACTTAAACTCAGCTCTGTAACAAACTGGCCTAATAGACACCTACAGAACTCTCCACCCTAAATCAAGAGCATATACATTCTTCTCAGCACCACATCACACTTATTCTAAAATTGACCACATAACCTGAAGTAAAGCACTCCTCAGCAATTGTAAAAGAACAGAAATCACAACAAAGTGTCTCTCAGACCACAGTGTAATCAAATTAGAACTCAGCATTAAGAAACTCACTCAAAACTGCACAACTACAGGGGAACTTAACAACTTGCTCCTGAATGATTGCTGGGTAAATAACAAAATGAAGGCAGATATACAGACATTCCTTGAAACCAATGAGAACAAAGACACAACATGCCACAATCTCTGAAACACATTTAAAGCAGTGGGCAGAGGGAAATGTATAGCAGTAAATGTCACAAAAGATAGCAGGAAAGATATAAAATTGACAACCTAACATCAGAACTAAAAGAAATAGAGAGGCAAGAGCAAACAAATTCGAAAGGTAGCAGAAGGCAAGAAATAACTAAGATCAGAGCAGAGCAGAACGGAAAGAGATAGAGACACAAAAAACCCTTCAAAAAATCAATGAATCCAGGAACTGGGTTTTTTTTTTTTTTTTTTTTTTTTTTTTGAAAAGATCAACAAAATTGAAAGACCCCTAGCAAGGCTAATAAAGAAGCAAAGAGAGAAGAATAAAATAGAAGCTATAAAAAATGATAAAGGGGATATCACCATCGATCCCACAGAAGTACAAACTACCCTCAGAGAATACTATAAACACCTCTAACAAAATAAACTAGAAAATCTAGAAGAAATGGATAAATTCCTGGACACATACACCCTTCAAAAACTAAACCAGGAAGAAGTTGAATCTCTGAATAGACTAGCAACAGCCTCTGAAATTGAGTAAATAATTAATAGCTTACCAACCAAAAAAAAGCCCAGGACCAGGTGGATTCACACCCAAATTCTACCAGAGGTACAAAGAGGGACTGGTACCATTCCTTCTGAAACTATTCCAATCAATAAAAAAAAGAGAGAATCCTCCCCAACTCATTTTATGAGGACAACTTCATCCTGATACCAAGGCCTGGCAGAGACACACAAGCAAAAAGAGAAGTTTAGACCAATAGCCCAGATAAACATCCATGCGAACATCCTCAATAAAATACTGGCAAACTGAATCCATCAGCACAACAAAAAGCTTATCTACTACTATCACATCAGCTTCATCCCTGGGATGCAAATGTGGTTCAATTTATGTAAATCAATATACCTAATCCATCATATAAACTGAACCAATGACAAAAATCACATGATTATCTCAATAGATGCAGGAAAGGCCTTTGACAAAATTCAACAACCCTTCATGCTAAAAACTCTCAATAAACTAGGTATTGATGGAACATATCTCAAAATAATAAAAGCTACTGACAAACCCACAGACAATATCCGACAGAGTGGACAAATACTGGAGGCATTCCTTTGGAAAACCGGCACAAGACAAGGATGCCCTCTCTCACCATTCCTATTCAACATAGTGTTGGAAGTTCTGTCCAGGGCAATCAGGCAAGAGAAAGAAATAAAGGGTATTCAATAAGGAAAAGAGGAAGTCAAATTGTCCCTGTTTTCGGATAACATGATTGTATATTGAGAAAACCCATTGTCTCAGCCCAAAATCTACTTAAGCTGATAAGCAACTTCAGCAAAGTCTCAGCATACAAAATCAGTGTGCAAAAATCACAAACACTCCTGTACACCATTAACAGACAAACAGAGAGCCAAATCACAAGTGAACTCCCATTCACAAGTGCTTCAAAGAGTATAAAATACCTAGGAATCCAGCTTACAAGGAATGTGAAGGACCTCTTCAGGAAAAACTACAAAACACTGCTCAACGAAATCAAAAAGGACAGAAACAAATGGAAGGATATTCTACGATAATGAGTATGAAGAATGAATACCTTGAAAATGGCCATAGTGTCCAAAGTAATTTATACAAGCAATGCCATTCCCATCAAGCCACCAGTGACTTTCTTCAGAGATTTGGAAAAAAAAAGGTACAGTTCATATGGAGCCCAAAAATAGGCCATATTGCTAAGATAATCCTAAGAAGAAGAAGAAAAAAAAAGCTGGAGACATCATGCTACCTGACTTCAAACTATACTACAAGCCTACAGTAAACAAAACAGTATGGTACTTGTACCAAAAGAGATGTATTGACCAATGGAACAGAAAAGAGGCCTCTGAAATAATACCACACATCTGCAATCATCTTATCTCTGATGAATCTGACAAAAAGAAGAAATGGGGAATTGACTCCCTATGTCGTAAATGGTGCTGGGAAAAGGGGCTGGCCATTTTTAGAAGGCTGAAACTGGATCTCTTCCTTACACCTTACATAAAAGCTAATTCAATATGAATTAAAGACTTAAATATTAAATATAAAACCGTAAAAACCCTAGAAGAAAACATAGACAATACCATTCAGGACATAGGCATGGGCAAGTACTTCATGACTAAAACACCAAAATTAATGGCAACAGAGGCCAAAATAGACAAATAAGATCTAATTAAACTAAAGAACTTCTGAATGGCAAAAGAAACTACCATCAGAGTGAACAGGCAACGTACAGAATGGGAGAAAATTTTTGCAATCTACCCATCTTACAAATGGCTAATATCAGAATCTACAAAGAACACAAACAAATTTTCATTAAAAAAAAAAAACACCTCATCAAAAGGAGGGCAAAGGATATGAACAGACACTTCTCAAAAGAAGACATTTATGCAGCCAACAGACACATGAAGAAATGCTCATCATCACTGGTCAACAGGGAAATGCAAATCAAAACCAAAATGAGATATCATCTCAAGCCACTTGGAACGGCAATCATTAAAAAGTCAGGAAACGACAGACGCTGGTGTGGATGTGGAGAAATAGGAATGCTTTTACACTGTTTGGGAGAGTGTAAATTAGTTCAACCATTGTGGAAGACAGTGTGGTAATTCCGCAAGGATTTAAAATTAGAATTACCATTTGACCCAGCAATCCCATTACTGAGTATATACCCAAAGGGTTATAAATCATGCTGCTATAAAGATACATGCACACGTATGTTTATTATCGCACTATTCACCATAGCAAAGACTTGAAACCAACCAAATTGTCCATCAATGATAGACTGGATTAAGAAAATATGGCACATATAAACCGTGGAATACTATGCAGCCATAAAAAGGACAAGTTATTAATGGTATTATAATTAATATCTTGAATTAATAATAATATAGTGTGAATTATAACAACTGAGCATTGACATTATACAAAAATCATTTTCCCATACTGTTTTCCCCAACTTTCTATTTTTTTGTCAAAAATAGTTTGTTATGCAACATTTGCTAACAACCCAGATGTGTAATTATTGCTTTATTTTTTGTCATTTCTTTATTTTATTATTGTATTGTATTTTAATTCATTGAGACAGGGTTTCAGTCACACAGGCTAAACATGGTTCACTACAGCCTCGAGCTCCTGGGCTCAAGGGACCCTTCCAACTCAGTGCCCTATGTTCTGGGGACAGAAGTCCATGCCACCACAGCTGGCTAATTTTGTTTATTTTCTCAAAAGACGGTCACATTTTGTTGCCCTGGCTGGTCTCAAACTCCCAGACTCAAGGAAATCCCCCTACTTTGTTGGGATTACAGTTGTGAGATACTTTTAAATCCAGTAGAAAAATAAAGTCACAGAAAACCCAAATATAATAATATTGGCTTTTCTATTTCGTGACGTAATTATTTTATTGATGTTCTTATTTCTTTATTTGCACATGGGGCACTATTTTTCTTTCATTCCTTGCTTGTTTTCATCATGTTTTGTAAGGCTGATCTAGTAGTAATGTACTCTCTTTAATTATGTTTGCTTGGAAATGCCTTATTTGCTCATAAAGTTAAATTTTTGTTTGGCCAGATATTGAGTTTATGATTGACTTTATCTTCTTATTCCAGCACTTTAAAGATCTCATCACAGTGACTTCTTTCCACTATAATTTTTAATGAGAAATTGGCTGTTAATGTTATGAAGGATAACTTGCATGTGATGAGTTACTTCTGTCTTGATTCTTTTAAAGTTCTCTATTTATTTGTCTTCTGTCAATTTCAGTGCATGTGTTTCAGTGTGGATATCTTGGATTTTATTCTCCCTGGAGTATTGTGTTCTTTAGAGATACTTGGATCAGTAGATTTGCATCTATCGACACTTTTGGGAAGTTTCAGCCACTATTCATTTAAATATTCTTTTTTTCCCCATCTCACCTATTCCAGTGGGACTCCCATTATGAATATGTTGATATTCTTGATGGTGTCCCATGGAAACCTTAGTTTTGATCATTATTCTTGTTTCTCTTCCTTACACTGAACAATATCAAACAATCCATCTTCAAGTTGCCTCATTAGGCATTCCTGAGGCAGGCTAAGGCACCCTTCAGAGCTGTCAGTCTGCCTAAGCAGAGGAAAATGGTACAGGCAGAGCCTTCCTGGTATAGGGAAAAATGCTGCCTGTAATAAGCCACCACTGGACACAAAAATATAGATGATAGGGCCCTTTTGGGCAGTCTCTAAGGTTGGGTTCCACAGAAGAAGTCATTTTGAGACTGTGAAGGGGTCACTGCAATCTGCACCTCTGCCTCTATTCCCAATAGAGGATGTGTGCAAGAGTTAATTCCCATGGGGATTGAAATACCATTTGGTGAGTTTTTGAAGCATCTCTGGGTGATGGAATCATCACTGAGACCCAAGAGAGTGGTGTCAGTGAAAGATGGCTGGGCCGTTGACATCACTGACTCCCTTCATCCTGGGCCTCACAGGGGAAATACAGGGAAGCACAACAAAAGCAAGTATTTGTTCCTCTCTGGGAAATACAGGAACCACAACAAAAGCAAGTCCCAGATAAAGCATTGTTTTCACACCTCAAACTGGCCTTTCTCGGATGCAGATGTGGTTGAGAGAGTATCTCTGAGGTGGTCCATGGCAATTGCAAGACAGAAAAGGGTGTCCAGTAGTGCTGATGAGGGGCAATGTGGACTCCCCATGAAAGCAAAGAAAAATGAAAGCTCGCCTGAACGAACAAGCTGACTTGTGCAGGAGTACAAGCAAAGTTCAAAGATTCCTGTCAGAGGACCCAAAAGCCTCCTGCAAAGTGCAAACAACATCAGCCCCTACAAGGACACCATGATCCACAACCTGGTGCATAGCCACCGTATGCAAAGTCCTTTTGGCTTCCTGAAATTCCTGGCACTGAAAAGATCTATAGCAAGAGGCAGTCCCATCTAGCAAGAGCCAATGATAGACCCACTCCACAGCAAGGAAGGACATGCAGATGAAGTGAAACAGAGCCAAGATTAGCAGGAAAATGCAGAACATGGCTGCCTGCCTCTCATCCTACAGGAATCATGCAACCCTTCAATAAAAGAGGGATAATAAAAGTTTCCATATGGATGGTTGTAATGGGAATTTATGCCTTTAAAAGTCTCATATTGCCTAGTCATTAAAACGTGACAGAATTAAGAAAGAAACAATGATGCAATGGATTCACATAAGAGTGGTCCTCCATGAACTGGGAAACTTCTAGTGTGGAAGATATGGAACCAGACCCAGAAAACCCTAGGCCAAAGAGGAACATGGAAGTCAGGAAAAGAAGACGCAAGTGTGATGGCTACACTCACCCAGCATCAATCCATCACACTCTCATTTGGCTCCGGTTATGAAAGCCCTCACATTGAGAGTTCTCCAGATGGCCCCAGTTTGTTCTCAAAATATTCTCTTCATGTCCACCTGAAAACCAGGCTATTTACTTGGAAGCAGATTCTGTGTCATCTATCTTCATTTTTTTTTTGCAAGTGATGTTGCAAAACCTTATACACCCCTCACGAGATTTTGTCCTTAAAGCTATCTGACTTTATTCCTGCTCATACTCTATGTCCCAGGATGAAATCAAAAGATGATGGAGAGTGCCCCCCCACCACAAGATGTGAATCACCTGCTCAGCTGGGAACCAAATTCAAGGTTAATTCAAAGTGCCCAGTGGACAGGACTGCTAGTGTCTATGCCTGGGTTGGCCTCACGACAATGAAACACTAGGAGATGTCTCTTTTGGGCATGGTGTGCTCCTCTTCTTTTTAGAAGAGTGGCTTTTTTTGAACACACAATGCCACACACACATTCAGACATCCTACACTCACTATACTCCCACAGAAATACACAGCCCAGCAGCTACCGAGGCTGCACGAAGCACTACCTGGAGAGAGTCCCACAGCCCAAGCAGAGAAACACAGGCCACCAAAATGTTGGAAGACTCAAAAACAGAAAGCACTGGAGTGCATAAGTAATATGCTTTTAAGCAGACTTCACTTACAGTCACACACACACACACACACACAATACCACACAAACATGCAGACATCCAACACTTGAAATGCTCCGCCAGAAATGTTGGGAGACTAAAAAAAAAAAGAAGGGAAAAGGGCTGAAGCGGGTTAGCCATGTAATTTCCAGCACACTCTACTGTCAGGCGCACATGTGCACACCCAATGCCACACACACACGCAGACATCCAACACTCACAACACTCCCACAGGAAAACAGAGCTCAGCACTCCTGAGGCTATGTGATTCTGCAAGAATCCCAACCTGGGAGACAGCAACCACAAGAAACCCCAGTTGGCTATACCTAGAAATCACAGTTGGACAAGTTTCAAAAGACTCATGCCTACAATGTCTAGGCTGGCCTGAGAAGTCCTGCAGATGTTTTTCCCTGTGTTTAAGCAAGCTGACATCCTAAGCAGAGAAAAATAATACAGGCAGAGTAGGCCTGTTGTTGATAAAAAAGGCTGTGTTTGAAAACCCTCTGTGTGACCCTAAATGTCTCAACCTCAGGGCCCCTTCAGGGAGGAGGTATTTTTAGATAGTAACCTGTTCACTGGAAACTGCCCTTCTGTCTCCATTTTTGAAACAGGCTGTGTGCAATAATCTGGTCCCATAAGAATTGGAATATGATCTGTTGTGTTGTTGAGGGTTCTTTGGGTGATACAATCATACCTGAGTCCTTAGAGGTGGGTGTCAGTGAAAGAAGGTTGGGCTCTTGACCTCACTGCATCCCTTCATCCTGGGTCTCTCAGAAGCTCTCTGGGAAAGGTAGAAACCACGACAATGGCAAGTCCGAGGTGGAGGAGTGTTCTCATACCTCAGACTGGTCTTTCACTATGCAGTTGTGGTTATTCTCTTACCTCAGACTGACCTCGGACTGTGCAGATAAGGTTGAGACAGTGAAACACTGCAAGATGTCTGTTTCTGGTGTGGTGTGCTCCTCTTCTTTCTAGAAGAGTGGCTCTTTTTTGTTTTATTTCTTTCAGGAGGAGTTGATTTTGACACCTGCATGTCTTGGCCCACCTCCCGATTCACTGCAGATTCATGATCCACAGAAAAATAAAGAACACGGAGCCCCACAGCACAAACAAAGCAACAGAGAGGCCAACAAAGATTGAAACATTCAAAAAAAAAAAAAAAAAGAGGCACTGAAGTGCATTAGACACATTATTTAAGCAGACTCCACTTACAGCAACAAACACATTCTTAAACACACAATGAAAAACACACACACACACACACATCCAACAGTTGCAACACTCCCACAGAAAAACATAGCTCAGCAGTGCATGAGGATGCATGGCTCTGCAGGAATTCCCACCTAGGAGAGAGCAACCCCAAGGAACATAGGCAGGCTGTACCTAGAAACCACAGTAGGGCAAGTTTCAAAAAGATTCACCCGTACAATGTCTAGGCAGGCCTACCAAATCTTGCAGATGTTTCTGGATGCTTAAGGATTTTGTGGTTTATTCCTGTAGCTATGCTTGTTTCTTCACGCTGGCTAACGTCTACCCTCTCCTAGGATCATGAGACTATCCGTGGATTTCACAGAGAAGACAGACGAGAAGACACAGCTGACGCTCCTCCACGGAGGTCCCCTTTTCCAAGATGCAGATACTTCTTGCTAGGCAACGGTGACATTTATAGCGATGCTAGACAGAGCTCACAATCGGATCAGGTACCCTGAGACTAGCGCATGCGCATTTGTGAGGCAGACTCAAGTCAGGTTGTCAGAGCTGTCAGTCTGCCTCAGCAGGGGATAATGGAACAGGCAGAGCCCGCCTGGTATCGGGAAAAAGGCTGACTATAAAAACCCACTGCAGGACCCTGAAAATCTCGACCTCAGGGACCCTGCTGGCCATTTCCTTGTTCAGGTCCCGCTGGAGGAAGAGGTGTTTCGCGACTGCGATGTGGTCGCTGGAAACTGCTCTTCTAACTCCATTAGCGAAAGAGGGTGTGTGCAATAATTGGGTCCCAAGGGGGTTGGAATATAATCTGGTGTGTCGTTGAGTGTTCTTTGGGCGACAGAAACATACCTGAGACACCAGAAGTGGATGTCAGCAAAAGATGATTGGGCTTTTGAACTGAATGCCTCCCTTCATTCTGAGCCTTGCAGGGGCTATCTATGAAAGGCAAGAACCATAACAAAGGCAAGTCTAATGTGGAGCAGTGTTCTCACATCTCGGAATGGCCTCTCACTTGTGCAGATGTAGTTGAGACAGTGTCTCAGAGGCCATCTGTGGTGATGGCAAGCTTGAAAATGGTGTGCAGTGCTGCTGTTGGGGGGCACTATGGATTCCCCAAGAAAACAAAGAAAAACCAAGGTTCACCTAAGAATGAGCTGCCTTTGCTGGAGTCCAGGCAATGTTCAAGATTCCTGTCAGAAACCAAAAGCCTCCTGCAAAGTGCAAACAACTGCAGCCTCTACGATGAGACAATGATCCACAATATGGAGTGCAGCCAGTTTATCAAAGTCCCTTTTACTCTCTGAAATCCCTGGCAGCAAAATAATCTGTGGCAAGTGGCAGTCCTAGCCAGCAACAGCCCAGTGAAAGGGCCCCTCCACAATGAGAAGTCCATGCAGATGAGATGAAACAGGGGCTAGATTATCAGGCTAAAGCCAGACATGGCTGCCTCCTTCTCATCCTAGAGGAAACATGCAACCCTGTGATAGAAGTGGGAAAAAAAACAGATTCCTTGTTGGTGGGTGTAACAAGAATTTACCGTTTTAAAACTATCAAAGCTTCCCAGTCTTTAAAAGGTGACAATGTTTAGAAGGAAACACTCATGCAATGGATTCCCAGGAGGGTCGTTCTCTGTGAACTAGGAAACATGTAGTGTGGAAGTCATTGAGCCAGAAACAGGAAACCCTAGGTTGACGAGAAACGTAGAAGTCAGGGGAAAAGAGGCAAGTACGGAGGCCACATCCAATACAGAATCAATCAATTCTGCTCCCATTTGGCTCATGTATGAAGGCTCTTAAATGGAGAGTTTGCAAAAATGGCCCCAATTTGCCCTCCAAATATTCCTTGCAGGTTAAAGTACTCCCACCAGAACACTGGGCCATGGTGTGTACTGCTTGTGCAATTAAGGGGATGCAGAGATAAAGTTGGAAGAACCTTCTGTGTTTTCTGCCTTTATGTTTTGCAGGTGAAGTTGGGGGATTACTTCCACCCCTCACCAGATTGTATCTTCACCCCATCTGACCTCATTTCTGCTCACAATCTATGTCCCAGAATGAATTCCAAGATGATGAAGGAGATCTTCCTCATGACATGAAGCATCTGCTCAGCTGGAGACTGAATCCAAGCTAAATTCAAGGGGCCATGCACACAGATCTGTGAGGGTCACTTTCTGGTTTGGACTCTGGACAATAAAACACTGGGAGATGTCTTTTTTTTTTTTTTTTTTGGTATGGTGTGCTCATCTTTATAGACGAGTGGCTTTTGTTGCAGGGGAGGTGATTTCGATGCCTGCGTGTCTCAGCCCACCTCCCAATTCACTGCAGATTCATGATCCACAGACAAATAACAGGAAGCCCCACAACCCAAGCTGAGCCACACAGACAGGCCACCATAAGTATAAGAGACTCAAAAATAAAAGAAGTGCTGCAGTGCATTAGCCACATTCCTTTAAGCAGACTCCACCTACAGGCACACAAACACACACACAAACACACAATGCCACACGTACCCACAAAGACATCCAACACTTGCAACATTCCCATGGAAACACACTGCCTGGCAGCTACTGAGGCTGCATGGTTCATCAGAAATCCCCACCTGGGAGAGAGCAACCCTGAGGAACACAGGCAGGTTTTACCTATAAATCACGTTGGGACAGGTTTCTAAAAGACTCACACCTGCAACTTCTAGGCAGGCCTGAGGAATCCTGCAAATCCTTTTGGATCCTTAGGCAGTTCACCATTTATTCCTCTTCTTGATGTTTCCTCAGTCTGTCTCACGTCTGCCCTTTTCTAGGACTATCCTGTGAATCCCACAGAGAAGACAGGTGTGGTTCCACCGCCGATGGACCTCCACAGAATTCTCCTTCTCTACCAAGCCCCAGGCCTTCTCCCAGGATCATGAGACTATTTGTGGATTTCACAGAGAAGATAGGTGACAGTATACCACTGACACACCTCCCCAGTGGTCTCCTTCTCTGGCAAGAGGCAGGGACTTGTCACTAGGCAATGGTGACCCTTTTTGTAACTTTTGCCAAAGCTCACAATCAGGCCTGCTACCTTGAGACTAGCACATGTGCATTCGTGAGGGTGGCTCAGGCACCTGACTGTCACAGCTGTCAGCCTGCCTCAGCAGAGGAAAATAGTACAAGCAGAGATGGCCTGGTATCAGGACAAAGTCTGCCTGTGAAAACCAACTGCGGGACTTTAAAATTCACAAACTCAGGGCCCCTTCCATTCATCTCCGTGACAGGTTCCCGCTGGAGGAGAAGGTGTTTCAAGATGGTGACTTGGTTTCTGGAAACTGCTCTTCAGACTCCATTTATGAAAAAGTCTATGTGCAAGTATCAGGTCCCATGAGGATTGGAGTATTGTCTGGTGAGTTGTTGAGGATTTTTTGGGTGATAGAATCATATCTGAGACCCCAAAGGTGGGTGTCAGAGAAAGATGGCCGGTCTCTTGTCCTCACTGCCTCCCTTTATTTTGGACCTCGCAGGGGCTGTCTGGGAAAGGCAGCAACCTCAAAAAGGCAAGTCCAAGATGGAGCAGTGTTCTCACACCGCGGACTGTCTTCTCACAGGTGCAGATGAGATTGAGACAGTGTCTCCAAGGCTGTCTGTGGCCATGCAAACCTGAAAAGTGTGTCAAGTACTGCTGTTGATGGGCACTATGCATACCTTATGAAAGCAAAGAAAAATCAATGCTCGCCTGAAAGAATGATCTGACTTGGGCTGCAGTCCAAGCAATGTTCAAAGATTCCTGTCAGAGGACCCAAAAGCCTCCTGTAAAGTGCAAACAACCTCAGCCCCTATGATGACACCATGGCTTACAACCTGGATTTCAGCCAGCATAACCAAAGTTTCTTTTGCTCCCTGAAATCCCTGGCATCCAAAAGATCTGTGATGAGAGGTAGTACCATCCAGCAACAGTCCAGTGAAAGGTCCCTTCCACAATGAGAAAGGATGTGCAGATGAAATGGAATAGTGCCTAGAATGCCAGGCAAAAGTGAGATATGGCTTCCTGCTTCTCACCCTACAGAAATCTTGCATCCCCCGATAGAAGTGGTAGAACAAGAGTTTCCTTGATGGCAGCTGTAACAGGAAATCTTGGTTTTAAAAGTATCACAGCTGCCAAGTAATTAAAATGTTAAAATGTGACATTGTTAATATGAAATACTCACAATGGATTCTCATAAGGGTCATAATCACTGTATGGGGAAATGTTTAGTGTGGAAGATATTGAGCCAAACCCAGAAAACCCTAGGCTGGTGAGGATCATGGAAGTCAGGAAAAAAAGAGGCAAGTGTGGATGCCACATCCTACCTAGGATAAATTCATCGTACTCCCATTTGGCTCTAGTATGAAAGCCCTCAAATTGACAGTTTGCAAGATGGCTTCAGTTTGCACTCCAAATGTTCCCTGCACCTTGTAGTACTACCACCTCAACATCAGGCCATGGCGTGGACTGCTGTGCAATTAAGGGAATGCAGGGATGCAGTGTGAAGCACCTTCTGTCTTCTGTCTTCATCTTTTTTACATGTGAAGGTGCAGGTTCTCATCCACCCCTCACCACATTATATCTTCATCTCTCTGTGACCTTATTGCTGCTGACATTCTCTGTTCTAGAATGAAATCTCACGATGATAGAGGAATTCTCCTTCACGACGTGAAGCAGTTGCTTGGCTGGGAACTGAATTTGAGCTACATTTAAAAAGCCCTGCAGACAGGACTGCTGCTGTCTCTCCCTGGGTTGGCTGAAGGACGATAAAACACTGGGAGATGTCTGTTCTTGGGAGTGGTGTGGTCTTCTTTCTAGGAAAGTGGTTTTTGTTGGGAGAAGGAGGTGGTTTGTTACCTGGCAGGTCTCATCCTGCCTTAGACTTCATTACAGAGTCATAATCCATAGAAAAAGAAAGAATACAAAGCCCCGCAGCCTGAGACAATCCACTAAAAAGTTGGAAGACTTGAAAAAGGGGGGGCTGCAGTTCTTTAGCAAAATTGTTTTAAGCAGACTCCCCTTACACACACACACACACACACACACAGCCACACATACATGCAAACATCCAACACTCACAACACTCTCAACAGAAAAACAAAGCTTGGCAGATTCTCAGGCTTTGTGATTCTTCAGGAAGCCCCCCCTGGGAGACAGCCACCCCAGGAACAGAGGTATGCTTTACCTACAAATCACAGTGGGGCAAGTTTCAAAATGACTCACCCCTGCAACATCTAGGCAGGCATTAGAAATACTGCATGTCTTTTAAATCATTAGGAATGCTGCAGTTTATTCCTGAGGCTGCCCTTGAAGTTTCTTGAGGCTGGCTTCTGTCTGCCCTCTCCTAGCCTCATAGGACTATCCCATGCAATTTACATAGAAGACAGGTGAGAGTCCACTACCTATGCCCCTACATAGAGGTTTCCTCCCTCAATCCACATTGACTTGTCACTAGGCAATGGCGGCATTTATTGTGACACTAGCCAGAACTCCCAAACAGGCCTTTTGCACTGAGACTAGAGCATGAACATTTGCCAGGTAGATTCAAGTGCCTGGCTGTCAGAGCTGTCAGCCTGCCTAAGCAGAGGAAAATGATATAGACAGAGATGATCTGCTATCATGAAAAAGTCTGTCTGTGATAATCAACTGTCAGACCCTAAAATTATTGACCTTAGAGCCCCTTCGGGATGACTCTGTGGCTGAGACCCACTGAAGGAGGAGGCTTTTCCAAACTGAGATGGTCACTGAAAACTGCTCTTCTGGCTCCATTCGTGAAAGAGGCTGTGTGCAAGAATCAGGTCCCACGGAGATTGGAATATAGTCTGGTGAGTTGTTGAGGGGATTTTATGTGATGGAATCATACCTGAGATCCCAGAGGCAGCTTTCAGTGAATGGGGCTGGGCCCTTGACTTCCTTGCCTCCTATCATCCTTGTCCTGGCAGGAGATCTATGAGAAAGGCAGGAACCATGACAAAGGCAAGTCCAAAGTCAAGCAGTATTCTTACACATCAAACTGGCCTCTCACTGCTGCAGATGATGTTGAAAAATGTTCACAGAGGGTGTCTGTGGAAATTGCTAGTCTGACAAAGGTGTCCAGTAATGCTGTTGAGGGGCAAAGTGGACCCAGCCTGGAAAGAAAGAAAAATCAAGGCTTGCCAGAGAGAAGGAGCTGACCTGAGCTGGAATATAAGAAACTTTCAAAGATTCCTCTCAGAGGAACCAAAAGCCTCCCAAGAACTGCAAACAACCTCAGCTCTCACAAACAGACCACAGACCTTTCTGAAATCAGTGGCAGGAAATCTGTATATAGAGGCAGCCCTATCCAGCAACAATCAATGCTATACACCCTCCACAATGAGAAAGGATTTGCAGATGAAATAAAACAGAGTGTAAATTACCAGAAAAAAGCCAGACATGGCTGTCTGCTTCTCATCATACTGGAATTATGCAGCCTTTTGACAGAAGTGGGGAACAAGTGTTTCCCAAGGGCCGGACACGGTGGTTTATTCCAGTAATCCTAGAACTTTGGGAGGCTAAGGTGGGAGGATCATGAGGTCAGGAGATTGAGACCATCCTGGCTAAAATGGTGAAACCCCATCTCTACTAAAAGAACAAAAAATTAGCCAGGCATTGTGGCAGGTACCTGTAGTCCCAGCTACTCAGGAGGCTGAGGCAGGAGAATGGCATGAACCCGGGAGGCAGAGCTTGCAGTGACTGGAGATCATGACGCTGCACTCCAGCCCAGGCAACGGAGTGCAACTCTGTCTAAGAAAAAAAAAAAGGAATTTATCTGTTGGTGCCTGTAAAGGGAATTTATGGTTTTAAAAGTATCACAGCAGCTCTGTCATTAAAATGTGACAGTGTTTAGAAGGAAACACTGATGAAATACATTCCCATGAGGGTCATCCTCTGTGAACTGGGAAACATTTAGTGTGAAAGACATTTAGCAAGACCCAGGAAATTCTAGGCCAATGAAGAATATGAAAGTGAGGAAAAGAAAAGGCAAGTGTGGAGGCCATATCCCACACAGCATCATTCCATTCCACTCCCCCTTGGCTCCATGTACTGAAGCCCTCCAATAGGGAACTTGCCAGCATTGCCAAAGTTCACACTAACACTGTTTCCTGAAACTTGGAGTACTCACACCAGAAAACTGGGCCATGGTGTGGAATCCTTTTGCAATTAAGGGAATGCTTAAATGCAGTTGGAAGCACCTTCTGTGTCATCTGTTTTTACCATTTCTACAGGGGAAGGCATGGGACCCCATCTACCCTTCACCAGATTGTATCCTCACCCATATCTGACCTTATTGCTGCTCACACTCTGTGTCCCAGAATGAAATTCTAGGATGATGGAGGAGGGCCCCTTCACAACATGAAGCACCTGCTCATCTGGAAACCTAATTCGAGGTTAATTCAAGGGGCCCTGCAACATGACTGGTAGTGCCGTTTTTGGGTTGGCTGTAGGACAATAAACCATCCTCCAGCAATCATGCAGCTTTTCTGTAGAAGTGGGAGAACAAGAGTTTCCTTGTTTGTGGCTGTTGCAGGGATTTACAGTTTTAAAAGTATCGCTGCTGCCCAGTCATTAAAATACAACAGTGTTTAGGAGGAAATACTCACACAAGGGAATCCCATGAGGGTCATTTTCCATGAACTGGGAATGGTTGAGTTTGGAAGACATTGAGCCAGACCAAGGAAACTCTAGGCTGACGAGGAACATAGAAGTCAGGAAAAGAAGAGGCAAGTGTGGAAGCTACATCCCACCCAGTATCAATCCATCCCACTCGCATTTGGCTCCGTGTTTGAAAGCCCTCAAATTGAGAGTTTGCCAGGATGGCCCCAGTTTGCACTCCAAATATTCCCTGTGTGTTAGAGTACTCCCATCTGAAAATGGGGCCATGGTCTGGACTGCTTGTGATATTAAGGGAATAGAAGGCTGCAGTTGGAAATAACTTCTTTGTCATTTGTGTTCACCTTTTTTTCAGGTGAAGGCGTGGGACCCCATCAACCCCTCAACAGATTGTATCCTCAACCCTATCTGACCTCATTGCTGCTCACACTCTCTGACCCAAAGTGAAACCCCAAGATGATGGATTAGTGCCTCCGTACAAGGTGAAGCACCCGCTCAGAACCGAATTCGAGGTAAATTCAAGGAGCCCTGTGGACAATACTAGTGTCTATCACTGGGTTGGCCGCAGGATTAAAAAACACTGGGAGATGTCTGTTGTTGAATGTGGTGTGCTCCTCTTCTTTCTAAAAGAGAGACTGTTTTTCCAGGGAAAGGTGATTTGGACCTCTGCCAGCCTCCCAAATCACAATGGATTCATTATCCACAGAAAAACAGAGAACATAGAGCCCTGCAACCAAAGCATAACGACACCGACAGGCCACCAAAATGTTGGGAGACTTGAAAAATGAAGCACCACAGTGCGTTAGCCATATTTTTTTAAGCAGACTCCACTTACAGGTACACACACACACAAATACACAGACACAGGAAGCCACACACACACACGCACACACACAGATATCCAGCATTCTCAGTGCTCCCACAGCAACACCCAGCCCAGCAGTTCCTGGGTTGTGTGGGTCTGCAGGGAGCCCCACCTGGGAGAGAGCAACTATATGGAAAACAGGCTGTACCTAGGAATCACAGTAGGACAATTTTCCAAAAGACTCACCCCTACAATATCTAAGCAGACCTAAGGCATTCTGCAGATCTTTTTAGATCCTTATGGATTTCAGGGCTTATTCCTGGCTCTGCTTGATGTTATTTCAGCCTGGCTCACATCTGCCCTCTCCTGGGATCACGGGACTATCCCATGAATCCTACAGAGATGATAGGTGAGAGTCCAATGCCAATGCCCCTCCATGAAATTCTCCTTTTCCGCCAAGCCATAGAGACTTGTTGCTAGTCAATGTCAGCATTGATTGTAATGCTAGCCATAGTTCACATCTCATGCCTGTTGCCCTGATACTAGCACATGTCCATTTGTGAGGCAGGTGGTTGTGCCCAGCTCTAGGAGATGTCAGCCTGCCTAAACAGGAAAATGGTACAGACACAGCCGACCAGGTGTCAGAAATAATGTTGCCTGCGATAATTCACTGTAGAACTCTAAAATTTTGAGCTTAGGGCACCTTTGGGCCATCTCCGGGTAATTTCCTCTGGAGGAGGAGGCGTTTTGATACTGTGAGGTGGTTGCTGGAAAGTGCTCTTCTGACTCCACTCCTAAAAGAGGCTGTGTGCAGGAATCAGGTCCCATGGGTATTGGAAAATAGTCTGGCGATTGTTGAGACGTCTTTGCGTGATGGAATCATACCTGAGACCCCACAAGTGCATATCAGTGACAGATTACCAGGGCCTTGGCCCTGAAGATGAAAGTGTGGAGGCCACATGCCACCAGCATCAATCCCTCCCAATCCCAAACTGGCCCTGTCTTTGAAAGAGCAACCCCGGGGAATACAGGCAGCCTGTACCTGCAAATCACAGTTTTAAAAAGACTCACCCTGACAAAGTCCGGGAGGCCTTAGGCATCCTCCAGGTCCTTTTGGATCTGTAGGAGTTTTGCGGCTTATTCCTGGGGCTGTGCTTGACTTTTCTTCAGGCTGGCTCACCTCCTCCCTCTCCTAGCCTCATGGGACTATCACGGGAATCCCACAGAGAAATGAGGCGAGAGTCCACCACTGACTAACCTCCACAGAGTTCTTCTCCGCAAAGCCGCAGAGACTTATGCCTAGGCAATGGTGGCCTTCGTTGTGATGCTAACCCGAGCCCATAGCTCAGTCCTTGTGCCTAAGAGTATGCAGACTTGGGCGACGGGCTGTCAGAACTGTCAGCCAGCCTAAGCGAAAAAAAAGAAAAAAAAAATACATGAAGAGACGGCATGGTATTGAAAAAAATGCTGCCTGCAATAACCCAGAGTGGGACCATAAAAGTCTCGACCATAGTGTCCCTTTGGGTCATCCCTCTGCTCAGGTCCTGCTGGAGAAGGAGGTGATTTGAGACTATAAGGTGGTCTTTGGAAATGCTACTCTGACTCCATTCCCAAAAGAGGCTGTGTGCAACAGTCGGGTCAGATGGAGATTAGACTATAGTCTGGTGAGTTGTTGAGGGCTCTTTGGGTGGTGGAATCATACATGAGAGACCAGAGGTGGGTGTCAGCAAAAGATGGCTGGGCTCTTGACCTCACTGCCTCCCTTCATGCTGGGCCTTGCAGGGGATCTCTGGGAAAGGAAGGGACCATGAAAAAAGCAAGTCCAAGGCAGAGCAGTGTTCTCTCACCTCCAGCTGACCCCTAAAGGATTCAGATGAGGTTGAGACAGTGTTTCAGAGCCCGTCTGTGATGATTGCAAGCCTAAAAGGGGTTTCCAGTAGTGCTGTTGAGGGGCAATGTGGACCCATGATGAAAGTAAAGAAAAATCAAGGCCCTCTTGAGAGAACCACATGACTTGTGCTGGAGTCCAAGCAACATTCAAAGATTTCTGTCACAGGACGGTAAAGCCTCCTGCAAATTGCAAACAGCATCAGCTGCAACAACGAGACCATGACCCACAAGCTGGAGCACAGCCAGCCTACCCAAATTCCCTTTTGCTTTCAGAAATCCCTGGCAGCCAAAAGATTTGTGCTGAGAGGCACTCCCATCCAGAAACAGGCCAATGAAAGATCCCCTCCACAATGAGAAAGGACATATAGATGAAATGAAACAGAGTCTAGTTTACCAGGCAAAAGACAGAAATGGCTGCCTGCTTCTCATCCTAGAGGAACTGTGCAGCCCTCTGATAGAAGTGGGAGAACAACAGTTTCCTTGCTGGCTTCTGCAATGGGAGTTTACAGTTCTAAAATTATTACAACTCTCCAGTCATTAAAACTTGATATTGTTTAGAAGGAAATATTCACTCAGTGGATTCCCGTGAGTGTCGTCCTCCATGAACTTGGAAGTGTTTAGTTTGGAAGACATTGACCCAGACCAAGGAAACCCTATGCTGACCAGGAACACGGAAGTCAAGAAAACAAGAGGCAAGTGTGGAGGCCACATCCCACCCAGCATCTATCCGTCGCCCTCCCATTACGCTTCAGATATAAAAGCCCTCAAATCAGGACTTTGTCAGAATGGCCCCAGTTTGCACTCCAAATATTCCCTGAATATTGGAGTACTCCCACCTGAACAACAGGGATGGTGTGGACTGCTTGTGCAATTAAGGGAATTCGGGGATGTAGTTGGAAACACCTTCTGTGTCATCTGTCTTCAACTTTTTTGTAGGCTAAGGTGTGGGACCCCATCCACCCCTCAGCAGATTGTATCCTCACCTGTATCTGTCCTTATTGCTGTTCACACTCTCTGTTCCAGAAAAAAAATCCTGAAATGATGGAGGAGTTGCCCTTCATGACATGTAGAACCTGCTCTCCTGGGAAACAAATTCGAGGTAAATCCAAAGGGCCTTGTGAACAGCACTGCAACTGTCTCTTCCTGAGATGGCCGCATAACAATGAAAAACTTTGTGATGTCTGTTCTTAGGTGTGGTTTCCTCCTATTCTGTCTTGAAAAGTGACATTTTTTCAGCGGGAGGGGACTTGGACCCTGGTGTGTCACAGCCAGCATCTCAATTAACTGCAGATTAATGACCCACAGAAAAATAAAGAACATGCATCCCAAGTAAAGCAGCAGAGACAGACCACCGAAAGTTCTGGAGACTCAAAAAAAAAAATGCTACAGTGTGATAGCCACATTCCTTTAAGAAGACTCCACTTACAGACACACACACACACACACACAAACACACAATGCTACACACATGCAGACTTCCAACATTTGCAACACTGCCACAGAAACATACATCCTGGCAACTCCTGAAGCTGCATGGTTCTGTAGGAAGCCCCACATGGTATAGAGCAACCATGGACAACACAGCTGGGCTCTAACTAGAAATCATAGTGGGGCAAGTTTCAAAAAGACACCCCTACAATTCTTAGGTAGGCCTGAGGAATCCACTTCTGCCCTATCCTAGGATCATGGGACTATGTCGTAGATCCCACAGAGAAAAATAGCAGGAGTCCACTTTGCATGCATCCCCATGAATGTCTCCTTTTTCTGCCAAGTCACAGGGCCTTGTCGCTAGGCAATGATAACATTCATTGTGATGCTCAAAAAAGCTCACAATCAGGCCTGGTGCCCTGAAACTAGTGCATGCACATTCTGGAGGTAAGCTCAGGCACCTGGCTGTCAGATCAGTCAGCCTGCCTAACCAAGGAAAATGGTACAGGCAGAATCTGCCTGGTATCAGGAAAAAAGCAGCCTGTGAAAAACCATTGCTGGACCCAAAAAGCCTCCATCTCAGGGCCCCTTTGTCTGTCTCTGTGGTTGGGTCTCACTGGAGGAGAAGGCGTTTTGAGACTGTGAGGTGGTTTCTGGAAACTACTCTTCTTACTCCATTCCCAAAAGAGGATGTGTGCCAGAATTGGGTCCCATGGAAATCGTTTTATAGTCTGGTGTGCTGTTGAGGGGTTTTTGGGTGATAGAATCTGACTTCGTTGAGGGATTTTTGGGTAAAAGAATCATACTTGAGACCCCAGAGGCAGTTGTCAGCAAAAGATGGCCGGGCACTTGACCTGTTCTTACACATCAGACAGGCCTCTCACTGCTGCAGATGACGTTGAGACAGTGTCTCAAATGCCATCTGTAGCGATGACAAGTCCGAATAGTATGTGCAGTAGTGCTGTTGAGGGGCACTGTGGATTCCCCATGAAAGCAAAGAAAAATCTAGGCTCAAATGAGAGAACAAGCTGCCTTGTGCTGGAGTACAAGCAATGTTCAGTGATTCCTGTCTGAGGACCCAAAATCCTCCTGCAAATTGCAAACAACCTCAGCCTTGCCAACGAGACAACAACCACAATGCGGAACCCATCCAGCCTACATGAATTCCCTTTCACTCTCTAAAATCCCTGGCAGCTAATTCAACTGTAGTGAGAGGGATTCCCATCCAGGAAGAGCCCACTGAAAGAGCGCCTCCACAATGAGAAGGCCATGCAGATGAAATAAAACAAGCTAGATTATCAGGCAAAATCTAGACATGTTTGCCTGCTTCTCATCCTTCAGAAATCATGCAGCTTTCTGATACAAGTGGGAGAACAGGAGTTTCTGTTTTGGTGGCTATAACACAAATTTACAGTTTTAAAAATATTAAAGCTGTGCAATCATTAAAATGTGACAGTGTTTAGAAAGAACCACTCACGCAATGGATTCTAATGAGGGTCGTTCTTCATGAGCTGGGAAATGTTTACTGTGGAATTTGTTAAGCCAGACCCAGGAAACCCTAGGCTGACAAGGGACATGGAAGTCAGGAAAAGAAGAGGCAAATGTGGAGACCACATCCCACCCAACATCAGAACATTCCACTCCCTTTTGGCTCCGTGTAGGAAAGGCCTCAAATCAAGAGCTTGCCAGCATGGTCCCAATTGGCACTCCCAATACTCCTTGCACATTGCAGAACTTCCACCTGAACATTGGGCCATGGTGTGGATTGCTTGTGCAATTAATGAAACGTGAGCATGGGGTTAGAAGCACCTCCTGTGTCATTTGTCTTCATTTTTATTGCAGGTGAAGTTGTGGGATCCCTTCCACTTCTCATCAAATCATATCCTCACTCCAATCTCACCTTATTCCTTCTTATACTCAGTGTCCCAGGATGAAAACCCAAGATGATGGAGAAGTGCCCCTTCATAACACAAAACACCTGCATAGCTGGAAACTGAATTCATGGTCAACTCAAGGGGACCTGCAGACAGGACTGCTAGTTCCTCTCCCTGGGTTGGATGCAGGACAATGAAACGGTAGCAGGTGTCCATTTTTTGGGTGTGGTGTGCTCTTCTTCTTTCTAGCAGAGTGGATTTTTATTTTTATTTTATGTTTATTAATTAATTTATTTATTTATTTTTGCAGGGGGAGGGATTTGGACACCAGCAGGTCTCAGCCTGCCTCCCAATTCACTGTGGATTCATGATAACCAGAAAATTCAAAAACATGGAGCCCCACAGGCCAAGCAGAGCACACATAAAGGTCAAACAAAAGGTTTGGAGGCACAAAAAAAGAAGCGTTGTATTGCAGGATCTGGCCAGAAGCCCACAATGCAATGGAGTTCTCTCTTTGTTCCTAGGTGGATTGGCAGGTTGAGAAATAATAGACACACACAAGATAGTGAAAGCTGGGTCCAGGGGGGTCACCGCTTTCTGGTCCTGTGGTGCCAACAATGCACTGGATATACCAGCATTTATTATTAAGTGTAGTGAGGGCAGGTGTAGGTTAGTGAGGGATTTAGGGTCATTTCATTATAAGGTGAGATGGTCACATGGGGATGAAGTAATTCTTTAACATAGCATTTGTATGTACAAGTACAGTACATTTTTTATGTAGAAGTACAGTATACAGAGAGATAAGAATTTACAATATAGTGTGTGCATCAGTAATTTCTAACAGAGCCTTAGAACAGAAACACAGTCTTTCCATAACCTATGATTAGCAAGATATTAATCAGCAGTAACAATTGCAACAAAGCTGGTTACAAACAATCCATGGAAACAAGATGTGAAGCTAGACAACCAGTTAGACCAGAAATTCTCAGAAAGGAGTATGCCTTAACCCTAAAGAGGCCTAGAAGAGCCGTGGCAAGATGAGGGCATTTATAGCCTTATCTTATCCATATGGACAGGCGCCCCCCATGTGTCCATTTATAGGCTCTCTATGAGGATTGCATTCCATTCCCAGAGCTACGGACATCTGCTTTTCTGGGACAGGAGTCTTGGTGATGTGAAACCTGACTGCATGTCCATTCATAGGGTCTCTGCAGGGGGAAGCACATCACGTGCTGTTGGCTCATTCTGGCAGTCCAATCTGGCATTGTCTTTACACAATCCTGCATGCAACTTTGTATTTACAATAATCAGGTCATTTCATCTTTTATTCTGTAGTAATAGTTTCATGGGGTCTCCCTACAGTGGTGAAGTGTGGTAGCCACATTTCTTTAAGAAGCCTGCACTTACAAGAGCACACACACACACAAAATCACGATGTGACACACACGTAGACTTCCAACACTCCCAACATTCCCACAGAAACACACAGTCTGGCAGCTCCTGAGGCTGTGTGGTTCTGCAGGAAGCCACATCTGGCATAGAGCAAGCCTGGGGAACACAGGCGGGCTGTAACTAGAAATCACAGTGGGGCAAGTTTCAAGAAGACTCACTCACACCTACAAGGTCTAGGCAGCCCTAAGGTATCCTGCAGATCCCTTTGGATTCCTAAACATTTTGTGGTTTATTCCTGGGGCTGTGCTTATGTTTCCTGACTCTGGCTCTCATCTGAAATCTCCTAGGATCATGGGACTATCCTGCGGATTCCACAGAGAAGACAGGCAACAGTCCACCATTGACGAACCTCTACAAAGGTCTCCTTCTCTGCCAAGAGGAAGGTACTTGTCTCTAGGCAATGGTGACATTCTTTGTGATGCTAGCTAGAGCTCACAATCTGGCCTGGAGACTAGTGTATGTGCATTTGTGAAGTAGGCTCAGGCACCCAGCTCTCAGAACTGTCAGCCTTCCTAAGCAGAGAAAAATGGTAGAGGCAGAGCTGGCCTACCATCAGGAAAAATGTTGCTTGTCAAAAACCACTTCAGGACTCCAAAACTCTCAGCCTCAGGGCCCCTTCAGGCATCTTCTGTGGTCAGGTCCTGCTGGAGGAGGAGGTGTTTCAAAACTGTGAGGTTGTCACTGGAAACTGCTCTTCCAGCTTCATTCCCATAGAAGGCTGTGTGCCAGAATCGAATACCATGGGGAATGGAATCTAGTCCAGTGTGTTGTTGAGGGTTGTTTGGGTGATAGAATCATACTTAAACCCCAGAGGCAGCTATCAATGAAAGATGGCCGGATTCTTGACCTCACTGTCTCCCTTCATCCTGGGTCTTTTAATAGTTCTTTGGGAAATGAAGGAACCATAACAAAGCCAAGTCCAATGTGGAGCAGTACTTTGGGCTGGCCTCTCATGGATGCAGATAAAATTGAGACCGTGTCTCAGAGGTTGCCTGTGGTGATGGCAAGCCTGACAAAACTGTCCAGTGGTGCTATTGAGGGAAACTATGGATTCAAAATGAAAGCAAATGAAAATCAATACTGGCCTGAGAGAATGGGCTGCCTTGTGCTGGAGCCCAAGAAATGTTCAATATTTCCTGTCAGAGGACCCAAAACCCTGCTGCAAAGTGCAAACAACCTCAGTCACCACAATGAGATAACGACCCAAACCTGCAGCGCAGCCAGCCTGCCCAAAGACCTTTTTGCTTTATGAAATCCCTGGCAGCTAAATAATTTGTGATGAGAGGCAGCCCAATACAGCAGCAGCCCAATAAAAAAACACTTCCACAATGAGAAGGTGGTGCAGATGAGACGAAACAAAGGCTAGATTACCAGACAAAAGCCAGACATGGCTGCCTGATTTTCATTCTTCAGAAATCATGCAGCCCTCCAATGGAAGAGGGAGAACAAGAGTTTTCTTGTTGGTGGCTGTAATGAGAATTTATAGTTTTAAAAGTGTCTAAGATTCCCAGTCATTAAAATGTGACTGTGAGAAGGAAACACTCCTGCAATGGATTCCCATGAGGGTTGCTCTCTTTGAACTGGGTAATGTTTAGTGTGGAAATTCTTGAGCCAGTCATAGAAAATGCTAGGCCAATGATGAACATGGAAGTCAGGAAAAGAAGAGGCAAATCTAGGGGCCACATCACACAGAGCACCAATGCATTCCGCTCCCATTTGGCTCTGGATATGAAAGCCCTCATATAAGGAGTTTGTCAGAATGGCCCTAATTTACATACCAAAAGTTCCTGGTAGGTTGGAGTACTTGCACCAGAAACCAGGTCATGGTGTGGACAGCTGGTGCAATTAAGGGAATGCGGGGATGGTGTTGGAAGCACCTTCTGTGTCATCTGTCTTCCTTTTTATTTTTGCAGGTTAAGTTGTGGGACTCCATCCACCCCTCAGCAGGTTTTATACTCACCGCATCTGACCTTATTTCTGCTCACATTCTATGTCACAGGATAAAATCCCAAGACAATGGAAGTGGACCCCTTCATGACATGAAGCACGTGATCGAATTCAAGGTAAATTCAAGGTGCCCTGCAGACAGGACTGCTAGTGTCTCCCCCTTGGTTGGCCACAGGATGATAAAACACTGGGATATGTTCGTTTTTTGTGTGTGTGGTGTGCTCCTCATCTTTCTAGAGAGGGCCTTTTTTTTCAGGGGGAGGTAATTTGGATGCTGGGGGGTCTCAGGCCACCTCCCAATTCACTAAGGATTCATGATCAACAGAAAAATAAAGAACATGGAGCCCTGCAGCTCCAGCAGAGCCACATAGACAGGCCAAGAAAAGATAGGAATCTAAAAAACAAAAAAAAAAAAGAAGCACTGAAGTGTGTTAGCCCCATTCCTTTAAGGTGGCTCCACTTATGGGCACACACACACACAAACACACACAGACACACACACCCACACATCCAACATTTGCAACACTCCCACAGAAACACACAGCCTGGCAGCTCTAGAGGCTGCATGGTTCTTCATGAAGCCCTACCTGGGAGACTGCAATCCTGGGGAAAAAATGGGGGCTGTACTAGTTATCACAGTGGGGCAGTTTCTAGGAGACTCATTTCTACAACAATTTCATGGACCTGATAAATCCTGCAAATGCTTTTGGATCTTTGGGGATTTCACAGTTTATTCCTTGGGCTGTGCTTGAAGTTTTTCAGACTGGCTCATGCCTGTCCTCTCTTAGGATCTTGGGACTATCCCATGGATCCCACAGTGAAGACAGGCAAGAGTACACCACTGATGCACCTTCACAGAGGCCTCTTTCTCAGCCAAGCAGCAGGGACTTGTCACTAGGCAACGATGACATTTAATGTGACACTAGCCAAAGCTCACAATCAGGCCTGGTGCCCTGAGACAAGTGTATGCATATTTGTGAGGTCAGTTTGGGAACTCTTCTGTCAGAGCTGTCAGCCTGCCTTAGCAGAAAAAGGGTACAGGCAGAGCCAGTTTGGTATCATGAAAAAGGCTGCTTGAGAAAATCCACTCTGGGACATTAAGAGTCTCAACCTCAGGGCCCCTTTTGGCCATCCCCATTTTCAGGTTTCTCTGGAGGGGGAGGTGTTTCAAGACTGTGAGTTAGTTCTGTAAACTGCCCTTCTGAATCCATTTTCAAAAGAGGTTGTGTGCAAGAATCAGCTCACATGGGGATTGGAATATTGTGTGGCGTGTTGTTGAGAACTCAGATGCAGGTGTCAGTGAAAGATGGCTGTTTTCTTGACCTCACGGCCTCCCTTCATCCTGGTCTTTGCAGGGGCTCTCTGTGAAAGGCAGGAACCACGACAAAGGCAAGTCCAAAGTAAAGCAGTGTTCTGACACCTGGGACTGGCCTCTCACGGGTGCAGATGACGTTGAGACAGAGTCTCAGAGGCTGTTTCTGGTTATGGCAAATCTGAAAAGGGTGTCCAGTACTATTGTTGAGGAGCACTGTGGATTCCGCATGAAAGCAAAGAAAAATCAACTCTCACCTGAAAGAATGAGCTGCCTTGTGCTGGAGTCCAAGCAGTGTTCAATGACTCATTTCAGAGGACCCAAAAGCCTCCGACAAAGTGCAAACAACCTCAACACCCACAGCAAGACAACGACACATAACCTGGATCTCAGCCAACCCACCTGAAGTCCCTTTGGCTCTCAGAAATCTCTGGCAGCTAAATAATCTGTGGCAAGAAGCCATTCCATCCAGCAACAGCCCAATGAATTAGCCCCTCCATAATGGGACAGCCATGCAGAAGAAATAAAACAGAAGCTAGATTACCAGGCAAAAGCCAGAAATGGCTGCCTGCTTCTCATCCTACAGGAATCCTGTAGCCCTCGATAGAAGTGGGAGAACAAGAGTTTCCTTACTGTTGGCAGTAATGGGCATTTATGTTTTTAAAAGTATCAAATCTCCCCAGTATTTAAAACATGATAGTGTATAGAAGGAAACATTCACGCAATGGATTCTTATGGGGCTTGTTCTTAGTTAACTGGGAAATGTTTAGTATGGAAGTCATTGAGCCAGACCCAGGAAACCATATGCCAATGAGAAACATGAAAGTCATGAAAAGAAGAGGCAAGTCTGGAGGCCACATCCCACCCAGCATCAATCCATTCCATTCCCATTTGACTCCAGGTAAGAAAGCCCTCAAATCAGGAGTTTTCCAGGATGGCCCAAATTTGCACTCCAAATAGTTCTTTTGCTTTGGAATACTCCCACCTGAATACTGGGCCATGGTGAGGACTGCTTGTGCAATTAAAGTGACGGAAATGGAATTGAAAGCTCCTTTTGTGTCGCCTGTATTCATAGTTTTTTGCAGATGGAGTTGCAGAACCCCATCCAAACCTTACCAGATTGTGTCCTCACCCGTATCTGACTTTATTGCTGTCACACTCTCTGTTCCAGCATGAAATCTCAAGTTGATGGAGGAGTGCACCCACAGGACATGAAGCACCTTCTTGGCTGGAAACTGAATTCTGGGTAAATTCAAGAGGTTATGGGGACCAGAGTGCTACTGTCTCTGGGTTGGCTGCATTATAGTGAAACATTGGGAGCTATCTGTTCTTGGGTGTGATGCTCTCCTCTTCTTTCTAGAGGAGTGCCTTTTTTTTTCAGGGGCAGATAATGGGGAACCCAGCTTGTCACAGACTGCTTAACTAGTCATTGCTGATTCATGATCCACAGAAAAATAAAGAACAGGGAGCACCACAGTCCAAGCAGAGACACACAGACAGGCCACCAAAAGGTTGGGAGAATAAAAAATAAAAAAGCACTGCAGTGTGTTAGTTACATTCCTTTAAGCCGAATTCACTTACATGCACACACACAGACACACACACATAAACACATAAAGCCACACACACATGCAGACATCCAACACTTGCAATACTCCCGCAGTAACACACAGCCCAGTAGCTTCTGAGGCTGCTTCATTCTGCAGGAAGCCCCTCCTGGGAGAGAGAAAGCTTGGAAAACAAAGGAAGGCTAAACTTAGAAATTACAGTGGGACACATTTCAATAAGACAAACTGCTACAATGTCTAGGCAGGCCTGAAGAATTCTGCAGATCCTTTTGGATCTGTACGGATTTTGTGCTTTATTCCTGGGGCTCTGCTTGACATTTCTTCAGGCAGGCTCACATCTGCCCTCTCCTAGGATCATGGGACTAGCCCATGGATCCCACGGAGAAGACAGGTGAGAGTCTACTGCCGATGCACCTCCACAGAGATCTCCTTCTCCATCAAGCCAAAGAGAATTGTCACTAGGCAAAGGTGGCATTCATTGTAATGCTAGCCAGAGCTCGCAGCTCAGGCCCATTGCCCTAAGACTAGCACATCCACATTAGTGACTCAAATTAGAGCACCAGGGTGTCAGGGCTGTCAGCCTGCCTAAGCAGAGGAAAATGGTACACACAGAGTTGGCCTGGTATCAGGAAAAAGGCTGCCTGTGATAACCCATTGCAGGATCCTAAAAGTCTCAACCTTAGGGCCCTTATACGCTGTCTCCATGGTCAGGTCACACTGGAGGCAGAGCCATTTCAAGACTGTGAGGTTGTCACTGGAAACTACTCTTCTGACTCCATTCCTGAAAGAGGCTTTGTGCAAGAATCCTGTCCCATGGGGATTGGAATATATTACGGTGAGATGTTGAGGGTTCTTTGGGTGATGGGCTCTTACTTGAAATACCAGAAAAAAGTTGTCAGTGAAAGATGGCCTGGCCTTGACCTCACTGCATTCCTTCATTCTGGGTTGCTCAGGTGCTATCTGGGAAAAGCAGGAACCATGACAAAGGCACGTCCAAATTGAAGCAATGTTCTCAGACCTCGAACTGGTCTCTCACAGGTGCAGATGAGGTTCAGACAGTGTCTCAGAGGCCACCTGTGGAGATTGCAATCCTGAAAAGTGTATCCAGTAGTGTGGTTGAGGGGCAATGTGAATCCCCCATGAAAGCCAAGAAACATCAAGCATCACCTGAAAGAAAGAGCTGACTTGTGCTGGGGTCCAAGCAACATTTCCATATTCCTGTCACAGAAAGAAGAAGCCTCTTTCAAAATGCAAACAACCTCAGCTCCCACAAGATAATGATTGAAAACCCAACGTGCAGCCAGTCTACTCTACAACGATTTTTCTTCCTGAAATTCCTGGCAACGAAAATATCTGTGGCAAGAGGCAGTCCCATCCAGCAACAGGCCAATGAAAGAGCCCATCCACAAAGAGAAGGATGAGCAGATGAAATGAAGCAGAGGCTATATTACCAGGCTAAATCTAGACACGGCTGCCTGCTTCTCATCATACAGGAATCATTCAGCCCTCTGATAACAGAGGGAAAAGAAGAGTTTCCTTGTTGGTGGCTGTAATGGGAATTTACCGTTTAAAGGTATCAAAGCTGCCCAGTCATTAAAATGTGAAAGTGTTTAGAAGAAAACACTCACTCAATGGATTTCCATGAAGGTTGTTCTCCATGAACTAGGAAACATTTAGTGTAACAGTTGTTGAGGCAAACCCAGGAAACCACAGGTCAATGAGGAACATGCAAGTCAGGAAAAGAAGAGGCAAGTTTGGAAGCCACATCCCACCCAACATCAATTCATTCCAGTCGCATTTGGCTCTCAGATTGAAATCCTTCAAATCAGAAGTTTGCCAGGATGTCCCCAATTTGCACTCAAAATGTTCCTTGCACGTTGCTGTGCTCCAATCTGAAGCTGAGTTATGGTGTGGACTACTTCCGCAATTAAGGGAATGAGGGGATGGAGTTGGAATCACCTTCTGTGTCATCTGTCTTCATTTTTTTTTTCAGATGAAGTTCTGGGGCTCCCTCCACCCATCACCAGATTGTATCCTCACTCCTATCTGACCTTATTCCTGCTCATACTGTATGTCCTGGGATGAATGCCCAGATGATGGAGGAGTGCCCTCTCATGACCTGAAGAACCTGCTCAGCAGTGAAACTGAATTCGTGGTATGCCCGTTTTTTGGTGTGGTGTGCTCCTCTTCATTCTAGAAGGGTGGCTTTTTTTTTTTTTTTTTTTGCAGTGGCAGGTGACTTGGACACTGGCAGGTCTCAGCCCACCTCTCAGTTCACTGCGGATTCATGATCCACAGAAAAATAAATAACATGGAGCCCCACAGCCCAAGCAGAGCCACACAGACAGGCCACCAAAAGTTTGCAAGACTCAAAAAAAACCAAGCGCTGAAGTGTAGTAGCCACATTCTTTAAGCAAACTCCACTTACAAACACACACACACACACACAAAACAATGTCACACACCCATGCCAACATCCAACTCTCACAACACTCTTTCAGAAACACAGTTTGTCAGCTCCTGTGGTTTTGTGGTTCTGCAAGAAGCTAACCTGGGATAGGCAACCCCAGGGAATACAGGTGGGCTGTTCCTAGAAATCACAGTGCTGCAACTTTCAAAAAGACTCACACCTACAAAGTCTAGGCAGGCCTAAGTTATCCTTCAGATTTTTTTGGATCCTTAGGGATTTTGAGGTTTATTCCTCGTGCTGTGGTTGACGTTTCTTCAGGACGGCTCTCATTTGCCCTCTCATAGGCTCATGGGACTATCCTGTGGATTCCACAGAGAAGACAGATGAGAGTTCACCAACCACGCAGCTCCATGTATGTCTTTTTCTCTGCCAAGATGAAGGGACTTGTCACTAGCCAGCAATGACAATCATTGGGATGCTCACTAAAGCTCAGTAACAGTCTTGGTGCCCTGAGACTTGTGCATGCACATTCATGAGGCAGGCAGGCTTGGGCACCTGGCTGTCAGACCTGTCAGCCTACCAAAGCAGAGGAAAATAATACAGGCAGAGCTGGCCGGTATTGAGAAAAATGCTGCCTGTGAAAACCCACTGCAGGACCCTAAAACTCTCAATCTAAAGACCCTTTCTGGCCATCTCTCTGGTCAGGTCCTACTGGAGGAGGAGGTGTTTCCAGACTGTGAGGTGGTCACTGGAAACCTTCTGAATCCATTCCCAAAAGAGGCTGTGTGCCAGAAATGGGTCCCATGGTGATTGGAATATTGTCTGGTGTGTTGTTGAGGGTTCTTTAAGTGATAGATTCATACCTGAGACCCCAGTGGTGGATGTGAGCAAAAGATAGCCTGGCACTTGACCTCATTGCCTCCCTTTATTTTGGGCCTTTCAGGGGCCCTCTTTGAAAAGCAGGAACCACGGCAAGGCAAGTCAAAGGTAAAGCAGTGTTCTCACACCTCATACTGGCCTCTCAGGGGTGCTGATGAGATTCAGATGGTGTCTCAGAGGATATATGTGGTGATGGCAACTCTGAAGAAGGGTGTCCAGTAGTGCTGTTGAGGGGCACTGTTGAATCCCCATGAAAGCAAAAAAAAAAAAAAAATTCACTGCTCACCTGAGAGAACAAGCTTCCCTGTGCTGGAGTCCAAGTAATGTTCAATAATTCCTGTCAGAGGACCCAAAATCCTCCTGGAAAATGTAAACAACCTCAGCTCCCACAATGAGAAAAGCACCACAAGCTAGAGTGCAGCCAGCCTACCCAAAGTCCCTTTTGCTCTCTCAAATCCCTGGCAGCCAAAAGATGTGTGGTGAGGGGCAGTTCCATTCAGCAACAGCCCAGTGAAAGAGACCCTCCCCAATTAGAAGGCCATGCAGACAAGGTGAAACAGAGGCTAGATTACAAGGTCAAAGCAGACATGGCTGTCTTCTTCTCACTTTTCGGGAATCATTCAGCCCTCTGATAGAAATGGGTGAACAACAGTTTCCTTATGATGGCTGTAATGAGAATTTATGGTTTTAAAAAATTCAAAGCTGCACAGTCATTGACACATGACAGTGTTTAGAAAGAGGCAGTAAGACAGTGAATTTTCATAAGGCCCATTCTCTGTGAATTCTGAAATGTTTAGTGTGGAAGTCGTTGAGTCAGACCCTAGGCTCAGCCTAGGAAATCCTAGGCTGATGAGGAACATGGAAGTCAGAAAAGAAGAGGCCAGTGTGGAGGCCACATCCCACACAGCATCAACCCATTCCACTCCCATTTGCCTCTGGGTGTAAAAGGCCTCAAATCCAGGGTTTACCAAGATGGCTTCAATTTGCAGTCCAAATGTTTTTTGCACATTAGAGTACTCCCACCTGAACACTGGGCCAAGGTATGGACAGCTTGTGTAATTAAGGAAATGCAGGGATGGAGTTTAAAGAAGGATCTTTGTCATTTGTATTTATTTTTTTTTTGCAGATGAATTTGCAGAGCCCCATCCACTCCTCACCAGATTGTATCCTCACCCATATCTGAATTTCTCCCTGCTCATATTCTATGTCCCAGGATGATATCCCAAGACAAAGGAGGAGTGCCCCATCATGACATGAAGAACCGCTCAGCTGGGAGCCAAATTCGATGTAAATTCAGGGGTTTCTGCAGAGGACTGCTAGTGTTTCTTTCTGGGTGGGACACAGGACAATGAAACACTGGGAGATGTCTGTTTTTTGGTGTGGTGTGCTTCTCTTCTTTACAGAAGTGTGGTTTTCTTTGCAGGGGCAGGTGATTTGGACATTGGCAGGTCTCTGCCCACCTCTCAATTTGCTGCAGACTCATGATCCACACAAAAATAAATAACACAAAGCCTCACAACTGAAGCAGAGCCACACAGACAGGCCAACAAATGATTGGGAGACTCAAAAAAGATGAAGCCCTGGAGTGTGTTTGCCACATTCCTTTAAGCAGAAGTGACTTACAGGCGCACACACACACACACACACACACACACACAAAATACCACACACACAGGCAGACATCCAACACTTGCAAGAATCCTGAAGAAACACACTGCTTGTTAGCTTCTGACGCTGCATGGTTTTGCTAGATCCCCTTTTGGGAGACAGCAACCCAGGGGAACATGCAGGCTGTAACTAGAAATCACAATGGAACAAGTTTGAAAAAGACTCACCCCTACAACATCTAGGCAGGCCTGAGGAATCCTGCAGATCTTTTGGATCCTTAGGGATTTTGCAATTTATTCCTGGGCCTCTGTTTGATGTTTCTTTTGGCTGGCTCACATCTACTCTCTCGTAGGATCATGGGACTATCTCTTGGATCCCACAGAGAAGACAGGCAAGAGTCCACAGCCGACATACCTACAGGGAGGTCTCCTTCCTCAAGAGGCAGGAACTTGTCTCTAGGCAATGATGACATTCATTGTGATGCTAGCCAGAGCTCACAATGAGGACTGGTGTCCTGAGACTAGTGCATATGCATTCCTGAGGCAGGTACAGGCACCTAGCTGTCAGAGCTATCAGTCTGCCTAAGAAGAGAAAAATTGTGCAGGTAAAGTCAGTCTGGTCTTGGGAAAAAGGTTTCCCATGAGAAACCACTGTCAGACCCCAAGGTCTCGACCTCAGGGCCCCTTCTGGCCATCTCCATGGTCGAGTCTTGCTGGAGGAGGAGGCATTTTGAGACTCTGAGGTGGCGACTAGAAACTGCTCTTCCTACTCCATTCCGAAAGGATGCTTTTTGCAAGAATCCCATCCCATGAGAATCAGAATTTGGTCTGGTGTGTTGTTGAGGGTTCTTTGGGTGACAGAATTATACCTGAGATCCCAGAGATGGGTGTCAGTGAAAGATGGCTGGGCTCTTTACCTCACTGTCTCTCTCCACCCTGGGCCTTGCTGGGGCCCTCCACAAAAGGCAGGAACCATGACAAAGGGAATTCCAAAGAGGGCCAGTGTTCTCACCTCGATCTGGTCTCTCATGGGTGCAGATGAGGTTCAGACAATATCTCAGATGCCCTCTGTGGTGATGGCAAGCCTGAAACTGGTGAACAGTAGTGCAGTTGAGGGGCACTGTGGATTCCCTATGAAAGCAAAGAAACATCAAAGCTCACTTCAGAAAATGACTTGCCTTGAGCTTGCATCCAAGCAATGTTCAATGATTCCAGTCAGAGTATCCAAAAACCTTCTGCAGACTGCAAACAACTTTAGCACTCACAATGACACCACAAACTACAACCTGGATGAAGTCAGCCTACCCAAAGTCCCTTTTCATCCTTGAAATCCCTGACAGCCAATTGGTCTGTGGTGAGAGGCAACCCCATCCAGCAACAGCCCAATGAAAGACCTCATTCGCATTGAGAAAGGACTGGCAGATGCAATGAAACAGGGGCTAGATTACCAGGCAAAAGCCCAACACAGCTGCCTGCTTTTCATGCTAGAGGAATCATGCAGCCCTCTGATAAAAGTGGGAGAACAAGAGTTTCTTTATTGGTGGCTGTAACGAAAACTTACAGTGTTAAAATTATCACATCTTTCCAGTCTTTAAAATGTGACAGTGTTTAGAAGAAAACACTCATGCATTGGATTCCCATGAAGGTCATCCCCCATGAACTGTGAATTGCTTAGTGTGGAAGATGTGGAGCCAGACCCAGGAAGCCCTAGGCCGATGAGGAACATGGAAGTCAGGAAAAGAAGAGACAAGTGTGCAGGGCACATCCCACCCAGCATCAACACATCCCACTCTCATTTGGCTCAGGGTATGAGAGCTCTCAAATCGGGAGCTTGTTAGAACCGCCCCAGCTTGCACTCCAAATGTTCCCTCAACATTGTATTACTCCCACCTCAACACCAGGACATAATATGAACTGCCTGTGTAATTAAGGGAATGTGGGCATGCAGTTGGAAGTACCTTCTGTGTCATCTGTCTTCACCGTTTTTGCAGGAGAATGTGCTGAACTCTATTTACCCCTCACCAGATTGTATCCTCACCCCTATTTTACCTTGTTACTTCTCACACTCTCTGTCCCAGAATGAAATCACAAGATGATGGAGGAGTGCCATATGAGGACATGAAGCACCTACTCAGCTGAGAACAGAATTCAAAGTAAATTCAAAGGTCCCTTCACATAGGACTGCTAGTTTCTCACACTGGGTTGGCTGCAGAACAATGAAACACAGAATGAAACACATTGTTTTGGGGTGTGATGTGCTCCTCTTCTTTCTAGAAGAATGGCTTTTTTTGCAGGGGGAGGTAACTTGAACCTATGCCTCTCTCAGACAGTCTCCTAATTCACTGCAAATTCATAGTCCACAGAAAAATAAGGGACACAGAGCCCTGCAACTCAAGCAGAGCCACACCAACAGGCCACCAAAAGGTGTGGAGTTTCAAAAAAAGGAAGCGATGCAGTGTGTTATCCACATTCCATTAAGCAGACTCCACTTAGCCACACACTAACACATAAACACACACACACAAAGCCACACAAACACGGAGATATCTAACACTTGCAACACTTCCACAGAAGAACACAGCATGGCAGGTTCTGAGTTTGCGTGGTCCTGCAGGAAGCCTTAATTGAAAGACAGGAACTTTGGGGAACACAGGTGGGCTGTAGTTAGAAATCAAAGTGGGGTAGGTTTCAAAAGACTCACTGCTACAACATCTAGGCATGCCTGAGACATCCCGCAGATCTTTTAGATCCTTATGAATTTTGTGGTTTATTCCTGAAGCTCTGCTTGATGTTTCTTCAGGCTTGTTCATATCTGCCTTCTTCTAGGATCATGGAACTATCTTGAGGATCCACAACTCCACAGAGGTCCCCTTCTCTGCCAAGATGTGTAGACTTAGGCCACTGTGGCATTCATTGTGATGCTAGCCAGAGCTCAAAACTAAGGCCTCGTGCCCTGAGACTAGCAAACGTGCATTTGTGTGGATGGCTCATGTACTGGCTGTCAGCCTTCCTAGGCAGAGGAAGATGGTACAAGTAGAGCCGCCTTCATACTGAGAAAAAGTTTGCCTGGGGTAATATCCTGTGGTACTCTAAATGTCTCGACCTTAGGGCTACTTCTTATCGTCTCCGTGGTTGGGTTCCGCTGGAGTATGAGGCATTTCAAGACTGTGAAGTGGTGGGTGGAAACTGTTCTTCTGACTTCATTTCCGGAATAGGCTGTGTGCAAGAATCTGGTCCCAAGGGGATAGGAATGTAGTACCGTGACTTTCCTTGTTGGCAGCGGTAGTGGTAATTTATGATTTTAAAAGTATCAAAGCTGCCCAGTCATTTAAACATAACAGTGCTTAGAAAGAAACACTCACTCAATGGATTCCCATGAGGGTCGTTCTCCGTGCAGGGGGAAACCTTTAGCGTGCAAGTGATTAAGCCAGACTCAGGAAACCATAGGCTGACAAGGAACATGGAAGTCAGGGAAAGAAGAGGCAAACATGAAGGCCACATCCCCATTCAGCATCAGTCCTTTCCAGTCCCATTTGGCTCCAGGTATGAAAAACCCCAAATCTGGAGTTTGTCAGAATGGCCCCAATTTGCACTCCAACTTTTCCTGGCACGTTGCAGGACTCCACTTGAACACCAGGCCATTGCGTGGACTGCTTGTGCAATTAAAAGAATGTGGGGATGGAGTGGGAAACCACTTCTGTGTCATCTGCCTTCATTTTTTTTTTTTTTTTTTTGGCAGGTGAAGTTGCAGGACACCATTTACTCTTCACCAAATTGTATCTTCACTCCTATCTGACTTGTTCACAATCTATTTCACAGAAGGAAATCCCAAAATGATGGAGGAGTGTTTCCTCATGACGTGAAGCACCTGCTGGGCTGGGAACCGAATTCAAGGTACATTCAAGGGGACCTGCAGACAGGACTGCTATTGTCTCTCTGTGGGTTGGCCACAGGAAAATAAAACACTGAGAGATGCCTCTTTTTTGGTGTGGTGTGCCCCTTTTCTTTCTAAAGGAGTCAATTTTCTTGCAGGGTGAGGTGACTTGGATGCCCACATGTATCAGCTCACCTTCAAATTCACTGCGGATTAATAGTCCACAGAAATATAAAGAACATGGACCTCTGGAGCCCAAGCAGACCCACACAGAGAGGCCACCAAAAGTTTCTGAGACTCAAAAAAAAAAAAGTGCTGAAATTCGTTAGCCACATTCCTTTAAGGAGATTCCACTTACAGGCACACACATAAAAACGCGCGTGCACACACACACACACACACACTCTAAGCCACAAACACGTGAAGACATCCAACACTTGCAAAACACTTCCACAGAAACACAGCCTGGCTGCTTCTGAGGCTGCCTGGTTCTGCAGGAAGCTCCACCTGGAGGAATAAACCTAGGGAAAACAGCTCGGCTGTACCTAGAAATCACAGTGGGGTAAGTTTCAAAAAGATTCATCCTACAACCTCTAGGCAAGCCTGCGGCATTGTGCAGATCTTTTTGTATGTGTAGGGATTTCTCAGTCTATTTCTAGGACTCTCCTTGACATTTCTTCAGGCTGGCTCACTGTACCATCTCTTAGGATCATGGGACTGTTCCTTGGATCCCACAAAGAAAACAAGGGAAAGTCCAACACCAAAGCACCTCCATGGAGGTCTCCTTTTCTGTGAAGCTGCAGGAGTTGTCACTAGGCAAAGGTGGCATTCATTGTGACTCTAGCCAGAGACCACAGCTCAGGCCTTGTGCCCTGAGACAAGCACATGGATATTCATGAAGCCAACTCTGGCATCTGGATGTCAGAGCTGTCAGACTGCCTAAGCAGAGGAAAATGGTACAGGCAGAGAATGTTTGGGAGCAGGAAAAAGGCAGCCTGCAATAAGCTAAGGCGGGACCCTAAAAGTCTCCACCTGAGAACATCTTCAGGACACCTCTGTGGCTGGGTCACACAGTAAGGTGAGGTGTTTCGAGATGCTGAGGTGGTTACTGAAAAATTCTCTTCTGACTCCATTTATGAAAGAGGTTGTGTGCAAGAATCAAGTCCCCTGGGGATTGGAATATAGGCTAGTGTGTTGTTGAGGGATCTTTAGTTAATGGAATCATAGCTGAGACACCAGAGGTGGTTGTCAGTGAAAGATGACTGGGTCCTTAACCTCACTGTCTCCCTCCACACTGGGCCTCACTGCCACTCTCTGGGAAAGCCAGGAACACCAACAAAGGAAAGTCCAAAGTGGAGCTCCATTCTCACACCTCCAAAAGGCCTATCATGCATGCAGATGATGTTGAGACAATGTCTCACATGCCCTCTGTGGTGATTGCCAGCCTGGAAAAAGTATCCAGTAGTGCTTTTGAGGGACACAGTGGACCACACATGAAAGGAGTGAAAAATGAAGGCTCTCCTGAGAGAATGAGCTGATTTGTGCTGGAGGCCTAGCAACGTTCCAAGATTTCCATCAGAGGACCCAAAATCCTCCTGCAAAATTCAAACAACCTCAGCCCCCAGATGGAGACCATGACCCACCACCTGGAGCACAGCAATCCTATTCAAAGTCTCTTTTGGTCCCTGAAATCCCTGGCAGCCAAAAGATCTGTGGCAAGAGGCAGTCCTGTCCAGCAACACCCTCCATGATGAGAAAGGACGTGCAACTGAAATGAAACAGAGTCTAGTTTACCAGTTAAAAGCCAGGCACGATGGCCTGCTTCTCATCCTACAGGAATCATGCAGCCCTCTGATATAAGTGGGAGAAAAACAGTTTCCTTGTCAGTGGCTGTAATGGGAATTTATCATGTTAAAGGTATCACAGCTGCCCACTCATTAAAATGTCACAGTGTTTAGAAGGAAACACTCAAGCAATGGATTCCCATGAGGGTCGTCCTCCGCAAAATGGGAAACATTTAGTGTGAAAGACTTAGAGCCAGACCCAGGAAACCCTAGGCCCACAAGAAATAAGGAAGTCAGAAAAAGAATAGGCAAGTGTGAAGGCCACATCCTACCCATCATCAATCCATCTCACTCCCATTTGGCTGCGGGTATGAAAGCCCTCAAATCCGGAGTTTGCCAGGATATCCCCAGTTTGCAATTCAAATGTTCCCTGCCCGTTGGAGTACTTCCAACTGAACACTACGCGATGAGGCTGAAAGCACCTTCTGTGTCATCTGTCTTCATTTTTCTTGCAGGTAAAGTTTTGTCACCCCATGCACCCCTCACAAGATTGTATCTTTACCTCTGTCTGAACTTAATGCTATCCACACTCTATGTCCTAGGGTGAAATCCCAAAATGATTTTTAAAATGTGCCCCCCACCCCAGCAAGATGTGAATCACCTGTTCAGCTGGGAAGGGAATTCGAGGTTAATTCAAGAGACCCTGTGGACAGGACTGCTAATGTCTCTCCTGGGTTTGCCAAAGGACAATAAAACACTGAAAGATATCTATTTTTTGGTGTTGTGTGCTCCTCTTCTTTCTAGAATGGTGGTTTTTATGGCACACACAATGCCACACACACACAGACATCCAACATTTGCGACACTCCTACAGAAATACCCAACCCAGAAACTACTCAGGATGCATTGTTGTGCAGGAAACACCACCTGGGAAAGAGCCCCACAGCCCAAGCAGAGCCACACAGACAAGCCAACAGAAGTTGGGTAGACACAAAAAAAGGAAGCACTGAAGTGCGTTAGCAACATTCCTTTAAGCAGACTGCACATACAATCACACACACGCATATACACAAACACTCAATGCCACACACGCATTCAGACATCCAACACTTGCAACACTCCACCAGAAAGGTTTGGAGACAAAAAAAAAAATGAAGCACTGAAGTGCATTAGCCACATTATTTTAAGCAGTCTCCACTTACAGGCACACAAACACACACAAACAAATACACAATGCCACACACACAGGCAGACATCCAAGATTCACAACACTCCCACACACAAAAAAAAGTTGGATAGCTCCTGTGGCTGTGTGATTCTGCAGGAATCCCAACTTGGGAGAGAGCAACACCAAGAAACACAGGAGAACTGTACCTAGAAATTTCAGTGGGGCAAGTTTCAAAAAGACTCACTCCTACAATGCCTCGGCAGGCCTGAGGATTCCAGCATATCCTTTTGCATCCTTAGGGATTTTGCAGTGTATTCCTGGAGCTGTGGTTGATGTTTCTCCAGGCTAGGATCATGGGACAATCCCGTGGATACCACAGAGACAGGTGACTGTGCATTCTTGAGGAAGGATCAGGCACCTGGCTCTCAGAGCTGTCAGCCTGCTTAAGCAGAGGAAATTGGTACAGGCAGAGCTGGCCTGGCATGGCCAAAAATACTACCTGTGATAACCCACTGCCAGATCGAAAAAGTCTAGACCATAGGGCCATTTTGGCAGTCTCTGAGGTCAGGTTCCACTGAAGGAGGAGTCGCTTTGAGACTGAACTGGCCTTTGTAATCTGCATCTCTGCCTTCATTCCCCAGAGAGGCTGTGTGCAAGATTCCATTCCCATGGGGATTGGAATGCCCTTTGGTGAGTTTTTGATGGGTCCTTTGGTGATGGAATCATTGCTGAGACCCAAGAGGCAGGTGTGAGCAAAAGATGGCTGGCCCCTTGACCTCACTGTCTCCCATCATCCTGGACCTATCAGGGACTCTCCGGGAGAGGCAGAAACCACGACAAAAGCAAGTCCAAGATAAAGTATTGTTCCCACACCTCAAACTGGCCTCTCATGGGTGCAGATGAGGTTGTGACAGTGTATCAGAGGCATCTGTGGTGATAGCAAGCCAGAAAAGGCTATCCAGTAGTGCTGATGAGGTGCAAAGTGGACCCCCCATAAAAGCAAAGAAGAATCTAGGTTCATCTGGGAGAACAAGCTGACTTGTGTGGGAGTTCAAGCAATGTTCAAAGATTTTTGTCAGAGGACCCAAAAGCCTCCTGAAAAGTGTGAACAACATCAGCCTCCACAAGGAGACTGATGACACAAAACCTGGGGCATAGCCAGTCTACACAAAGTTCTTTATGCTTCCTGAAATTCCTGGTAGCCAAAAGATCTGTAGTGAGAGGCAGTCCAATCCGGCAAGATCCAATGAAAGATCCACTCCACAGCGAAGAAGGACGTGCAGATGAAGTGAAACAAAGCCAAGATTACCAGGCAAATGCAGAACGACTGCCTGCATATCCTCCTACAGGAATCATGCAGCCCTCTGATAAAAGTGGGAGAACAAGAATTTCCATGTTGGTGGCTGTAAGAGGAATTTAAGTTTTTACAAGTATCACAGCTGCCCAGTCATTAAAACTTGACAGTTTAGAAAGAAACACTCACGCAGTGGATTTCCATGAGGGTCTTCCTCTGTGAACTCAGAAAGTTTTAGTTTGGAAGACGTGGATTCAGACCCAGAAAACCCTAGGCTGAAGAGCAACATGAAAGGCAGAAAAAGAAGAGGTAAGTATATAGGCCACATCCTATCCAGCATCAATCCAATACACTCTCCTTTGGCTCCGGATATAAAAGCCCACATAGTGGGAGTTTACAAGGATGGCCCCAGTTTGCTCTTGAAATGTTCCCTGCTCGTTGGAGTACTGCCAACTGAACAACTAGCTATGGAGTTGGAAGCACCTTCTGGGTCATCTGTCTTCATTTACTTATCTATTTATTTTTTTGCAGAGATATTGTGGGACCCCATGAACCACTCACCAGATTGTATCCTCAACCCTACCTGAACTTATTGCTGCTCACCCTCTATGTTCCAGGATGAAATCTCAAGGCGATGTTGGAGTGCCCACTCACGACATGAAACACGTGCTCAGCTGTGACCCATATACGAGGTAAAGTCAAGCGGCTTTGCAGACAGTACTGCTATATTTTCTCCCTGGGTTCACCACAGGACAACAAAACACTGGAAGATGTCTTATTTTTGCTGTGGTGTGTTCCTCTTCTTTCTAGAAGAGTGGCATTTTTTTGCAGGGGGAGGTAACTTGAATGCCCATGTGTTTCAACTTGCTTCCCAATTCACTGCAGATTCATGATCCACAGAAAAATAAAGAACATGGAGCCCCACAGCCCAAGCAGAGCCACACTGACCACCCAACAGAATGTTGGGATACTCAAAAAAAGAAGCGCTGAAGTGCATTAGCCACATTATTTTAAGCATACTCCACTTACAGGCACATACACACACACACAATGCCACACACACACACAAACAACACTCACAACACTCCCACAGATAAACACACACTGGCAGCTCCTGAGGCTGCATGGTTCTGTGGGAATCCCCATCTTGGAGACAGCAACCCAAAAAAACATTTGGGCTGTACCTAGAAATCACTATGAGGCAAGTTTCAAAAAGACTCACCCCTACAACATCTAGGCTGTCCTGAGGAATCCTGAAGATCTTTTGCATCCTTAGGGATATTATGGTTTATTCCTGGGGCTGTGCTTGATGTCTCTTCAAGCTGGCTCACGTCTGCCCCCTCCTAGGAATGTGGGTTATGTCATGGATTCCACAGAGAAGACAGGTGAGAGATCAAAACCAACACACTTTCATGGAAATCTTCTCCACCAAGTAGCAGGGACTTGTTGCTAGGCAACGGTGGCATGCACTGTGATGCTAGCCAGAACTCAAAAATCAGGCCTGGTGCCCTAAGACTAGCACATGCACATTCGTGAGGGAGGCTCGGGTGCAGTGCTGTCAGAGCTGTCACCCTACCTAAGCAGAGGAAAATGGTAAAGGCAGAGCCGTGCTGGTGTAAAAAAAAAAACGCTGCCTGCAAACACTCACTTCAGGACCCTAAAACTGTCAAACTGGTGAACACTCCAGGCTGTCTCGGTGGTCGGGTCCTGCTGGAGGCAGAAGCATTTTGTTACTGTGAGGTGGTCACAGGAAACTGCTCTTCTGACTCCATTCAAGAAAGATCTATATGCAAGAATCCGTTCCAGCAGGGATTGGAATATAGTCTGCTGTGTTGTTGACAGCTCTTTCAGTGATAGAATAATACCTGAGACCCCAGAGGTGGGTGTCAGTGAAAGATGGCCAGGCTCTTGATCTCAATTCCTCCCTTCATCCTGAGCCTCGCAGGGCTCTCTGGGAAAAGCCAGAACCAAGACAAAGGCAAATCAAAGTTGGAGTAATGTTCTCACACTATGGCCTGGCCTCTCACAAGTGCAAATGAGTTGAGACAGTGTCTCAGAGTCCAGCTGTGGTGATGGCAAGCCTTGAAAGGGTGTCCAGTATTGCTGTTGATGGGCACTGTGGATTCCCCATGAAAGCAAACAAAAATCAAGGCTCACTACAGAACAAACTGTCTTGTGCTGGAGCCCAAGCAATGTTCAATGATTCCTGTCACAGGGCGCAAAACCATCCTGCAAAGTGCATACATCCTCAGCCCCCGCAAAGAGGCAACAGCCCAAAACCTGGAGAGCAGCCAGAATACCTGTCATTTTTTATGATCTCTGAAATCCCTGGCCACTAAATAATCTGTGGTGAAAGGCAGTCCAATCCAGCAACATCCCAATGAAAGAGCCCCTCCACAATGAGAAGGCCATGCAGATGACATTAAACAGAGGCTAGATTACCAGGAAAAGCAAGACACTGTTGCCTGTATCTCATCCTGCAGGAATCATGCAGGCCTCTGATAGAAGTGAGAGGACAAGAGTTTTCTTGTTGGTGTCTGTGACAGGAATTTATGGTTTTAAACCTATCAAAATGTCCCACTCATTAAATTGTGACAGTGTTTAGAAGAAAACACTAAACAATGGATTCCCATGATGATCATTCTCCACAAACTGGGAAACCTTTAGTATTTGTGCTCCTTTTCTGTCTAGAAGAGTGGCATTTTTTTTTTTTTTTTGCAGGCGGATGTTATTTGGATGCCAGCACATGTTGGCATGCCTCCCAGTCCACTGCAGGCTCATGATTCACAGAAAAATAAAGAACACAGAGCGATGCAGCCCAAGGTAAGCCACATAGACAGGCCATCAACGGGTTGGGAGACAAGAAAGAAGGAAAGAAAGAAAGAAAGAAAGAAAGAAAGAAAGAAAGAAAGAAAGAAAGAAAGAAAGAAAGAAAGAAAGAAAGAGAAAGAAAGAGAGACAGAGAGAGAGAGAGAGGGAGGGAGGGAGGGAGGGAGGGAGGGAGGGAGGAAGGAAGGAAGGAAGGAAGGAAGGAAGGAAAGAAGGAAGGAAAGAAGTAAGGGAGAGAGAGAGATGCTGTAGTGTGTTAGCCACATTGTTATAAGCAGACTGCACTTACAGTCACACACACAGAAACACACACACACACCCAATGCCACACAGACACACAGACATCAAACACACAGATATTCAACACTCACAACACTCCCACAGAAACACACAGTCCAGGAGCTCCTGAGGCTGTGTGGTTCTACAAGAAGCCCCACCTGGAGAGAGCCACCCTGGTGAACACAGGGGGCCTGTACTTAAAAATCACAGTGGGGCAAGTTTCAAGAGGACTCACCCCTACAATGTCTAGGCAGGCTGGAGGAATCCTGTAGATCCTTTTGGATCCTTAGGGATTTTGTGGTTTATTCCTGGAGCTGTATTTGATGTTTCTTCAGGCTGGCTCACATATGCCCTCTCCTAAGATCATGGGACTATCTATGGATCCCACAGAGAAGACAGTTGAGAGTTCACCACTGAGACACCTCCACAGAATTCTCCTTTGCCGAGACAAAGGGACTTATTGCTAGATAATGGTGACATTTATACTGAGGCAAGCCAGAGTTCACAATGAGGCCTAGTGCCCTGAGGCTAGTGCATGCACATTCATGAGGCAAGCTGGGGAGCATGGCTGTCAGAGCTATCAGCCTGCCTAAGTAGACAATAATGCTACAGGCAGAGTTGGCCTGGTATCAGGAAAAAGGCTGCCTGTGAAAAAGGCTGCCTGTGAAAAAGACTGCAAGGTCCTAAAACTCCCAACCTCAGGGACCCTCCAGGCCATCGTGGTGGTCGACTTCCACTGGAGGAGGAGGCATTTTGTGACTGTGAGATAGTTTCTAGAAACTGCTCTTCAGATTTCATTCTGGAAAAAGGCTGTGTGCAAGAATTGAGTACCATGGGGATTAAAATATAGACTGGTGTGTTGTTGAGGGTTCTTTGTGTGATAGAATCATACCTGAGACCCCAGAAGTGGATATCATGAAAAGATGGCCAGACTCTTGACCTCACTGCCTTCCTTCAACTTTGACCTCACAGGGGCTCTCTAGGAAAGGCAGAAACTACAACAAAGGCAAGTCAGAGTTGGATCACTGTTCTCCCACCTTGTACTGCCCTCTCTTGGGTGCAGATGAGGTTGAAACAGTGTCTCAGAGGCCGTTTGTTGGGATGGCCAGCCTGAAAATGGTGTCCAGTAGTGCTGTTAAGGGGCAATGTGGATTCCCCATGAAAACGAAGAAAACCCAAGGCTTGCCTGAGAGAATGAGCTACCTTGTGCTGGAGTCTATGCAATGTTCAGTGAGTCCTGTCAAAGAACCCAAAAGCATCCTGCATAGTGCAAACATTCTGAGCCCCCACAACCAATGACATGGAATGCAGCCAGACTACTTGATGACCCTTTTGCTCTCTGAAATCCCTGGCAGCTAAATAATCTGTAGCTAGAGGCAGTCCCATCCAGCAACAGCCCAATGAAAAAGACCCTTCACAGTGAGAATGCCATGCAGATGAAATGAAATAGAGGCTAGATTACCAGGAAAAATTGACACATCTGTGTGCTTTTCATCCTGCAAGAATCATGCAGCCCCCTGGTAGATATGGGAGAACAAAAGTTTTCTTGTTGGTGGCAGTAATGGGAATTTACAGTTTTAACAATGTCAAAGCTTCCCAGTCATTAAAACCTGACAGTGGTTAGAAGAAAACACCCATGCAATGGATTCTCATGAGGATCTTTCTCCGTGAAATGGAAAACATTTGTTGTAGAAGTCACTGAGCCAGACCCAGAAAACCCTAATCCAATGAAGAACACGGATGTCAATATAGGAAGAGGCAAGTGTAAAGGCCACATCACAGCCAGCATCAATCCATTCCACTCCCATTTGTCTCTGAATATGAAAACTCTCAAATCGTGAGTTTGCTTGGATTGCTCCAATTTCTACTCCAAATGTTCCTTGCATGTTGGAGTACTCCCACCTGAACACCGGGTCATGGTGTGGACTGCTTTTGTAATTAAAGGAATGCAGGGATGGAGTTGGAAGCACCTTCTGTGTCATCTGTCTTCATTTTTTTTTCAGGTGAAGTTGTGGGACCCCACCCATCCCTCACCAGATTGTATCCTCACCCCTATCTGACCATACTGCTCCTCACACTCTATTTCACAGGATGAAATCCCAAGTCAATGTAAGAGTGCCCCTCATGACAGGAAGCATCTGCTCAGCTGGGAACTGAATTCAAGGTAAATTTAAGGGGCCTTGTTTACAGGACTGCTAGTGTCTCTCCCTGAGGTGGTTGCAGGACTATAAAATACTGGGATATGTCTGTTTTTTTGTGTGTGTATGGTGTGCTCCTCTTCTGTCTAGAAGAGTGGCTTTTTTGCAGGGGGTGGTGACTTGGAGGTTGGTGCATTTTGGCGTGCCTCCCAGTTCACTGATGGGTCATGATCCACATGAAAATAAACAACATGGAGCTCTGCAGCCCATGTAAACCACACAGACCAAAAATAGGTCATGAGACTCAAAAAAAAAAAAAAAAAAAAAAGGCTGAAGTGCATTAGCACATTCCTTTAAGCAGACTCCACTTACAGGCACACACAGACAATGTCACACTCACATGCAGACATCCAACACTCACAACATTTCCAAGAAATGCACAGTTTGGCAGCTCCTGAGGCTGCATGATTCTGCAGGAAGCTTCACCTGAGACACAGCAACCCTGGCGAAAACAGGCAGATTTTACCTAGAAATCACAGTGCAGCAAGTTTCAAAATGACTCACCCCTACAACGTCTAGGCAGGGCTGAGGAGTCCTGCAGATCTTTTTGGATCATTAGAAATTTTGCGGTTTATTCCCAGAACTGTACTTGATGTATCTTCAAAATGCCTTATGTCTGCCCTATCCTAAGATCATGGGACTATTGCATTGATCCCACAGAGAAGAAAGGCAAGAGTCCACCACCGATGCACGTCCATGGAGGTCTCCTTTTCTGCCAAGATACAGGGTCATGTCGCTTTGCAATGGTGATGTTCATTGTGAAGCTAGCCAGAACTCACAGTCAGGACTGGTGCCTTGAGACTAGCCAATGTGCATTCACTGGGCAGGTTCGAGTGTGCAGCTGTTAGAGCTGTTACCCTGCCTAGGCTCAGGGTAATGGTACAAAAAGAACTGGCCCGGTATCTCAAAAAATGCTGCCTGAGAAAACCCACAGTGGGACCCTAAAAGTCTCAAACTCAGTGCCTATCCAGGCACTCTCCTCTTGCTGGAGGAAGAGGCCATTCAAGACTGTGAGGTGGCTCTGGAAACTGGTCTTCTGACTCAATTTCTGAAAGACGGTGTGTGCAAGAATCAGGTCCCATAGGGATTGTAATATAGTCTGGAGTGTTTTTGAGGGTACTTTAGATGATAGAATCATACCTGAGACCCTAGAGGTAAGTGTCAGTGAAAGATGGCTGGGCTCTTGATCTCACTGCCTCCCTCATCCTGGGTTTTGAAGGACCTCTCTAGGAAAGGCAGGAACCAATAAAAAGGCAATTCCAAGGTGAAGCAGTGTTCTCACACCTCATACTGTCCTCTCTTGGTGCAGATGAGGTTGAGACTGTGTCTCAGAGACCCTCTGTGGAGACGCAAGTGTGAAATGGGTGTTTCAGTGCTGTTGACAAGGAAGAGTGGATGCCCCATGAAAGCCTTGAAAAATCAAGGCTCACTTGAGAGAATGAGCTGCTTTATGCTGGAACCCAAGCAATGTTCACTGAATCCTGTCAGAGGATCCACAGGCCTCCTGCAAAGTGCAAACATCCTTAACCCCCACAAAGAGACAATGACCAAGTATCTATAATGCAGCCAGCCTACCCAAAGTCCATTTGGCCCTCTGAAATCCCTAGCATCTAAATAACCTGTGGTGAGAGTCAGTCCCATCCAGCAGCAGCCCAATGATAGAGCCCTTCCAGAATGAGAAGGCCATGAAGATGAAAGAAATAAGAGGCTAGATTAATAGGCAAAAGCCAGGCATGGCTTCCAGCTTCTCATCCTACAGGAATCATGCAGCTGTGCAATGGAAGTGAGAGAACTAAAATTTCTTTTTGGAGGCTGTAACAGGAATTTATGCTTTTAACAGTATCAATGAGATCCATTCATTAAAATGTGACAGAGTTTAGAAGGAAACACTCACACAATGGATTCCCATGAGGGCAGATTTTCATGAACTGGGAAATGTTTAGTGTGGAATTCATTGAGCCAAACTCAGGAAACCCTAGACCGATGAGAAAAATGGAAGTCAGAAACAAAGAGGAAAGTGTGGAGGCCACATCCCACACAGCGTCATTCCGTTGCACTCCCGTTTGACTCTGGGTATGAAAGCCATCAAATCAGGAGTTAGCCAGGATGGACCCAATTTGCACACCAAATGTTTTTGGCGTGTTGGAGTACTCCCACCTCAACATCGGGCCATTGTATGGACTGCTTGTGCAATTAAAGGAATGTGCGAATGGTGTTGGAAGCACCTTCTGTGTCATCTGTCTTTCTCAGTGTTGCAGGTGAAGTTGTAGGACCCAATCCATCTCTCACCAGATTGTATCCTCACCCCATCTGACTGTATTGCTTCTTACACTGTATGTCCCAGGATGAAATCCTAAGATGATGGAGGAGGGTCCCCTCATGATGTAAAGTACCTGCTCAGATAGGAATCTAATTTGAGGTAAATTCCAGGGGTCCAGTGGACAGGATTGCTAGTGTCTCTCTCTGAGATGGCTGCAGGACAATAAAATACAGGAAGATGTCTGTTTTTTGGTGGGGTGTGTTCCTCTTCTTTCTAGAAGAGTGGCTTTTCTTTTGCAGGGGGAGTTGATTTGGATGCCGGCAGGTCTTGGCATGCCTCCCAATTCACAGTGGATTCATGATCCACAGAAAAATCAAGAACATGAGGTCCCGCAGCCCAAGCAAAGCCATATAGGGTGCCCACAAAAGGGTTACAGTCTAAAAAAAAAAAAAAAAAAAAAAAAAAGAAGCACTGACGTGTGTTAGCCACATTCTTTTAAGCATTTAAGCAGACTCCACTAACGGGCACACACAAATACAAAACACACACAGTGCCACACACGAACACAGACATCCAACAGTCACAACAATCCCACAGAAAGAAATATCCTGGCAGCACCTGAAGCTGTGTGATTCTGCAGGATGTCCCACCTGGGAGAGAGCAACCCCAGTGAACACAGGCGGGATGTACCTAGATATCATAGTGGGGCAAGTTTCAAGAAGATTCACCCCTACAATGTCTAGCAGGCCTGAGGAATTCTGCAGATCCTTTTGGATCTTAGGGATTTTGTGGTTTATTCCTGGGGCTGAGCTTGACATTTCTTCAGGCTGGCTGAAGTCTGCCCTCTCCTAGGATCATGGGACTATGCCATGTATCTCACAGAGAAGAGAGGTGAGAGTTCAACACTGATGCACCTCCACAAAGGTCTCTTTCTCTGCCAAGCCACAGGGACTTCTCACTATGCAGCAGCCACAGTCATTGTGATGCTAGCAAGGTCTCACAATCAGTCCTGGTGCCCTGAGACTAGTGTATGTGCATTCGTGAAGCAGGCTCAGGTGCCTATTTGTCACAGCAGTCAGTCTGCTTAAGGAGAGAAAAATAATACAGGCAGAGCCAGCCTGGTATCGGAAAAAATATGACTGCAAAAACCCACTGCGGGACCCTAAAAGTCTCTACATCAGAGCCCCTTCAGGCTGTCTCTGTGGTCAGTTTTTCATCGGAGGAGGAGGCATTTTGAGACTGGGAGATAGTCGCTGCAAACTGCTTCTCTGACTGCATTCCCAAATAAGAATGTGTGTGTGCAAGAATCAGGTCACATGGGGATTGCAGTATAGTCTGGTGTGTTGTCAAGGATTATTTTGCTGACACAACCCCAGAGGCTTGTGTCAGCAAAAGATGGCTGAGATCTTGATCTCACTGCCTCCCTTCATCTTGGGCCTAACAGGGGCTCTCTGGGAAAGGCAGTTACAATGACAAAGGCAACTACAAGGTGAAGCAGTGTTCTCACACCTCAGACTGGCCTCCAACGGGCACAGACGAGGTTGAGACAGTGTCTCTGAGGCCATCTGTGGTGATGGCAAACCTAAAAAAGGTGAATATTAGTGCCGTTGAGATTCACTGTGAATTACCCATGAAAGCAAAGAAAAATCAAGACATGTCTGACAGAATGCGATGCTTTGTGCTGGAGTCCAAGCAATGTTCAGTGATTCTTATCAGAGGACCTAAAAGCCCCCTGCAAAGTGCAAACAACCTTAGCCCCCCAATAAGGCAACGACCCATAACCTGGATGGCAGGAGCCTGCCCGAAGTCCCTTTTGCCCTCTAAAATCTCTGGCAGCTAAATAATCTGTGGCAAAAGGCAGTCACATCCAGCAACAGCCCAGTGAAAGTGCCCCTCCACAATGAAAAGGCCATCCAGATGAAATGAAACAGAGGCTAGATTACCAGGCAAAGGCCAGACAAGGCTGTTCATCCTACAGGTATTATGCAGCCATTTGAAAGAAGTGGGAGAAAAAGAGTTTATTTTGGCAGCAGTAATGGGAATTTTCAGTTTTAAAATATCAAAGCTACCCAGTCATTAAAAGGTGACAGTGTTTAGAAGGAAACACTCTGTGAACTGGGAAAGCTTTAGTGTGGAAGTGGTTGAGCCAGACACAGGAAACTCTAGGCAGGTGAGGAATATAGAAGTCAGAAGAAGAAGAGGAAAATGTGGAGGCCACATCCCACCCAGCATCAATCCATTCCACTCTTATTGATCTCTGAATATGAAAGCCCACAAATCGGCAGTTTGCCAGGATGGCCCCAATTTGCCCTCCAAATGTCCATTGTATGTTGCAGTATTCCCACCTTAACACCATGCCATTGTGTGGACTGCTTCTGCAATTAAGGGAATGTGTGGATGGAGTTGGAAACACTTTCTGTGTCATCTGACTTTATTTTTATTGCAGGTGAAGTTACAGGGCCCCAACCACCTTTCACTAGATTGTATCTTCACCTGTATCTGACCTTACTGCTGCTCACACTCTATGTCCCAGGATAAAATCCTAGCATGGTGGAGGAGTGTCCCCTCATGATGTGAAGCACCTGCTAGGCTTGGAACTGAATTCAAGGTGAGTTCAAGTGGCCCTCTGCACAGGACTGCTAGTGTCTCCCCCTGTTTAGCTGCAGGACAATGAAACACCAAAAAATGTCTGTTTGTGGGGGAGTTTTTTGTTTGTTTGTTTTTTTGATGTGGTGTGCTCATCTTCTTTCTAGAAGTGTGGGTTTTTCTGCAGGGGGAGGTGATTTGGACACCAGTGGGACTCAGCCCACCTCCCAATTCATGTCGGATTCATAATTCACAGAAAAATAAAGAACATGAAGCTTTGCAGCCCAGGAAGAGCCACACAGACAGGCCACCAAAAGGTTGGAAGACTCAAAATAACAATAATAATAATAACACTGAAGTATGTTAGCCACATTGCTTTAAGAAGACTCCCTTTACAGGCACACATACACACACAAACACACACAGAGAAACACACAATGCTACACACACACAGAGACATCCAACACTCACAACACTGTCACAAAAACACACAGCCCAGCAGCTCCTGAGGCTGCTTGGTTCTGAAGGTAACCCCACCTGGGAGAGAGCAACCCTGGGGGAACACAGGCAGGCTGTACCTAGAAATCACAATAGGGCAAGTTTCAAAAAGACTCACCTCTACAATGTCTAGACACATCTGAAAAATGTTGCAGATGTTTCTGGATCCTGAGAAATATTGTGGTTTATTCCTGGGCCTCTTCTTGATGCTACTACAGGCTGGCTTACATCTGCCCTCTCCTAGGCTCATGGGACAATCCTGTGGATCACACATAGAAGGCAGGTGAGAATTCATGACTGATACACCTCCACGGACATCTCCTTCTTTGCCAAGATGCAGAAATTGTCACTAGGCAATGGTGAAATTCATTGTGGCACTAGTTAGAGCTCACAGTCAGGCCTGGTGCCTCAAGACTACAGCATGCGCATTTTCAGGCCCTGCTGTTAGAGCTGTCAGCCTGCCTAAGCAGAGGAAAATGATACATGCAGAGCCAGAAAGTTATCCAGGAAAATGCCACCTGTGATAACCCACTCTGGGACCCTAAAAGTCTCATCCTTAGTGCCCCTTTGGCCATCTTTGATGCTGGGTCCCGCAGGATGAGAATGCATTTCTATTTTTAGACTGTGAGTTTGTCGTGAAAAACTGCTCTTGTGACTCCATTCCCGAAAGAGGCTGTGTGCAAGAATTGGGTACCATGGGGATTGGAATGTAGTCTGGTGCATTGTTTAGGGGTCTTTGGGTGATAGAATCCTACCTGATACCCCAGAGATGGGTGTCAATTAAAAATGACCAGGGCCTTAACCTCAGTGCCTCCCTTCATTCTTGGCCTCATAGGATCTCTCTCGGGTAAGCGGGAACCACACCTCAAACTGGCCTCTTACAGGGGCAGATGAGGTTGAGACAGTGTCTCAGAGGCTGTCTTTGGTGATTGTAACCCTGAAAAGGGTGTCCAGTAGTGCTAGTGACTGGCATGAAAGCAAAAAAATCAAAGCTCGTATGAGAGAAAGAGCTGCCTTGGGCTGGAGTCCAAGCAATGTTCAAAGATTCCTGTCAGAGGGCCCTGAAACCTCCTGCAAAGTGCAAACAACCTCATCCCACAAAATGAGACCAAGACACAGAACCTGGGATGCGGCCAGCCTGCCTGAAGTCCCTTGTGCTCCTTGATATCCCTGTCAGCCAATAAATTTGTGGTGAGAAGTAGCCCCATCCACCAACAGCCCTATAAAAGACCCCCTACACAATGAGAAAGGATGTGCAGATAAAATGAAACAGAGCCGGTATTACCAGGTGAAATACAGACACGGCTGCCTGCTTAACCTTTCGATAAAACCTAGAGAACAAGAGTTTCCTTGTTGGCAGCAGTAACAGGAAGTTACTATTTTAAAATTATCACAGCTGCCCAGTCATTGAAATGTGACAGTGTTTAGAAGGAAACACTCACTCAATGTATTCCCCTGAGGGTCAACTTCCATGAACTGGGAAATGTTTAGCATGGAAGACATTGAGCCATACCCAAGAATCCATAGGATGATGAGGCACACGTATGTCAGGATATGAAAAGGCAAGTGTGGAGGCCACATCCCACCTTGTATCAATCAATCTCACTGCCATTTTGTTCTGCCTATGAAAGCCCTCAAATCGATAGTTGGCCAGGGTGGCCGCAGTTTGTACTCCAAATATTCCCTGCACATTGGAGTACTCCCAACTAAACACTGGGCCAAGTTGTGGACTGCTTGTGCAATTAAGGAAATGTGGGAATGCTGTTTGAAGCACGTTTTGTGTCATCTGTCTTTATACTTTTGCAGGTGAAGGTGTGGGACCCCATCCACCCCTCATCAGATTGTATCCTCACGCTATCTGACCTTATTGCTACTCACACTGTATGTCCCAGGATGAAATCTCAAGGTGATGGAGGAGTGAATCCTGATGATGGGAAGTATCTGCTCGGCTATGAACCAAAATTGAGGTAAATTCGTGGGGCCCTGTGGGCAGGACTGCTAGTGTTTCTCCCTGGGATGGCCACAGAAAAATGACACACTGAAGGATTTCTGTTCTTGGCTGTGGTGTGCTGCTCATCTTTCTAGAGGGTGGCTTTGTTTTTTTCCAGCGGTTGGTTATGAGGACCCCGCGTGTCACAGCCAGCCTTGCAATTCACCGCAGGTTCATAATTCACAGAAAAATAAAGAACAGGGAGGCCTCCAGACCAAGCAGAGCCACACAGATGGGCAAACAAAATGTTGGAAGTCTCAAATAAAAGAAGCTCTGCAGTGTGTTATCCACATCCCTTTAAGCAGATTCCACTAACAGGTGCATGCGTGTGTGCACGCACGCACACACACACAAAAACACACAAAGCCAAAAAGCCACACCACACCCAGACATCCAACCCTTTTAACACTCCCTCAGAAACAGAGCCTGGCAGCTTCTGAGGCTGTGTGTTTCTGCAGAAATCCCCACCTGGGAGAGAGAAACCCCGGCAAACACAGTGGGATCTACCTAGAAATCACAGTTGGGTGAGTTTCAAAAAGACTCAACCCTACATCTAGGCAGGCCTGAGAAATCCTGCAGATGCTTTTGTAACCTTAGGGACTTTGCAGTTTATTCCTTGGGCTCTGCTTGAAGTTTCTTCACGCTGGCTCACGTCTGCCCTCTCCTAGGAACATGGATCTATCCTGTGGATCCCCCAGAGAAGACAAGCAAGAGTCCACCACAAGGCACCTCTATGGAGGTCTCCTTCTTGGCCAAGCAGCTGGGACTTGTAGCTGTGTAAGGGTGACATTCATTGTGATGCTAGCTAGAGCTCACAATCAGGCCTGGTGCCTGGAGACTAGCTCATGCGCATTTGAGGGCATGCTCAGTGGCCTGGCTTTCACAGCTGTCAGCCTGTGGAAGCAGAAGAAAATGGTACAGGTAGAGCCAGCTGGTAATGGGAAATAGGCTGCCTGTGATAACACACTGCGGGACCCTACAAGGCTCGAAATTAGGGTCACTTCGGGCTGTCTCTGTGTTCAGTTCCCACAGGAGTAGGAGGCATTTAGAGACTGTGAGGTGGTCGCTAAAAACTGCTCTTCTGACTCCCTTTCCGAAAGAGGCTGTGTGCAAGAATCAGGTCTTATGGGGATTGGAATGTAGTCTGGTGAGTTGAGGAGGGGTGTTTGGGTGATGGAATTATACCTGAGACCCTAGAATTGGGTGTCTATGAATGATGGTTGGGCCCTTAACCTCACTGTCTCCCATCATTCTGGACCTCGCAGGGTCTCTCTGTGAAGCACAGGAACCAAGACAAAGGCAAGTCCAAAATGGAGCAGTGTTCTCAAACCTCAAACTGGCCTCTCATGGGTACAGATAAGGTTGAGACAGTATCTCAGAGGCCATCTGTGGCCATGGCAAGCCAGAAAAGGGTGTCCAGTAGTGCTGTTGAGGGGCACTGTGGACTTCCCAGGAAAGCAAAGAAAAATCAAGGTGTGTGTGTGAGAAAAAGATGGCTTGTGCTGGAATCTAAGCAATATTCAAAAATTCCTGTCAGAGAACTCAAAAGCCTCCTTCAAAGTGCAAACAACCCATAACGAGACAGCGACCCACAACCTGGAGAGGCACTAAACCTACCCAGAGTCCATTTTGCTCACTGAAATCCCTGGCAGCCCATAGATCTGTTGTAAGAGGCAGCCCCATCCAGCAACAGCCCAATGAAAGACCACCTCCACAATGAGAAAGGATGTGCAGATGCAATGAAACACAGTGTAGATTACCAGAAAAAAGCCAAACATCGCTGCCTGCTTCTCTTCCTACAGGAATCATGCAGCACTCCAATAAAATTTGGAGAGCAAGAGTTTCCTTGTTGGCAGCTGTAAAAGGAGTTTATGGTTTTAAAATTATCACAGCTGCCCAGTCATTAAAACGTGACAGTGTTTAGAAGGAAACACTGGAAAACCTTTACCGTTGAGCCATCTGGGAAGATGTTGAGCCAGATCCAGGAAACCCCAGGCTGACAAGGAATATGGAAGACATGAAAAGAAGAGGCAAGTGTGGAGGTCACATCCCACGTTGTATCTATAGGTCTCACTTTCATTTGGAGCAGAGTATGAAAGCCCTCAAATTGGGAGTTTGCCAGGATGGCCCGGTTTGCATTTCAAATGTTCTCTGCACATTGGAGTACTCCCACCTGAACATCAGGCCATAGTGTGGACTACTTGCGTAATTAAGGAAATTTGAGAATGCAGTTGGAATCACTTTCTCTGTCATCTGTCTTCACATTTTTTGCAATTGGAAGTGTGGGACCCCACCCACTTCTCACCAGATTGCATCCTTACCCCTTCTGACCTTATTGCTGTTCATGTTCTCTTTCCCTAAATGAAATCCCAAGATGATCTAGGAGTGCCTTCTCAGGATCTGAAGAAACTGCTCAGTTATGAACTGAATTCAAGGTAAATTCAAGGGCCCTGAGGACATGAATGCTAGTGTTTCTTCCTGGGATGACCACTGGACAATGGAATACTGAAGGATGTCTGTTATTGCGTGTGTTGTGCTCCTTTTCTTTCTAGAAGAGCAGCTTTTTTTGGCAGGCAGAGGTGATGTGGACCTTGGTGTCTCACAGCCAGCCTCCCAGTACACTTTGGATTCATGATCCAGAGAAAATTAAAAAACACAGAGCCCTGCAGCTTAAGCAGAGCCACACAGGCATGTGACCCAAAGGTTGGGAGACTTAAAAAAAAAAATAGTGCTGCAGCGCATTAGCCACATTCCTTTAAGCAGACTTCACTTACAGGTGCGCACACACACACACACACACACACACACACACACACACATAAACACACAGTGCTAAAAAAAGCCACACCCATACACAGACATCAAAGACTCACAATAATTTTACAGAAACACACCACCCAGCAGTTTCTGAGGCTGTATGGTTCTGCAGGAAGACTTACGTGGGAGACAGCAACTCTGGGGAACACAAGCGGGGTGCACCTAGAAATCATAGCAGTGTCAGTTTCATAAAGATTCACCTCTACATGTGTAGGCAGGCCTGAGGCATCCTGCAGATCCTTTTGGAACCTTACAGATTTTGCGGTTTATTCCTGGGGCTTGGCTTGACATATCTTCTGGCTAGCTCACGTCTGTTCTCTCCTAGGATCATGAGACTATCCTGTGTATCCCACAAAGAAGACAGGCAAGATTCCTTGGCTGATGCACCTCCACAGAGGTCTCCTTCTCAGCCAAGCCTCAGGGAATTGTGGCATTCATGGTGAGGCTAGCCAGAGCTCACAGCTCAGGCCTGGTGCCCTGAGACTAGCACATGTGCATTCACCAGTGGGCTTGGCACTCGGCAGTCAGAGCTGTCAGCCAGCCTAAGCCGAGGAAAATGGTACAGGCAAGAGTGGGCCTGGTACTGGGAAAAAAAAATGCTGTATGCAATAACCCACTGTGGAACCCTAAAAGTCTCATACTTGGGGCCCCTTTCAGCTGTACCCGTGATCTGTTCCCACTGGAGGAGGAGATGTCTAGACTGTGATGGGGTCTCTGAGAACTGCTCTTCTGACTTTATTCCTGAAAGAGGCTGTGTGCAAGAATTGAGTCCCAGGGGGACTGGAATGTTGTCTGGTGAGTTGTGGAGGGTTCTTTGGGTGATAGAATCATACCTGTGACTCCAGAGGTGGGTGACAGTGAAATATGGCCAGGTTCTTAACCTCACTGCCTCCATTCATCCTGAGTCTTGCAGGGGCTCTTGGTGAAATGGAGGAACCATGACAAAGGCAAGTCCAAGGTGGAGCAGTATTCTCACAGCTCTAAGTGGACTCCCACAGGTGCAGGTGAGGATGAGACAGTGTCTCAGAGGACATCTGTGACAATTGCAATCCTGAAATGTTTGTCAGGTAGTGCTATTGAAGGGCACTGTGGACCCCCCATGAAAGCAAAGGAAAATCAAGGCTCACATGAGAGAATGAGCTGCCATGTGCTGTAGTCCAAGCCACGTTTAGAGATTTCTGTCACAGGACCCAAAAGCCTCTTGAAAAGTGCAAACAATCTCAGCCCCCACAAGTAAACCATGACCCCAAACCTAAAGTGCAGTCAGCCTACCCAAAGTCCCTTTTGCTCTCTGAAATCCCTGGAAGCCAATAATTCTGTGGTGAGAGGTAGCCTCATCCAACAACAGCCCGATGAAAGAGCCCTCCACAATGAAACAAGACAAGCAGATGAAATGAAACAGAGCCTAAATTCCCAGGCAAAAGCCAGGTACAGCTGCCTGCTTCTCCTACAGGTATCAAGCAGCCCTCTGATAAAAGCTGGATAACAAGAGTTTCTTTGTTGGCTACTGTTACAGAAATTTAGTTTTAAAACTATCGAAACTGCCTAGTCATTAAAATCTGACAGTGTTTAAAAGAAAACACTCATGAAATGGATTACTTTGAGGGTCATCTTCCGTGAAGTGGTAAATGGTTAACGTGGAAGATGTGGAGCCAGGCCCAGGAGAACTTAGGCCGATGAGGTACATGGAAGTCAGGAAAAAAGAGACAAGTGTGGTGGCCACATCAAACCTCACGTGAAATGATCTCACTTCCATTTAGCTCCTGGTATGATAGTCCTCAAATAGGGAGTTTGCCAGGATGGCTCCAGTTTGCACTCCAAACATTCCCTGCACATTGTGGTGCTCTCAACTGTACACCAGGCCATGGTATGGACTTGCTTGTGTAATTAAGGAAATGTGGGGATACAGTTGGAAGCACATTCTGTGACATCTATCTTCACATTTTTTGCAGGTGAATGTGTGGGACCGCATCCACCCCTCACCAGCTTGTATCCTCACCTTTATCTGATGTTATGGCTGCTCAAAGTATCTGTCCCAAAATGAAATTCCAAGACAATGAAGGAGTGACGTGAAGGTCCTGCTCAGCTAGGAACTGAATATGAAGTAAATTCAAGGGGCCCTGAGGACTGGACTGCTAGTGTTTCTCCATGGGATGTACACTGGAGAATAAAGCAGTGAAATATTTCTGTTCCTGGGTTTGATGTGCTCCTCTTCTTTCTAGAAGAGTGGCTTTTTTTTTTCCTCAGGGGGAGGTTATTTGGACCTGGCAGGTCTCAGCCAGCCTCTCAATTTACAGCGGATTCATGATCTGCAGAAAAATAAAGAACATGGAACCCAGCAGCCCAAGAAAAGCCACAAAGACAGACCACCAAAAGGCTGGGAGACTCAAAAACAAGAAAGCGCTGCAGTGTGTTAGCCACATTTTTTTAAGCAGATTCCACTTACAGGCATGCACACAAACAGGGAAACACACACACAAATGCAGACATCCAACACTCACAACACTCCCACAGAAACACACTCCTGGCAGCTTCTGAAGCTGTGTGGTTCTGCAGGAAGCCCCATGTGGGAGAGAGCAATCCCGGGGAACACAGGCATGCTGTATGTAGAAATCACAGTGGGACCAATTTCAAAATACTCACCCCTACAACATCTAGGCAGGCCTGAAGCATCCTGCAGATCCTTTAGGATTGTTAGGGAATTCACGGATTATTCCTGCGGCTCTGCTTGAGGCTTCTTAATGCTGGCTTACATCTGCCCTCTCACCCTCTCCTAGGATCATGGGACTCTCCCGAGGATTCCACAGAGAAGAGACCACAGTCCACCATGATGCATCTTCACGGAGGTCTCCTTCTCTGCCAAGCCTCAGGGACTTTTCACTAGGCAAAGAGTTATTGATTGTGATGCAAGCCAAAGATCACAGCTCAGGGGTGGTGCCCTGAGGCTAGCAGATGCACATTCGCAAGGCAGGCCCAGGGGCTCAGCTGTCAGAGCAGCCATTCTGCCTAAGCAAAGGAAAATGGTATAGGCAGAGCCGGCCTCATATCAGGAGAAAGGCTGCCTGTGATAACCAACTGGGGGACCCTAAATAAGTCAACCTTAGGACCCCTTCCATCCATCTCCTTGGTCGGGTCCCACTGGAGGAAGAGGTGTTTTGAGACTGTTAGGCTGTCATGCAAAACTGCTCTTTTGACTTCATTCTTGAAAGAGGCTATTTGTAAGAATCAGGTCCCATAGGGATTGGAATAGAGTCTGGTGAGTTGTTGAGGGGTCTTTGTGTCATGGAATCATAAGTGAGACCCCAGAGGTGGTTGTCAGTGAAATATGGCCAAACCCCTGTCCTCACTGCCTCTCTTCATTCTGGGTCCCCCAGGGGCTCTCTGGGAAAGGCATAAACCACAACAAATGCAAGTCTAAGATGGATCAGAGTTCTCACACCTTGAACTTCCCTCTCAGGGATGCAGATGAGGTTGACACATTGTCTTAGAGGCTGTCTGTGGCTATTGCAAGCCTGAAAACTGCGTCCAATAGTGCCGTTGTGGGGCAATGGCGACACCCCATGAAAGCACAAAAAACTCAAGGCTCACCCGAGAGAATGAGCTGACTTTTGCTGGAGTCCAAGCAACATTCAGATACTCCTGTCAGAGTACCTAAAAGCTTCCTCAGAAGTGCAAACAACCTCAGCCTCCACAATGAGACAACGACCCACAACCTGAAGTGCAGCCAGCCTACCTGAAGGCCATTTTGCTCCCTAAAATCGCTGGCAGCCAAAAGATCTGTGGTGAGTGGCAGTCGCATCCAGCAATGGCTGAATGACCCTCTCCACAATGAGAAAGGACCTACAGTGGAAATGAAACAGACCACAGATTACCAGGCAAAAGCCAGACATGACTGCATGCTTCTCATCCTATGGGAATCATGCACCCATCCGACAGAAGAGGGAGAACAAGAGTTTCCCTGTTGGTGTCAGTAACAGGAATTTATGGTTTTAAATGTATTACAGATGCCCAGTCATTAAATTGTGACAGTGTAATCTGTCTTCACCATTTTTGCAGGCGAATATGCATGACTCCAACCACCCCTTACCAGACTGTATCTTCAAACCTATGTGACCTTATTACTGCTCGTACTCTGTGTCCAAGAATAAAATCCCAAGACAATGGAGGATTGTCCCATTGTGATGAAAAGCACGTGTTCAGCTGGGAATCAAATTTGCGGTAGATTCAAGGGGCCCTGAGAACAGGACTGCCAGTGTCTCTCCCTGGGTTTGCTGCAGAACATGAAACACTGGGAGATGTCTGCTCTTGGGTGTGGTTTGCTATTCTTCTTCCTAGAAGAGGGTTTTGTTTTGTTTTGTTTTTTGCAGTGGGACATAATTTAACTTTGGCATGTCTCAGCCAATCTCCCAGTTCACTGTGGATTCATGATCCACACAAAAAAATGAAGAAGTTGTAATCCCATAGACCAAGCAAGGCCACACAGACAGGCCACCAAAAGTTAGGAGTCTCAAAAATAAGAAGTGCTTTAGGGCAATAGCCACATTCCTTTAAGAGATTCCACTTACAGGCACACAGATACACACACACACACACACCCCAACACTCACAACACTCCCACAGAAACACACAGCCCAGCAGCTTCTGAGGCTGCATGGTTCTGCAGGAAGCCCCACCTGGAAGAGACAATGCCTAAGGAACACAGGCTGGCTGAAACTAGAAATCACAGTGTGGCAAGTTTCAAAAAGACTAACTGCTACAATGTCTAGGAAGGCCTGAGGCCTTTTTCAGATCCTTTTGGATCCTTAGGGATTTCACAGTTTATTCCTGGGGCTCTGCTTGATGTTTCTTTAGGCTGGCTTGCACCCAGCATCAATCGATTCCACTTTCATTTGGCTACAGCAATGAAAGCCCTCAAATCAGGAGTTTGCCAGGATGGCCCCAATTTGCACTCCCAATCTTCCTTGCATGTTGGAGGACTCCCACTTGAACAGCGGGCCTTGGTGTGGACTGCGTGTGCAATTAAGGAATGTGGGGATGGAGTTGGAAGCATCTTCTGTGTCATCCGTCCTCTTCTTCTTTTTTTTTTTTTTTTTGCAAGTGAAGTTGCAGGACCCCATCCGCCCCTCTCCAGATTGTATCCTCACTCCATCTGACCTTATTGATTCTCACACTATATGTCCTACAATGAAATCCCAAGATGATGGAGCAGTGCCCCCTCATGACATGAAGCACCTGCTAGGCTGGGAACCAAATTTGAGGTAAATTCAAAAGGCCTGCAGATGAGACTGCTAGTGTGCTCCCTGGGTTTCCCACAGGACAATGAATCTCTGGGAGACATCTGTTTTTTGGGTGTGGTGTGCTCATCTTCTTTCTAAAAGGGTGCCTTTTTTTTTTTTTTTTTTTTTTTTTTTTTTTGCATGGGGAGGTGATTTGGATGTTGGCATGCCTTGGCCCAACTCCCAGTTCTTTTTGAATTAGTGATCCACAGAAAAATAAAGAACACTGAGCCCTGCAGCCCAAGCAGAGCCACACAGACATGTCAACAAAAGGTTGGGAGACTCAAAAAAAAAAAAAAAAAGAAGGACTGAAGTTCTTTAGCCACATTCCTTTAAGCACACTCTACTTACAGGCACACACAGACATACACATAGACACACAAACCCAAAATAACACACACACACACGCAAACATCTATCACTCACAACTTTATCACAGAAACACACAGCTCAGCAGCTCCTGAGGCTGCTTGGTTCTGCAGAAAGCCCCACCTGGGAGAGAACAACCCTGGGGAACACAGGTGGGATGTACCAAGAAATCAGAAAGGGCCAAATTTCAACAAGAGTCATTCCTACATCTAGGCAGGCCTGAGGAAACCTGCAGATCACTTTGGATCGTTATGGATTTCACAGTTTATTCCTAGGGCTGTGCTTGACATTTCTTCAGGCTGGCTCATGTCTACAGTCTCCTAGGATCAGAGGAATATCCAGGGGATCCTACGGAGAAGATAGGGGAGAGTCCACCCCCAATGCTCCTCCGTGGAGGTCTCCTTCTCCGCCAAGCTGCAGGGACTTGAGAGTAGGCAATGGCAAAGTTCATTGAGACACTAGCCATAGCTCACAGTTAGGCCTGGTGCCCTGAGACTAGCACATGTGCATTTGTGAGGCAGGCTTGGGAACCTGTGTGTCAGAGCTGTCAGCCTGCCTAAGCAGAGGAAAATGGTACAGCCAGAGCTGGCCTGGTATCGGGAAAAAGGCTGCCTGTGAAAACCCACTGTGGGATCTCAAAATGCTCAACCTCAGGGCGCTTTTGGTGGATCTCCATTGTCAAGTTCCACTGGAGAAGAAGGCGTTTTGAGACTGTGAGATAGTCGATGGAAACTGCTTTTCTGACTCTATTTCTGAAAGGGCTGTTTGCAGGAATCAGGTCCCATTGGGATTGGAATACTGTCTGGTTTGTTTTTGAGGGTTCCTCAGATGACAGAATCACATCTGATACCCCAGAGTTGGATGTCTGCAAAAGATGTCTGGGATTTTGACCTTCCTTCCTCCCTTTATTCTATGCCTTACAAAGGCTCTTTGAGAAAGGCAGGAACCAGAAGAGAGGCAAGTCCAAGGTAAAGCAGTGTTCTCACACCTCAGACAGGAGGCTCACGGGTGCAGATGAGGTTGAGACAGTGTCTCAGTGGCAGTCTGTGGTGATGGCAAGCCTGAACAAGCCTGGACGGTAGTGCTGTTGAGGGGCACTGTGGATTCCCCATGAAATGAAACAAACAAAAAAATCAATGCTCGCCTGAGAGAACGAGCTGCCTTGTGCTGGAGTCCAAGCAATGTTCAATGCTTCCTGTCAGAGGACCCAACACCCTCCAGCAAAGTGAAAACCACCTCATCCCACACAACCAGAAAACAACCCACAACCTAAAGCACAGCCAGCCTACACGAAGTCCCTCTTTCTCTCTTAAATAGCTGGCAGCTAAATAATCTGTGGCAGGAGGAAGTCACATCCGACAAAAGCCCAATGAAAGAGACCATCCACAATGAGGAGGCCAAGCAGATAAAATAAAACAGAGGCTTGACTGCCAGGCAAAAGCTAGACATGACTGCCTGCTTCTTATCCCACAGGAATCAAGCAGCCCTCTGATAGAAGTGGGAGAACAAGGGTTTCCTTGTTGGTGGCTGTAACAGGAATTCATGGTTTTAAATGTCAAAACTGCCAAGTCATTAAAATGTGAGTGTTTAGAAGGAAACCCTCATGCAGTGGATTCCATAAGGGTCTCTCTTCATGAACTGGGAAACATTTAGTGTGGAAGTCCTTGACCCAGACACAGCAAACTCTAGGCCGATGAGGTACATGAATGTCAAAAAAAGAAGAGGCAAGTGTGAAGGTCCACATCCCACGCAATGTCAATCCATTCCACTTACATTTGGCTCCAATTATGAAAGCCCTCAAATCAGGAGTTTGCCAGGATATCCCCAATTTGCACTCCAGGTGTTCCTTGCACGTTGGAGTACTCCCACTTGAACAATAGGCCATGGTGTGGACTGCTTGTGCAATTAAGGGAATGAGGGGATTGTGTTGGAAGCAATCTGTGTCATCTGTCTTCATTTTTATTGCAAGTGAAGTTGCAGGACCCATCTACTCCTTACCAGATTGGATCCTCCACCCTGTCTGACCTTACTGCTGCCCACACTCTGTGTTCCAGGATGAAATCACAAAACTATGAAGGAGTTCCCCACAACGATGTGAAGCACCTCCTCAGCTGTCAACTGAATTCAAGGTAAATACAATCAGCTCTGCAGACAGGACTGCTAGTGTCTCTACCTGGGTTGGCTGCAGGACAATGAAACACTGGAAGATGCCTGTTTTTCGGTGTGGTGTGCTCCTCTTCTTTCCAGAAGAGTGGCTTTGTTTTTACAGTGGGAGTTTATTTGGATGCCAGCGGGACTTGGCAAGCTCCCAACTGTGGATTCATGATCCACAGAAAAATAAAGAACACACAGCCCAAGCAGACCCACACAAACAGGCCACCAAAAGGTGTTGAGACTCAAATAAAGTAGCACTGAATTGGGTTATCCACATTTCTTTAAGCAGACTCTACTTACAGGCACAAACACACACACACACAACACAAACACACAGTGCCACACACACACATGCAGACATCCAACACTCGCAACACTCCCACAGAAACACACAGTGATGCAGCTCCAGAGGCTGCATCATTCTGCAGGAAGCTCCACCTAGGAGAGAGCAACCCTAGGAACAGAGGTGTGCTGTGCCTAGAAATCACAGAGGGGAACGTTTCAAAAACACTGACCCCTGCAATGTGTAGGTAGGCCTGAATAATCGTGTGGATACTTTTGGATCCTTAGGGACTTTGTGGTTTATTCCTGTGGCTGTGCTTGATGTTTCCTCAGGCTGGTTCACATCTGCCCTCTCCTAGGATTATGGAACTCTCCCGTGGATCCACAGAAAAGACAGGCGAGAGTCCACCATGGACACACCTCCACAGAGGTCTCCTTCATTGACAAGTCGCAGGAACTTGTTGCTAGGCAACGGTGACATTAATTGTGATGATAGCCAGAGCTCACAATCAGGAATGATGCCCTGAGACTAGCTCATGCGCATTCATGAGGCGGCCTTGGGCACCTGGCTCTCAGAGCTGTCAGCCTTCCTTAGCCGAGGAAAATGCTACAAGCAGACCTAGCCTGGTATCAGAAAAGGGATGCCCGCAAAACCACTGGGGGACAGTAAAAGTCTTGACCTCACATCCCATTCAGGCCATCTCTGTGGTCAGGTCCCGCCAAAGGAGGAAGCATATCAATACTGTGAGGTGGTCTGTGGAAACTACTCTTCTGTCTCCCTTTTTGACAGAGGGTGTGTGCAAGAATCGGGTCAGGTGGAGATTGGAATAAAGTCTGATGTGTTGTTGACGGTTCTTTCGATGATAGAATCATACCTGAAGCCCCATGGGCTGGTGTCAGTGAAAGATGGCCGGGCCCTTGACGTCACTGCCTCCCTTCATCCTGAGCCTCTGAGGGGCTCTGTGGGAAAGGCAGGAGCCACAGCAAAGGGAAGTCCAAGGTGGAGCACAATTCTCACAACTTGGACTGACCTCTCACAGGTGAAGATGAGGTTGAGATCAGTGTCTCAGGGGCCGTCTGTGGTGATGGCAAGCCTAAAAAGGGTGTCCAGTAGTGCTGATAAGGGGCACTGTGGATTCCCCAAGAAAGCAAACAAACATTAAAGCTCACCTGAGAGAATGAGTTGTCTTGTGCTGGAGTCCAAGCAATGTTCAATGATTCCTGTCAGAGGACCCAAAATGCTCCTGCAAACTGCAAGCAACCTCAGTCCCCCAAACAAGACCATAAACCACAAACTTGAGCACAACCAGCCTCCACAAAGTCCCTTTTGCTCTCTGAAATCCCTGCTAGCTAAATAATCTGCGGCAAGAGGCAGTCCCATCCAGCAACAGTTCAAGAACCCCCCTCCACAATGAGAAGGCCATGCAGATGAAATGAAACAGAGGCTAGATTACCAGGTAAAAACCCACACATGGTTGCCTGCTTCTCATCCTACAGTAGTCATGCAGCCCTCTAATCGAAGTGGGAGAACAAGAGTTTTCTTGTTGGCGGGTTTAATGGGAATTTATGGTTTTAAAAGTATTAAAGGTGACCAGTCATTAAAATGTTACAGTGTTTAGAAGGGAACAATCACCCAGTGGATTCCCATGATGGCCATTCTCTATGAACCGGGTAACCTTTCGTGTGGAAGTCATTGAGCGAGACCCAGGAAACCCTAGGCTGATGAGGAACATGAAATTCAGGAAAGGAAGAGGGATATCTGGAGGCAATATCACATCCAGCATCAATCCATTCGACTTCTATTTGACTCTGGGTATGAAAGCTTTAAATCAGGAGTTTGCCAAGGTTGCCCCAATTTGCACTCCAAGTGTTCCTTCCACGTTGATGTACTCCCATCTGAACATATGGCAATGGAGTTTGAAACACCTTCTGTTTCATTTGTCTTCTTTTTTTTTTTTTTTTTTTTTTTTTGCATGTGAAAGTGTGGGACACTATCCACTGCTTACCAGATTGTATCCTCACCCTTATCTGACCTCATTGCTGCTCACACTCTATGTCTCAGGATGAAATCCCAAGAAAATAGAGGAGTAACCCCTCATGATGTGAAGCATCTGCTCAGCTGTGAATTGAATTTGAAGTAAATTCATGAGGACCTGAGGACAAGACTGCTAGTGTGTCTCCCTGTGTTGGCCACACGGAAATGAAACACTGGGAGATGTCTGTTTTTTGGTGAAAGAATCTGATTTCATGGGTATTGGTATATAGTCTAGCTTGTTGTTGAGTGTTCTTTGGCTGATAGAATTATACCTGAAACCCCAGAGACTGGTTTCAGTGGAAAATGTCTGGACTCTAGATCTCACTACCTCATCCTGGGTCTTGTAGGGGCTCGCTGGAACAGGCTGGAACCAAGACAAAGGCAAGCATGTGATGGAGGAGTGTTCTTGCACTTTGGACCTTCCTGTCACGGGTGCAGATGAGGTTGAGTCACTATCTCAGAGACCATCTGTGGTGACGACAAGCTTGAAAATCATGTCAAGTAGCACTTTTGAGGGGCATTGTGGATTCCACCATGAAAACAAAATAACAAAAAAAATCATGGCTCGCATGAGAGAATGAGCTCCTCAGGCTGAAATTTAAGCAATGTTCAATAATTCCTGTCAGAGGACCCAAAACTCTCCTGCAAAGGGCAAACAACCTCAGCCCCCATGAAGAGAAAATTACCCACAACAAGTAGCACAGCCATTTTTCCTAAAGTCCTTTTTGCTTTGTGAAATCCTTGGCAGCTAAATAATCTGTGGCATAAGGCAGTCCCATCCAGCATCATCCCAATGAAGAGTCCCTCCACAATGAGAATGCCATGCAGATGAAATGAAACTGAGGTTATACTACCAGGCAAATCCAGACACGGTTGCCCACTTCTCATCCTACAGAAATCATGTGGCATTCAATAGAAGTGTGACAATAAGACTTTCCTTCTTGGTGGCTGTAATGGAAATTTATGGTTTTAAAAGTATTAAAGCTGCACAGTTATTCAAACCTGAAAGTGTTTAGAGGGAAATACTCATGCAATGGATTCCCATGAGGATCATTTTCCATGAACAGAGAAATATTTAGTGTGGAAGTTGTTGAGCCATACCCAGGAACCCCTAGGTCAGTGAGGAACATAAAATTCAAAAAGAAGAGGCAAATGTTGAGGCCACACCTTACCCAGTATCAATCATTTCCACTCCCCATTTAGCGTTGGGTACGAAAGCCCTCAAATCAGGAGTTTTCCAGGATGCCCCCAACTGGCACTCCAAATATTTCTTGCATTCGAGTACTCTTACCTCAGCACCTGGCAATGGTGTGGACTGCTTTTGCCATTCGAGTACTCTTACCTCAGCACCCGGCAATGGTGTGGACTGCTTTTGCAAATAAGGGAATGCGGGGATGTATTTGGAAGCACCTTCTGTGTCATCTGTCTTCGTTTTTTTTTGTTGTTTTGTTTTGTTTAGGTTTTGGTTTTTGCAGGTGAAGTTACAGGACACCATCCATTCCTCAGCAGATTGTATCCTTTCCCCATCTGACCCGATTTCTACTCACACTGTAAGTCCCAGGATGAAATCACAAGATGATGGAGAACTGCCCTCTCATGATGTGAAGCATGTGCTCAGCAGAGGACAAATTCGAGGTAAATTCAAGGGGCCCTTTGGACAAGACTGCTATTGCCTCTCCCCAGTTTGGCCACAGTACAGTGAAACTCTAGGAAATGCCTGTTTTTTTGGTGTCATGTGACCCTCTTCTCTCAAGAAGAGTGGCTTATTTTGCAGGGGTGGGTATGACTCAGATGCCTGCACATCTCAACCCGCCTCCCTATTCACTGAGGATTCATGATCTACAGAATAATAAGGAACATAGAGCCCCACAGCCCAAGAAGAGCCACCAAGACAATCCACCAAAGTGGGGAGACAAAAAAAAAAAAAAAAAAAAAAAAGAATTGCTGAAGTGTGGTAGCCACATTCCTTGAAGTAGACTCCACTTATAGGCACACACACAGAAATCCAACCCTCACAATACTCCCTCAGAAACACACAGCCCGGCAACTCCCAAAGTTGTGCAGTTTTGCGGGAAGCCCCAACTGGGAGAGAGCAACCCCAAGGAAAAAAGGCAGGCTATACCTAGAAATCACAGTGGGGCCAGTTTCAAAAAGACTCACCCCTACAACATCTAGGCAGGCCTGAGGAATCTTGCAGATTATTTTGTATCCTCAGGGATTCACAGTTTATTCCTGAGGCTCTGCTTGACATTTCTTCAGGTTGGCTCACATCTGCCCTCTCCTTGGAACATGGGACTATCTGGTCGATTCCACAGAGAAGACAGGACACAGTCCACCAAAGACACATCTCCACGGAAGTCTCTTTCTCTGCCAAGGCACAGGGACTTGTCGCTAGGCAATGGTGACTTTCATGGTGAGGCTAGCCAGAGGCTTTTAGACTAGGGCATGCGCATTGTGAGGCAGGCTCAGGTGCCAGGCTGTAAGAGCTGTCAATTGCCTTAAGCAGAGGAAAATGGTACAGGCAGAGCCAGCCTGGTATCAGTAAAAACACTGCCTGTGAAAACCCACTTTGGGACCATAAAAGTCTTGACCTCAAGGCCCCTTCGGGTCATCTCCATGGTAGGATCCCACTGGAGGATGAGGTGTTTCAAGACTGTGAGGTGGTCGCTGGAAACTGATCTTCTGGCTCCGTTTCAGAAAGGGGCTGTGTGCAAGAATTGGGTCCCATGGGTTTGGGATATTGTCTGGTGTGTTGTTGAGGGTTCATTGAGTGATAGAATCATACCTGGGACCCCAGAGGTTCGTGTCAGTGAAAGATGGCTGGGCTCTTGACCTCACCCTCTCCCTTCATCCTGGGCCTTGCAGAGGCTCTCAGGGAAAGGTAGAAACTACAAAGGCAAATCCAAGGTGGTGCATGTCCTCACACCTCAGACTGGCCTCACATGGTTGCAGGTGAGGTTGAGAGAGTGTCTCAGAGGCCATCTGTGCTGATGGCAGCCTGAAAATAGTGTCCAGTAATGCTGTGAAGGGGCACTGTGGATTCCCCATGAAAGCAAACAAAAATCAAGGCTCTCCTGAAAGAAACAACTGCATTGTGCTGGAGTTGAAGCAAGGTTCAATGATCCTTGTCAGAGGAACCAAAAGCCCCCTGTAAAGTGCAAACAATCACAGTCCCCACAATGAGACAATGACCCACAACCTGCAGAGCAGCCAGACTAGCCGATGTCCCTTTTGCTCTCTGAAATTCCCAATAGCTACATAATCTGTGGCAAGAGGCTCTTCCATCCAACAACAGCCCAATGAAAGAACCCCTCCACTATAAGAAGGCCAGGCAGACAAAATGAAACAGAGGCTATATTATCAGGCAAAAGCCAGACACGGCTGCCTGCTTCTCACTCTACAGGAATCATGCATCCCTCCAATAGAAGTAGGAGAAGTATCAAAGCTGCCCTGTCATTAAAACATGACAGTGTTTAGAAGGAAATTCTCATGCAATGGATTCCCATGAGGGTCATTCTCTGTGAACTGGGAAATGTTTAGTGTGGAAGAGGCCAAGCCAGACCCAGGAAACCCTAAACTGATGAGTAACATGGAACTCAGGAAAAGAAGAGGCATGCATGGAGGCCACATCCCACCCAGCATCAATACATTCATCTTCCATTTAGCTCCAGGCGTGAAGGTCCTCAAATCGGGAGTTTGCCAGCATGGCCCCTATTTGCACTCCAAATATTCCTTGCACATTGGAGTACTCTGACCTGAACACCGTGCCATGATGTGGACTACTTGTGCAATTAGTGGAATGTGAAAATGGAATTGGAAACACTTCTGTGTAATGTCTTCATTTTTTGCAGGTGAAATTGGGGGACCCCATCCAGCCCTCACCACATTGTATCATTACCCCTTTCTAACCTCATTTCTGCTCATACTCTATGTCCCAGGATGAAATCCCAAGACGCTGGAGGAGTTTTCCTTTAAGACATGAATCACCTATTCAGCTGGGAACTGAATTCAAGGTAAATTCATGGGGCCCATGGGATAGGACTGCAGGGGCTCTCCCTGGTTTGGCTGCAGGACAATGAAACACTAGAAGATGCCAGTTTTTTGGTGTGGTGTGCTCCTCTTCTTTCTAAAAGACTGAATTTTTTTGCAGGGGGAGGTGATTTGTACACATGCCTCCCAATTCACTGTGACTTCATGATCCACAGAAAAATAAAGAACACAGATCCCCACATCCCAAGCAGAGCCACACAGACACACCACCAAAAGGCTTGGCGATGGCAATCCTGAAAAGTATGTCCAGTAGTGCTGCTGAAGGGCAAGACGGTGAGTAAGACCAAGCAAACCCTAATTTGATGAGGAAGATGGAAGCCAAAAAAAAAAAAAAAAAAAAAGAGGCAACTGTGGAGGCCACATCCCACACAGCATCAATCCATCCTACTCCCATTTGGCCCAGTGTATGAAAGCCCTCAAAGTGCAAACCCCTAGGTTTGCACTCCACAGGTTCACGGCACGTTGGAGAATTCACACTTGAACACTGGACCTTGGTGTGCACTGCTTGTGCAATTAAGGGGATGTGGGGATTCAGTTGGAAGCAACTTCTGTGTCATCTGTCTTCATCTTTTTTGCAGGTGAACATGCGGGATACAATCCACACCTCACCAGGTTCTATCCTCTTTTCTATCTGACCTTATAGCTGTTCACACTCTCTGTCCCAGAATGAAATCCCAAGATGATGGAGAGTGCCTCCCCATGACATTAATCACCTGCTTGGCTAGACTCATGTATTGATTAATTATTCTTATAGTTGTTTGTATTCATTGTGAGACACAATGCTTCATTTTTCTTCCTTATTCTTCACCATTTATTTTCTTCTCAGATTAGTTATAGTTTGTAACTTACTTTGTCAAATATATGCAATAAGGTAACACTGCAGTATTGTAGAAAGCACACTGCATTGGAAGCAGACTCATTAAAATGGGAAAACCTCTCTTATTACCTGCAGCTGGGCGATCAGTGAGGACAGGTTGCGGGGCTCTGACCCTAGGCAGCATCTAGGGGTGAATGCATACAGCTCCTGAATCCCTAGCGGGCATGTGTTGCACGGTGTTAATTTAGTTCATCCATCTGTAGACTACTAGTGTTAGTTCAATTAGACATCCAGCCTTACTGCAAAGACAGAGGGCTTTCTGGATCCTGGGATTACCTGCCTTGGTGTACCTGAAGAATTGGCTCCCATGTGGGTTTGGAGAATAAGTGCAAGTTTTCATTGATTGGAAGTGTTCAGAAAATCGATGGGGAGCCAGAATGGAGATGGAATGGGAAGGTGGTTTTCTCTCGGAATGGGGCAGCTCAGTGCTCTCCTCCCACAGCCCCATGAAACTTCGTGTTCTTCTGCAGTGGATGGCCTGCAGCCTCAGTCCTTGTGCTCTCCTTTCTCTGGTGTCCTCTCCAGGTCCAGATGTTGTGTCTTCTTCTGGTGATCATTCCTCTAAAAGTCCAGCTGCTGTGTATCTCCCTGCTAGCGTCTCAGGATTTCTTATAGAACAGGATGGGAGTATGGCAGGCGAGGGTGGTCTTGGAAAATGCAACACTTGTGCAAAAAAACCCAGAAACACATGTCCTCACCAATTTAGGCAAGAAAACAGAGGTGCGTGTCTTCAACTAAGTCAGTGAGCACAGGCCTGATGGTGGAGCCCTAGCCAAGAACCACAGCCTTCTCTACCAGGCACTTCTCTGCCCCTCTTCCATATCAATATTTTTTAAATTTAAAACTCCAAAATAGTACCCAAATCCTTTACAGATGACAACTGGAGAAAATGGCATTTGAAGAGCCAGTCTGGGATTAGGGTCACTATATGGAAAATGAAAACAGAGAGAGCATGTCCTGTAGGCATGGAATCACTGCAGAAACATATCCCTTATTGAGAAAGAGAAGGAAACAAACTGACTTCTCATATCTTCTTGTTCTCTAATCTCTGCAGTGTCACCCCTTGACTGAACTGAAACAAGAAGTAATTTTTATAGGAGCCTAGGAACCATGCCTTCCTGGGGCCAGGCCTCTCTCTATTACAGAACAGTGCCAGGGAGAAGGGAGTGATATAGCTGTGGGCATGCAAACCCAGGGCCTCCCACAAAGGAGTATTAGAGACAAATACAGTGTCAGGAGATAAAGAGAGAATTACTCTCAGGAATGATTCATTCATGATATTCGTGAAAAGACCAAAAAGTAAAACAGCTTGTGAGGTAGTAAACATAAAAAGATCATAAACAAAAGCAGGCAAAATTGTAAAGTCCAGGGTATTTACCTTCCCTTTATAGGATTTTAATGATCCCTTCCAGAAGCCTTTTCCCAATATCTTCCATTCATGGATTCATTCAAGAAATATTTATTGAGCTAGAATGCTCTAAGCATTCGGCAGATGGCATCATATGCACTGTTGGTACTTCTATCATTGATAGAAAGAATGTTTCTTTTTTCTCTACAACGTTTTCTCGCAAACATTCTTCTCGAAAATTTGTATCCTTACAGATGCGATCAATTGTTCCTTCCCTAAGGTTCTCCACACCCCTGTTAACGCAGTTAAGAACTTCCTTCCTCTGCAACTAAGTTACTAAATTGTATATATTGTAACACTTGCCAGAGTACATTCCAATTATGGCTGTTTTCTTCATTCTCCAATTAAACTATGAATATTTTGAAGGAAAAGTCTATAAACACAATGGCTTGACATTTGTCAACATTTATTGCACAAAAGGTTATTAGATATTTATATATAACATTATAATACATTCATCCTAATTTCTGGAAAACAATATAAACAATCACTCTCCACTCCCCCATTGACTGCTCAACTTTAAACAATGTCTCTACTTTTAGAGCAATTATACAAACTTCCAAAAAACACCTGAAAGTGTTTTTATTTTAATTTATTTTGTTTTTTATATTGAATTATTTTGTAGAGACAAAGTCTTGCCTCATGGCCCAGGCTGAAATGCAGTGTGTGATAACAGCAAACTACAACTGTGAACTCCTAAGTGGAACAACAGATGTGTGCCATCATGCCCAATTTAACTAATTAAATATTTAGTTACATTTTAAAAATGGTTCTTGCTGTGTTGCCTATGCTGCTGTCAAACTCTGGGTTTGAAGCAGTCCTCCCTTCTAAGCCTCCCAGAGAGCTGCAATTCCAGGCATGAACAACCAGACCTCAAAGAGGAAATTTTAGATTTTAGAATATTGCAATATATTAGACTTAATTTCTTCTTTCAGTTTTGCATTTGCAGTGGCACTTGAGAATAATTATTACTTATGGTGAGAGTGTGATTTCTCATATTTGGTCACCAGATTTTGAAATCTTTATTCTGTTTGCTTAAATCCTAATAACTGGTAGTCAACTCAGCTGAAAGTCAAGTACATGGGTGACTTGTTTTGAGGCTATGGAGACAAATGTACAGATGTATTAAGAACCAAAGACTATTTTTTATATAGGCTAAAGCTTTATCCTTGCTGGTGAAGCATCATACGTGGCATGGATAGTTTTATAAAATACCCTGAAATACATACTTTAGTAAGCAATTTAGCACTCACAATTTCCCAACTTTGTTTTCATCTGAAGTTAATGATGTATGGCACTTCTAGTAAGTAAATGAATGTTTGAATTGCTGTGAGTTATTTTAGTCATTTCTCAGTTAACCATTTAAGTTATCAAAGATCTTTACTTGTGCAATATCATAAATGATAGACATTAAAAATGAATCAACAGAATTGATCTAACTAAAAGCTGTCATCTAATGTGATATTTTTTCAGTAAGATGACAGCAGTAATTATGCCAAAAAAAATAGTCATTCCCCTAGCTTGAGCCATTATAGCAACTTCTAACCAAAGATTTCACAGGCAGGGTCCAGATCTGGGCAACAGTTATTAACATAATGGTTATTGTTGAGAATAAATTTTGATACGTCTAGCTGTGCTTGGATGTCAGTGCCTTGAAGGGACAGGTTTGGCATATTAATAAGAAAGGGTGCATTGGACTGAATACTAAGAAATGAATTGTTTTTCTTATCTTCTATAACATGAAAGGTCAATTTGAGATATAGAAACACTGGAACATTTCACAGCATGGCCTGACATTTCACTGCACTTTTATTTTTTTAACCATGTACAAAGTTGATTAAATACACAAAGGTAGGACTGCTATAGGATGAAAGTGGTGGAGTCAGAGGTCACAATCCAAAGCAAGGTGATAGTCTCTTGAGGATGACACCCTGATTGCTGAATTAGGGTGAGAATCAACTTTCAGCTGTTAACAGGGGACAAGGAGAATGAAGTTATCAACAGTTAACATTATTGGATTAATTGAAATGAATGTTGGCAGAGATTTTGCTGGCTTTACATCAAATTGAGTATAGTACTTCAAACTGAGTATTTGATGAGGGTAAACACTTAATCAAGTTTTCCACATGTAAAATTGAGAATTAATTAAAAGATTATACAACCCACACGTTATGGGTATCTCATATAAATTTATATACACATGTGCAAACTTGCAGTGTGCATATATTTGTCTATATCTAAATATATCCAAATCCATTGATGAACAGTTAGAAATTTAGAAATTATTCTCCCATTTTATCATTCCCTTTCCTAGAATTTTGTCACAAATATAATTTTTCCATCTGTTTGAAGCCTACTCTCTGGAGGCATGTAATGTATGGACACAGTAAAGCCCTGAGGTATCACAGGGTTTTTATCAGAGAAAATAATAACACTGGTGTTATAAAAGATCCATTGTGAGGAGAAAGATATATTTCACATGATTACAAATACAGAAGTATTATTTCATCAAAAGCTGGTATCAGTGAATACAATTTGTTTTTAATGTTTTATTTAAAATATTTAATCTCAAAAGAATTTGTTGAGTAGAATAATGATATTGGTAAGAAATAATGATTCAGAATTTCCTTTAATTTGTTGACTTTTAAAATTAAGTGAAATACTAAAAAGTACTATTTAATGTAGTTTCATGAAGCATTCTCTATGGTTTTATAAAATTAATAGTCTCAATGGAATTTTTTGACACAGAAATGTCCTTATATAATTTTATGATTTATTATTGTACTTTCACTTTATTACTTGCTTGCATGTCACAACTGATAGAAATAAAAATATTTTCATTTACACATATACAAAACATGGATGTTTGTTTATGTTTTCTAGTGAAAGAAAGTCACCAATAATTGTATCTATGTAGGAAAATTTTGACAAGCCCAAAGTTCTTAACTTTCTTTTCTTTTGAAGTTTCATATTTCAGTCTAGGTATGAGATCAAATTGACTATGATTATTTTTTGATTTTACTATGACTACTGAGTTTCTGATATAGTGTTTTATATATGTGTGTGTACATATATATATATATATTCATATAGCGATATATATAGTGACACTCCCCTTAACCCAGGTGGACTCCTCATCCTCACTACATGGTATGGCCCGAAGTGTTACTCCTGGGGCCCCAGCCACTGTTTCAAGGTCCAGAGACTGACCAGCAGACCCCTGAGTCCTTGTCCTCCTGTCCAAGTAATAGCCATAGAAATAGTAAAAGAGTGGCATATTAGACTTCATAATATTTTTAAGGCTGATCTCTTTATAAGCATTTCATGCAGATATTTATGACATTATCTCATTTGTTTTATAGATTTGTAGCTCTAATTTCAAAATCAATTTTTGCTTGAGAGTTATTTCAACATATAACCAAATGTTTGGAGCTATTACATAAAGGTTTCAAGGTTAAAAGTCTGTATCAGCTATTACGTTGGGTAAAACCCATCCAGCACTTAAAAAAATAAGTAATTATTAGGCATGGCCACAGTAGTGGTCTAAAATACACTTTGAAATTCTTCACAAACCAATTTGAAATTATTCCTGATGTAACTGAACACAGTACTTGCTTCTAATTAATAGAAAACAGTGAAAGCATTTTCTGGATACTGGGCCACCTCTGGCCTAGGTTAGACAAGGTGATACAGCTCTGCCTAAGTCTCCTGCTCTCATGGGGACAAACCCCTTGGAAGCCATGGACCAGGACATTATGAAGTCTAACACCCTGATAACACTATGCAGTAGGGACATCCCATGGAGAGATGCATAGAAATAGAAGGAGATGCCCAAGAATCTCAGCAGTCCAGCCCCACAATTTGAGTTATGCTAGCTATGGCACCAGGGAGATGAGAAGACACCTGACAATGTCCCCATCCTGAGCCGTCACTAGATTGTAAACTCCTGAGTGCCCCTGAACCACATTCATTTGGCTGAGAGACTGAGGGCGATTGCAGAGACTGACAGTTAGTAAATTATAATTATGGTTTTAAGCCACTAAGTTTTAGATAATTCTGAAAAGCACTTTAGACTCCTAGAAAAACTGTGTTGTCTACTGACTTCATTGCAGAGAGCTGTAAAGGCCAACATCATGAATGCTAATACCCTGGAAAAGTCAAATCATCGAGACTCTTCTAAGCACAACAGATCTTTAATGTCCCTTCGCTATGGCTGGAGAATAATCTAACATGTATCTGATAGAGTTGTTGGAAAGCCTCTGTTCACATCTCTCAGCCTGGTATGGGTCAACTCTGGTCTGCTTTAATTCTAGGCAACTGCAGCAGCTCACCTTTCATTTAGGTCGTGGCCTACACTGATTTTTTTTGATCACTGACTGTGTCTTTGTCTGTGTGTGTATGCTTTGTGTGTTACCATATTTTATCTGAGGAGGCTAAATAGTAGTACTATAATTGTTTTGTAAACATAAAACATTCCAGGAAGTCAATATTGCTTATCAATCGAGCTTTAAAACAGATACGAAATTAGACATGACAAGATGCCACGTCTAGTATCATACCAAAGCTAGCCAAGCTTGGTGGCCCGTGGATGTTATCCCAGCTACTTGGAAGGCTGATGCAGGAGAATCCATTGAACCCTGGTGATGGAGTTTGCAGTAAAGTGAGATCACACCACTGTGCTCCAGCCTGGGCACCAGAGCGAGACGCTGTCTCAGAAATAAAAAGAGAATAAAATAATAAAATAGGAGAGATCACGGGAGAGAGAAATGCATACCACTGGGTGGGCACTGTGGCTCATGCCTGGATCCCAGCATTTTGAGAGGCTGATGTGGGTGGATCACTAAAGGAAAGGAATTCAAGACCAGCCTGAGCAAATATTGTGAAACCTGGTCTCTACTGAAAATACAAAATATTTGCCAGGATTGGTGTCACATGATTGCAGTCGCAGCTGCTTAGGAGGGTGTGACTGGACAATTGCTTGAACCCGTGATAAGGAGGGAGCAGTGAGCTGAGATCACGCCACTGCACTCCAGCCTAGGTGACAGGGCAGGATTCTTTCTTAAAAAAAAAAAAAATCAGTGAGAGAAAAAGATACAGAGACAAAAAGAAAGAAAGACAGGAAGGAAGAAAGGAAGGGAGGGAAGGAGGAAGGGAATGAAAATTTGTACCTAACAGTTGTAGATACTTTTGGCATACATGTGATATTTTGATACAAGTAATGTGAACTGGTAAGCGAGGGATCAAAGAGGGGATGGGGGTGGGTTAAATTATACTTGCTTAGAAGGAATAATATCTAGTGTTCAGTGGCACAGGATGACTACACTTAATAATGATTTATTGTACATCTCAAAATAATTAATAGAGCGAAGGTGGAATGTCGCTGATACCAAGAAAAGATACGCCAGACTCAGTGAGGTGGAATGTCGCTCATAATGAGAAAAGATATGCCAGACTCAGTGGCTCACGGCTATAATCACAACACTTTGGGAAGCCAGGGAAGGAGGATTATTTCGGTCTGGGAGTTTGAGACCAGCCTGAACAATATATCCAAAGCATTGTCCCTACCACACACACACAAACACAAAAGCTGGGCACGGTGGTTGGTGTGTGTCTGTAATTCCAGCTACTTGGGAGGCTGAAATGGAAGGCTTGCACATTTCAAGCCCGTGTTCAAAGCTGCAGTGAGCTATGATGGTGCCACTGCAGTCTAGGCTGGACAACAGTGTGAGACCTTGTCTCTAAAAAAGAAAAAAGAATCGGTAAGTGCTTGAACTGAAGGATACCCTATTTATTATGTATATATTTGTTCATTGATATAATTATTTTTGTGTTGGAGTCGCACTCTGTCACCCAGGCTAGAGTGCATGGTGCAATATCGGCTCACCGCAGCATCAGGCTCCCAGGTTCAAACCACTGTCCTGCCTGAGCCTCCCAATTAACTGCAACGTACTACAGGCAGGCACCACCATGCCCGGCTAATTTTTGTATTTTTGGTAGAGATGGGGTTTCATGGTGTTGGCCAGCCTGGTCTTCAACTCCTGTCCTAAAGTGCTCTGCAAGCCTCGGCCTCCCCAAGTGTTAGAATTAGAGACCTGAGCCGTCACACATGGACAGTAAGATACACAAGACTCGGGAGATTTATCTTTTCACTTCATCCTCACAATGCTACAGGTGAATGAAAACACTCCATAACATGAATAACTCACTTGAAAATCAAAGTTGGTAACTTCTCCCTTTAAAATTATTTGTACCCTTACCCTGTAAAAATTGATGATTGTGTCAAAATTTTTCAAGAAAATACTTCCTCCTTGCAGATTAGTCTGTCAATTGTAAGAATTATGGACTGCAAAACTTCTGGAACTTGATGTATTTCATTTCTTTAGTTTGTATAATCAGGAAAATTAATTCATTTAGTTATTTCGGTCTAAATATTTGTATCATTCAGTGATGTCTTAAAACTTTAAGCAATCCCGTCGGAAACTTTATGCTGTTGTTTATGTTTTATACACTTCACTTTCCCCTAAGTATGAGGTTTAAAGCGTTTCCATTCATATTATCAATTAAATACGATAGGCTGACAGTGGTGGCACATGCCTATAATCTTAGCACTTCGGGAGTCTGAGGAGGGTGGATCAGGATTTTAAGAACAGCCTGGCAAACAAGGTGAAACGCTGTCTGCACTAAAAATACAAAAATTGGCCCCGCTGTGCGGCACACATATCTAATACCAGTTACTCAGGATGCTGAGGCAGGAGAATAGCTTGGATCCAGAAGGCAGCGGTTGCCATAAGCCAAGACAGAGCCACTGCACCCCAGCCTCGGCGACAAAGCTGTACACTTCATCTCAAAAAAAACTGATACTATCCCAACCACTCTAGATTATTCCTATCTGTAAGAACATATTACTAAACCATTACTTACAACATCCACTGTCAAAATATTCAAGAAAAAATTAACGTGGGAACCTCACAAGACAAAACACTTACTTTCCACTATTCAAACTACGAACATTTAAATTCATTATGCTACGCGCCTGAGAAACTTAGCTGGTTCACTTCTGATTTAGGTGAAAAAAAAAAGTTTTCATTACCGTTATCCTCTTCAGTCACAGAATGCTTCACATAGAATGTTCCGGATGTCTTAAACTTTAGTATCAATACATCTAATGATTTCCTTTGACCTGTACTATTCCTCTAAAAAATAAACGTTTTATGGTGAGGCAGACGGTTTTGTAGTCTTTCTGAAGACTTCTCCAACATTTTAACCTTGTTAGTTTTTAAAGAGAAACAGCCTAATTAGAAAACTTGAGCAGCTTGCAAGGGCGACATAACACATCCCTAATTTTGTACCTATGTTCAAACAAACAAAGGAAAATGTACAACAGACTACACAATTTACTCTCCTATTGAATTTGCTTTAAGCATGCGCGGCTAACAATAACACCAGGCATCTTGCAGTACATGTAAAATTTTATTGTGAAAATTTTAAGGTAGATATTACATCTAAACACTTTTCAAATAGCATCAACAAGTATGAAATTACTTTGAAAACAATTCCTTTTCCTTTGAATACCTCAAAAAATTCATGGAGGAAGTTAGTATCTACCTCTCTCCACAAAACCAACATGTTTCTTTCAGTAATATGCAGGTAACAATGCAGAAATAACATTTCAATTTTTGATTTGCAAACAAGGATTGGTATGCAATAACTATTATTTTCAATGCTTGCTTTAATATCTGCTCGAGTCTCCTTTTTCAGATCGACTCTCCCCACCATCTACTATAGATGCCACATAACTTGAGCTACCATATGCTTCACGAGGATCAGGGAGCACCCTACCCAGAGAAGGCGGATTCCTTTGGTCTTTTCTGCAAACATGCTCACGATCACAATAATGAAAATCACCACAGCTCGAGTAACTCTCCCAACTTCTGCCATATCTATCTCGTGTATTACTATATGCGTGGCAGGTGCTTCCACCATAAGACATCCGAGGCCCTCTTGCAGGTGGTGCACCATGAGAGGTCCCTGCAGGGTTGGTAAAATAATATGTGGGACTACATTTAAACATTTTTACTGCTATCATTAAAGCATGAATTAGTTAAAGTACTATTTGGAAATATCTGCTTTCCTCCGCCTTTGTTGACAGGATATTAATCAAGTCTTTAATAGTCAGAAGGTTTTATTTAAGAGAAGTGTAAGAGTAGTATTTTGCAGCTTAACAAACTTAATTCTAAAGTAAATGCTCAGTCACATTTTCTTAACGTTAACTGAAGTTCTCACCTTCATATCATTCCCTAGGCTTTATACTGTTAAGAATACTCAATATTTAAACATGTTGCATATGCCCTTTACAATTTTCCTTAGAATTTCATTAAAATAACAATCTGGTCTATTAAATAAAATTCTGTAATTTACAAATCCATCCTGGACCCTTACCGTATCTCTGAAGTGCATCTCTATAAGAACTTCCACTTAGATGTTCAGAATGATCTCTACCAAGGGCCTCACCGTAGCCATCATGATAACTAAATTGAAAAAAAAAAAGTCTTTTCAATTTCAGAATGAACAATTTAAGAAATCCATTTGATAAATCCAGATAACATGTTAGTACCTATATCCTCTAGAGGAATGTTCATCCCAACTAGAATGACCATAATCACGGTATGCATAGTCTCTATGTGGTGGAGCATAATCCCTGGTTTCTCGGGAACTTGGATGATTTCTGCGTGCACGAGTTGAAGCAAGGAATTTTAAATTGTCACCTTCTAGTATCCAAAACATAACTACATTACAACTTAAACACAATTAAATTGCCAAACATCTAAATAAAATGCCCACAGAGCCCAAATGCCCAAAATGCCCAAATGCCCAAAAAGCACATGAAACAGATACTCATAATCAGTGATTCAGGAAATGCATTTCAAATAAAAAAGGAGCTTCCACACTTCACACACACACACACTGGAAGGGCAAAAAACTTACAAAAGCAGGAAATAACAAGTGTTTGAGAGGATGTAGATAAATTGCAGCCCTGATACAATGTTAGTTGGAATGAACAATTTAAGAAATCTATTTGATAAATCCAGAAAAAGTTACAGTATCTATATCCTCTAGAGGAATGTTCATCCTGCCTAGAATGACCATAGTCTCAGTATGCCTAGCCTCTAGATGGTGGAGCATAATCCCTAGTTTCTCGGGAACTTGGATGATTTGTGTGTGCATAAGTTTAAGCAACAAATTTTAAATTTTCATCTTCTAGTATCGAATACATGACTAACTTACAACTTTAAATTAAAAGGCCAAACATCTAAATAGGTATTTCTCCAAATAAAATAGGCAAATGCCCAAAAAGGACAAGTGACAGATACTCATATTCAGTGATTCAGAAAATGCATTTCTTTTTGTTTTATTATACTTTAAGTTCTAGCATACATGTGCATGATGAGTTAATGGGTGCAGAAAATGCATTTCAAATCCAAAATGAGATATCATATTTCACACACACAGATGAATGGCAATAGATTTTCAAAAGCAGGAAATAACAAGTGTTTGAGAGGATGTAGATAAATTGGAGCCCTGATACAATGTTAGTTGGAATGAACAATTTAAGAAATCTATTTGACAAATCCAGAAAAATTACAGTACCTATATCCTCTAGAATAACTTTCATGTCGACGAGAATGACCATAATCACGGTATCCATGGCCTCTAGATGGTGGAGCATACTCCCTAGTTTCTCGGGAACTTCGATGATTTCTGTATGCATAAGTTTAAGCAACAAATTTTAAATTTTCAACTTGTAGTATCCGATATATGACTAACTTACAACTTAAACAAAATTAAAAGGCCAAACATCTAAATAGATATTTCTCCAAATAAAATGGGCAAACGCCCAAAAAGCACATGGGACAGATACTCATATTCAGTGATTCAGAAAATGCATTTCTTTTTTTTATTATACTTTAAGTTCTAGGGTCCATGTGCATGATGAGTTAATGGGTGCAGAAAATGCATTTCAAATCCAAAATGGGATATCATATTTCACACACAGATGAATGGCAATAAATTTTCAAAAGCAGGAAATAACAAGTGTTGGAGAGGATGTAGATAAATTGGAGCCCTGATACAATGTTAGTTGGAATGAACAATTTAAGAAATCTATTTGACAAATCCACAAAAAGTTACAGTACCTGTATCCTCTAGAATAACTTTCATCCCGACGAGAATGACCATAATCACGGTATGCATGGCCTCTAGATGGTGGAGCATAATCCCTAGTTTCTCGGGAACTTCGATGATTTCTGTATGCATAAGTTTAAGCAACAAATTTTAAATTTTCAACTTCTAGTATCCGATATATGACTAACTTACAACTTAAACAAAATTAAAAGGCCAAACATCTCAATGGATATTTCTCCAAATAAAATGGGCAAATGCCCAAGATGCACATGGGACAGATACTCATATTCAGTGATTCAGAAGACGCATTTCTTTTTTTTTTATTATACTTTAAGTTCTAGGGTCCATGTGCATGATGAGTTAATGGGTGCAGAAAATGCATTTCAAATCCAAAATGAGATATCATATTTCATACGCACACACTGGAAGGGCAATAAATTTTCAAAAGCAGGAAATAACAAGTGTTTGAGAGGATGTAGATAAATTGGAGCCCTGACAGAACGTTAGTTGGAATGAGCAATTTAAGAAATCTATTTCACAAATCCAGAAAAAGTTACAGTACCTATATCCTCTAGAGGAATGTTCATCCCGATTAGAATGACCATTATCACGGTATGCATAGCCTCTAGATGGTGGAGCATAATCCCTCGTTTCTTGGCAACTTGGATGATTTCTGTGTGCATAAGTTTAAGCAACAAATTTTAAATTTTCAACTTCTAGTATCCAATACATGACTAACTTACAACTTAAACAAAATTAAAAGGCCAAACATCTAAACAGATATTTCTCCAAATAAAATCGGCAAATGCCCAAAAAGCACACGGGACTGATACTCATATTCAGCGATTCAGAAAATGCATTTCTTTTTGTTTCATTATACTTTAAGTTCTAGGATACATGTGCATGATGAGTTAATGGGTGCAGAAAATGCATTTCAAGTCCAAAATGGGATATCATATTTCAAACACACATTTGAATGGCAATAAATTTCAAACAGCAGGAAATAACAAGTGTTTGAGAGGATGTAGATAAATTGGAATGCTGATACAATGCTAGGTTGGAACGGGAAATGATGCAGCTACTATGGAGAAATGTGGTGGTTCCTCAAGAAAACAAACATCATTATCATAGGACCATGCAATTCCACTCATATACACCCAGAACCGAATAAGCATACTCAAACGAATATTGGTGCGTAGAAATACTCGGGTGGAAACAATGCAGATAAAATAATGGGTTAATAGCTTGTGGAAGGAGTGAAGTGCTATGATGTAAATGAACCTTCAGGACATCATGCAAAAGGAGAGGAGACAAATACAAAAAGTCATGTAGTGTTTGAGCACATTAACGTTAAATACCCACAACAGGTAAGTTCAGA